>NC_000016.10:57592803-57895833 GCF_000001405.40 Homo sapiens | reverse complement strand
TCCCTGTCATATTTTAGCACTTCCTTGCTTACTCAAGGAGCAGTAAGCCACAACCAGATGCCCTGGTTCATCTTGTACTTCCCTTGCAGTATCCTGGAAATGGCCATTTCTCCAAGGAGCCTTGATTCCTTTTACTGGGGGATGGTTTTTAGAAACCACGATCTGAGTCCTAGGAGCAGTCATTGCTACTGGAGTGCTACTAGGCCTCTGCAGCAGACAGAACCAAGAAACACACCCACATACACACCAAGATGTATAAGTACAAATATATATATATATATAAAAAATACATATATAATATATTATGTATATATAAAATACATACACACACATATACATGTATATGCCAACTTAAATTTTTCTGTCTATTCTACTGATTATCTATAAAACAATTTCAATCCAGCACCACAGAATTCATTCTTTTTTTTTTTGAGACGGAGTTTCACTCTTGTCACCCAGGCTGGAGTGCAGTGGCGCCATCTCAGCTCACTGCAACCTCTGCTGGAATTACAGGCATGTGCCACCACACCTGGCTAATTTTTGTATTTTCAGCAGAGATGGGGTTTCACCATGTTGGCTAGACTGGTCTCAAACTCCTGACCTCAGGTGATCTGCCTGCCTTGGCTTCCCAGAGTTGCTGGGATTACAGGTGTGAGCCACCGTGCCCTGCCACCACATATTAGAATTCATTCTAATATTCTCCCTTTTCATACTTGTAAATCTCTTCTCCAACACTGAGCAATACAGGGAAGTTCATTTCAGAATTTCCAGCCCATGTCACTGTAAAAACAAAAAGTAAGGCTTCTAGGTAGAGTTCAGTACTGGATGCAGTTCTTTTGTGTTTAGCCCGAGTATATATGATGGAAGTGTTACGTTCAAAGTTATCTGGAGTCGTTCTCTTCCTCCACTACCCTTTAATGTGGTTACTTTATTCATTTGAAATACAGGTAGGTTCACTTGTTTCAGTTTACATTCCATTTAGGGCTCCTGCCACCCTGATCTTTGTTGACTTTTTCTTGTTTTCAGTATGTAGAACATTAACATGTTCCTGAAGGTCAACACTCTGCAAAATGGGGCACTCAGAAAAGCGTCCCAACTCTCCCTGTCCCCATTGCCCCCTGACTGCAACTCCCATTATTACGTGGCTCGTTGCATCAATTTCTGCCTTTTCTTTCCTCTGCTTACTTTTGCGAAAATGGACAAGTCCACAGACATTTTCTTTTTTTCTTTTTTGAGATGAAGTCTCATTCTGTAGCCTGGGCTGGAGTGCAGTGGTTAGGTCTTGGCTCACTGCAACCTCCACCTCCCGGGTTCAGGTGATTCTCCTGCCTCAGCCTCCTGAGTAGCTGGGATTACAGGCATCTGCCACCATTCCCAGCTAATTTTTGTATTTTTAGTAGAGATGGGGCTTTGCCACGTTGGCCAGGCTTGTCTCGAACTTCTCACCTCAGGTGATCTGCCCGCTTCTGCCTCCCAAAATTCTGGGATTACAGGTGTGAGCCACCACACCCAGCCCAAACATTTTCTTATTTCTTCTTCTTTCTTACACAAAATATGGCATGCTGTAGATTCTTGTACTTTGCTTTGTTTCCACATGACGACAAAACCCGGAAATCATTGTCTATCAGTGCAGAGTCAGCTTCCTCATTCCTTTCCACAGTGGCAGAACATTCCTGTAAATGGACATTTAGGGTATTTCCACAATTTTGCAATTACAAACAGTGGTGCAACGAATAACCGTGTGCATCCGTATTTTGCATTGTTGGGGAACAGGTCATTCTTTTTAGAAAAGCCGGTTTTTGTTTTCAAACCCTTAAGATCAGGTTTCAAATTGAGCGACAGGCAACGTAGTGTGTCAGGAACCCCACAATAGGTCTGGGAGGCTGGCGGGGCTCAGATCCCTTCCATGTGAGGTGCTGGCTGTGTGACTTTGAGGAAGTTGTTTAACTTTTCTGGTCTCAGTTGTCTCCTATGTAAAATAAAGGTCATAACCCCTACTTTGCTGCTGTAAATTTTTTTTGTTTTTTTGAGATGGAGTCTTGCTTTGTCGCCAAGGCTGGAGTGCAGTGGCGCAATCCTGGCTCACTGTAACCTCTGCCTCCTGGGTTCAAACAATTCGATTCTCCTGCCTCAGCCACCCCAATAGCTGGGACTACTGCAGGCACATGCCACCACACCCGGCTAATTTTTGTATTTTAAGTAGAGACGGGGTTTCACCATGTTGACCAGGCTGGTCTGGGACTTCTGACCTCAGGCGATCTGCCCGCCTTGGCCTCCCAAAGTGCTGGGATTACAGGTGTGAGCCACTGTGCCTGGCCTGCTGCTGTGAAAATTAAATAGTGTGCAGGAATGTCTCCGGTGGGGTGCCTGTCATACAAGAGAGCTCAGTGCATGTTAATAAGGATCACTTCAGGCCGGGCGCAATGCTGCATGATTGTAATCCCAGCACTTTAGGAGGCTGAGGCGGGAGGATCATTTCAGCCCAAATATTTAAGGTTACAGTGAGTTATGATCGTGCCACTGCACTCCAGCCTGGGTGACAGAGCAAGACCCTGTCTCTCAGATAAATAAGCAATTGTTCCTCTGTAGCCATCAAATTCACCCTATAATTTTTCAGTTGGGTAAAACCTTTTTAATCCACATATCTGGGTTTTCCTCCTTGTCTTGTATCACACATTCTTATTTTCCCCTTCATTCTATACAATGACACCATAAATAAACTGCACAGAGAGCTGTCATAATAGAGGGAAGAAACTCACCAGCATCCATTCCTACAGCACAGTGATGTATCGAGTACACAGTGCTGAGTTCTGGGGACACAGGAGGGACCAAACAAAACTCACATTCTAGTCAGGGAACCGGCAATGGAAAGATGAGCGATGATGTGATGCGTCTGGCTACGAGGAAACACAAAGCCACGGGAGGAGCGGGAAGTGACGGAGAGCTGTCTGAGATAAGCTGGTTGGGGAAGCTGCTCTGAGCAGGTGGCATTTCAACGAGACCTGCACAAAGCAAAGGAGTGAGCTGGGGGACT
The DNA here is from genome assembly GCF_000001405.40 of Homo sapiens. Taxonomy (NCBI): domain Eukaryota; kingdom Metazoa; phylum Chordata; class Mammalia; order Primates; family Hominidae; genus Homo; species Homo sapiens. The sequence continues at coordinate 57,892,799 of NC_000016.10, read as the reverse complement.
GATGGCTGGGTACAGCATTCTGGGAAGAGGGAACAGCATGTGCAGAGGCCCTGGGGAGGAGCAGGCTTAGTGTGTGGGTGGCACAACAGCAAGAAAATTAGCATAGCTTGGTATGGGATCAGAGGAGTCTAGGGGAAGAGATTGGGTCAGACCTCAGAGGAAGATGGGAGCCATGGAGAGTTTTACACAGAGGAGTGACTTGAAGTGCCTTAGGTTTTCACAGGAGCCCTTTGGCAGCTTCGAGGTAAAAGGATGTAGTGTTGATGTCCAAGCATCATGCACACAAGACACTGAGGTCCCCTGGGGAAGGAAGCTGCCCCCAAACTCACCTTACCTGGTTGCTCTCAAGGGACCCACTGGACCCTTCCAAAACCCAGTCTATCTGAATTTCTCCCAGAAAATCTCCCCACGTTCCCCACCACATCAGTGGTGCGTGCCAGTGCCTCCTCTCCCCAGGGACAGGGAGGTAGAGTGGACCCTTGTGATTCATGGACTCCATATTTGCAAATTCGCCTCCTCACTGAAATGGACTTGCAACGCCAAGATCAATACTAACAGGCTTTTGTGGTCATTCAAGGACATGCCCAGAGCAGCAAAATACTTGAGTCACCCCAAGTGCACGCTCCCCGCTGAAGTCCCTGTTCTGTCTTGTGGTTTTAGCTCTTGTACTGCGAAGAGGTGTCTTTTTATGGTCCATTTAATGCTACTCTTTTTTTTTTTTTTTTTTGCATTTTTGTGCTTTTTGTTGGCGATTGCACTGTTTAAAATGGCCCCCCAGCATAGTGCTGAAGTGCCGTCTCATGTTCCTAAGCACAAGAAGTCTGCAATGTGCCTTACACAGAAAATATGTGTTAGATAAGCTTCATTCAGGCATGAATTACAGTGCTGTTGGCTGTGCGTTCAATGTTAATAAAACAATAATCTATATTTAATAAGATGTCTTTAGCCGGCACAGTGGCTCATGCCTGTAATCCCAGCACTTTGGGAGGCTGAGGTGGGTGGATCACCTGAGGTCAGGAGTTCAGGATCAGCCTGGCCAACATGGTGAAACCCCATCTCTACTAAAAATACAAAAATTAGCCAGGCGTGGTCATGGGCACCTATCATCCCAGCTACCCGGGAGGCTGAGGCAGGAGAATGGCTTGACCCTGGGAGGCAGAGGTTGCAGTGAGCCAAGATCACACCACTGTAATGCAGCCTGGGCAACAAAGTGAGACTCTGTCTCAAAATAATAATAATAATAATGTCTTTAAAAAGAAACACACATAAGACAAGTTTATTATTATTAATTTTAGAGACAGGGTCGTGCTCTTTCACCCAGGCTGGAGTGCAGTGACACGATCATAGCTCACTGCAGCCTCGAACTCCTGGGCTCAAGAAATCTCCCGCCTTGGCCTCCCAGTGTTCTGGGACTGTGTGTGAACCACCACGCCTGGCCAAGTTCATGTATTATGGTTGATGAATGTTGTGATGGGAGATTTGTAGGAATCTAGCCTTGTATTTCCCCTAGGAACAATGTTTCCATTTTTGCTAATTCAGTGTCCGCAGAGATCTTATAGGACATAATTACTACAAATCATGAGATTCAACTGCTTATGACTGAAAACTGGTACCAGGTCTCCCCACCCTCTCTTCTTGCCCCCACCCCCACCAGGAGGAGCAAAGCTCAGGAAAGCCATGCTTTTAGCTGTTACCCATCCTGCTGGGTGGGTTAGGCAAGAGTTTGGCAAATCAGATGGGACCCCAAAGGCACCTCCCAAGAGCTGTGCAGAGGCCCCCATTCCTGACAGTGCCTGTGCACCTGTGTCCACACTGAGAAGGCTGAGGTGTGGGTGGGAGGCAGCCAGGCGAAGGAATGGGGCTAACAGGCCTCACAGCAACATGGGGGGGCGTGGGAATGGGGGTCTCAGCCATGAGTCATCAGAGTGGTTGTTTGCTGGCCAGGCCAGCTTGACCAGAGAGGCAGGGGATTGTGTATGAGCTCTGCTCATCAGGGGAGATACACTGTCTGAGAACCATAGTCCCGGGGACATCTGAGTTGGTGAGGGCCACGTGTGGGATTCTGTCCAAGCTCCCTGCTTTGCAGATGGGGGACCTGGGTCCCCAAAGAAGTGAAGTGCTGAGATCTCCGGCTTGACCACTCCAAAAAAGAGGATGAAGAGGTCTTATGTGGGTCACTTGCTCCAGGCTGATTGCTCAATCTCAGTTACAGGGAAGCATACATCATCAGAAAATGAGGACAAATTTCCCTAATCTGGAAATGCCCCAGAAGCTAGCTCAATGTTTCCAAACAGAGACAGCTAGTAGCAATCAGCAAAGGTCCTATACATAGTTATTTTGTTAGAAAGAAAAAGATAGTTCATTTTCACAGCACCCTCAGCCTTCCTGTGGGCTGTCACATCATGAATTATGGACTCAAATAACATGGGGGACAGTGCCGAGCTGGCGCGTGTCAGAGGCGTCTGGTGAATTATCATGTTTGTGTTCTCCTGGGGGATCTCCAGCTAGAAATGCAAATCTTGGGCAATTAATATCAACATGCACAATTTAAACCCATTGCCTCTGATTAGATAAGCAGCCAGTAATGGCCTCATTTTTAAACAAACAAGTTTTGCTGGAGCCTTGATGAATGAATTTGCCAATTCATTGTCTAGGCCCGCTGGTTGCAGGCAGAATTCATTTGTTCTTGAGACAAACTGCTCACCGCATGTTTGTAGTGTGAAAAATTGCCGGTAAAAAGCTAGGGCTCTCTTTGATGGAAAATCTACCCTTATCTAGAGAAACAGGGTGGTACATGCCATTAGATGTGGGTGGCAATTCTGCTTCTGCCACTTCCTGGTAACCTTGGGCACGTCACTCCCCCTGCTCTGAGCCTCAATTTCCCCAACTGTCAGAGGCACAATAATCTCAGCCCTTTCCATGTCACAGGGGTATTTGTCAGTGCCCAGGAAGATAATGATGCAATGTCGTTTTGTAATCATTAATATCTGGGGCACTGGGGTCAGAAGTGTGGGTTTGAATTCTAGCTTTGCCGCTTCTTAGCTGTGTGGCCTTGGGAAAGTTACTCACCCCCTCTGAACTTCTATACCCTCATTTGGAAATGAGGATGAATAATAAGACCTACTTATGGGGATTGTTGTGAGACTTAAATGAGAGAGTATGTATTAGCATAACAGTATTACCACAAATTTAGCTGTTTAAAGTCACACATTTGCGATCTCAGTTTCTGTGGGTTAGAAGTCCGGACATGGCTTAGCTAGGTCCTCTGCAAGATTGTCATCAAGATGTCTTCCAGAGCAGGCTCTCATCTCAAGTCTGGATGGGGGAAGGACCCACTTCCAGGATCACATGGTTGTTGGTGTAATTCAGTTCCTTGGGGTTGTAGGACTGGGGCCCCAGCTCCCACTAGCAATTGGCCAGTGGCTGGCCTCAGGTCCTTGCCATGTGGGCCTTCTCCAACACAGCTGGCTGCTCCCTACATCAAAGTCATCAAGGGAGGCCAGGCACTGTGGCTCGTGCCTGTAATCCCAGCACTTTGCGAGGCCATGGCAGGAGGATTGCTCGAGCCCAGGAGTTCAAGACCAGCCTGAGCAACATAGGGAGACCCCGTCTCTATTACTTAAAATAAAAATCAAATAAAAAATAAATAAAGTCAGCAAGGGAGAGTCCCCTTGCAAGACAGAGATCACAATCCTGTGTGACATATTCTACCAGTGATAGCCCTTGTTGTATTCGATTGTTTAAAAGCAAGACACGTACCCCACCCATCCTCAAGGGAAGGGGACCACACAGAGGCGTGAACACCAGGAAGGGGGTAATAGGAGCCACTGAAGGGTGCCTGCAAAGGATGGAGCAGAGGGCCTGGCATATACAGACACTCAGTAAATGCTGATAATTGTGATGGTGACGAGGGGGAGGTGACAGTGAAGCAGAAGGAGAAGGAAAGAGCTTTGGTTCCTTTTCCACCTGGGCATCTTATTCCCAATTCCCTATGTGAAAGTGTCCTTCAGGATTTCCTAACTCTTCTGCTGGTTAAAAAAAAGAAAGAGGCCAGGCGCGGTGCCTCACACCTGTAATTTCAACACTTTGGGAGGCCAAGGCGGGTAGATCGCTTGAGCCCAGGAGTTTGAGACCAGCCTGGGCAACATGGCGAAACCCTGTCTCTACAAAAAGATAAAAAATTGTGGTGGTGCATACCTGTAGTTCCAGCTACTCAGGTGGGAGGATTGCTTGAGCCATGGAGGTCAAGGCTGCAGTAAGCCATGATCACGCCACTACACTCCTGCCTGGGCGACAGAGCCAGACCCTGTGAGAAAGAGAGAGAGAGAGAGACAGAGACAGAGACAGAGAGAGAGAGGAAGAGAAGAGGAGAGAGGAGAGAAGACAGAAGAGAGAGGAGAGAGAGAGAGACAGAAAGGAAGGAAAGAGAAGAATTTCGTAGCTGTGTGACCTCAGACAAGTTATTCAACCTCTCTGAGCATCATTTTCCTCATCTCTAAGGTACAACAGACAGTAAGACCCACCTCATTACAGTTGTTCTGATCCTTCAATGAGATGCAATGCATAAAGTACTTAACACGACGCTTGGCCCAGAAAAAACTCTCTACAATCACCAGCCAAAATCACCACCACTACACAGCTCCAGCTTAAAGGAGGCTGCAGAAGCGAGTCTTTCTTTTCCCCCAGAGTGCGTCTGTGATGTCAATGGATGCTGCTTTCTTCCAGGCGCATGCTGAGAAGCAACAATAAGCCCAAGGAGGAGAAGAGCGTGCTGATCCTTCCACCCCGGGCGGGCACCCCAAAGCTCTTCAACGCTGCCCTCGCTATGACAGGAAAGATGGGTGGCAAGGGGGCAAAAGGCGGCAAACTTGCTCACCTCCGGGCCCGGCTCAAAGAACTGGCCGCGCTGGAGGCGGCTGCAAAGCAGCAAGAGTTGGTGGAACAGGTAATGTGGTTGGGAACCCAGCCACCACGTTCATTTCAATATGTGTCAGGGAGAAGGCCAAGGGGTCTCCAAGAGTGGGCCACACATTTAGTTTTAGGGTCTTCCCCCTCCTTTTTCTATCAGTCAGGGCTCATTTGGTTACCAGTGACAGAGTGCAAGCTCAAATTAGCTTGAGAAAAACGGGAATTAGGGGTCACGTAATCGAAAAGTTCAGGCAAGCCTGGATCCAAAAGCCCGAAAGATGCCAACAGGACGAGTTTTCCCATCGTGTCATCTCTGCTTTATTCAGTGATGGTTTTATCTCCAGACAGGTTCTCAAGAGTTCTATCTAGGATGACATCCTCCTGGCATAGCAACTCCAACAGAAAGAAAGCACCTCTTTCCCAGGGATTCTAGCAAAAGTTCCAGGACTCACTGTCATTGGACAGAATTGGGTCACATGCCAATTCTTGAGCCATTCGGTGTGGCCAGGGCACTATGGTGCTCTAAAGAGGCCTGGGTCACATACCCGCCCCTGGACTGAGAGTAGGCTGGGAGCAGGATCTCTAAAAGGCAGTCTTGATACTGTTGCAGAGGTTAGAGGAGAGGGTATGAGAAGCAAATGTCCGGCCCCAGAAGACAGTGTGTCCTCATATTTAATACTGTGTCTGTGACAATTTAAGATATTTGGGTCAGGCATGGTAGCTCACACTTGTAATCCCAGCACTTTGAAAGGCCAAGGCAGGAGGATCTCTTCAGGCCAGGATTTCAAGACCAGCCTGGGCAACATAGCGAGAACTTGTCTCTACAAATTTTTTCTTTTTTTCTTTTTAATTAGCCAGGCTTAGTGGCACATGCCTGTGGTCCTAGCTACTTGGGAGGCTGAGTTGGGAGCATCACTTGAGCCCAGGAAGTCGAGACTGCAGTGAGCTATGATTGCACCATTGCACTCCAGCCTGGGTGACAGAGTGAGACCCTGTCTCAAAAAATGAAAAATAAAAATTTGAAAGTGAAAACCTCTCACACAGGCAAAATGCCAAATGTCCCCACCCCCATAAACCTATGGGGGACATTAAAATTAGTTCTGGGACTTTTTTCTGTGACCAAAGCCAAGAATACCAAGTGGAATGATTACATTAATTATGTCTGTTCACGGCTGTCCTTTAGGAAGTCTGCTGGGGATCTGGAGAGGGACTGGGGTTAGGCAGACTGGGCTTAACAGTCTACACAGCAGAGTTCAAAGGAGCCCAGTGAACTCAGTCTCAATCCAGCCTGGTGTCAGAGTCCAGGAGACCCATCCAGATGTTGTTTGACAGTAGAAGTCTGGTGAGTGACATCAAAGCCATTTGGGGTACCAAGACATTCTCCAGATACAGCCACCAATGGCCCCAGACTGAGGAAAGATGTGATTGCCTGGCTCACAAACTGTCAAGGTCAAGGTGGAGCTGGCAAGTGGGGGTCTTCAGTGCTGGCTGCTGTGAGGGCTGACTAGACAGGAACTCCAAGGGTGCTCCCAGTACACCAAGAGCTTCAGCTGGGGTGGGCTTGTGGCTCCTAAGTGGTAGCTCTTCAGCAAGGGGGCTTTAAGATGGGAATTAAATTTGCATGAGTGTTCCATTAAAAGGCACTTCCCTTCCAAATCAGAACAACCAGGGCAGAATGGCAGAGTACAGGGAGCTCTTAACTAGACATTCAGAGACACAAATCCAAATCCCAGCTCTGTCACCCACTAGCTCCATGACCCAGGAAGCCCCTCAAGCTTTCCGAGACTTGGATTACTGAGGGTTGCCTCATGAGGTCATAAAGATCAGGCAGGATTACCTTGGAGGCCTTTTAGAAAAGCATGTTGAACACAGCAAAGCACTTTTCTAACTTCCCATGAGCTGCTGATTCCAGCCATAGCACCATGCTTCAGGAAGTTCCACGATGCTCACCATCTAAGCATCCTGCCCTGGAAATGTGTTGTCAAGAGTTTAGGGTGGGCTGGGCACAGGTGGCTCACCCCTGTCATCCCAGCACTTTGGGAGGCCAAGGTGGGCAGATCACTTGAGGTCAGGAGTTTAAGACCAGCCTAACCAACATGTAAAACCCCATCTCTACTAAAGATACAAAACCTTAGCCAGGCATGATGGCACACACCTGTAATCCCAGCTACTCGGGAGGCTGAGGCAGAAGAATCGCTTGAACCTGGGAGGCAGAGGTTGCAGTGAGCTGAGATCACACCACTGCACTCCATCCCGGGTGGCAGAGCAAGACTCCGTCTAAGAAAGAAAGAAAGAAAGAAAGAAAGAAAGAAAGAGAGAGAGAGAGAGAGAGAGGAAGGAAGGAAAGAAGGAAGGAAGGAAGGAAAAAAGGAAGGAAGGAAGGAAAGAAGGAAAGAAAGAAAGAAGACAAAAAGAATAGAGTGTAGGGTGGACAGGGGAGGGTGGGACAGGGGCACCAAAACATAGGGAAACACTGAGACAGAGGGAGAAGCATGTCCCAAGAGAGGCCTTGGGTTCTTGGAGCATTTTGGCTGCCCCCTCTCCATTCCTCCTTTCCTTCAATATCCTATGACTTGAGCAAATGGCGCAGGTCTCTCTGCACAAGCACATTGACTGCTCTCACTTGAAACTCACAAACACCACTTCACATGGGTCTTGGGCAGCTGAGGACCATCCTGGCCTCCTCTGGGGGCTGCTCCCTCTCCAGTTTCCTTCCGTGCAGAGATGGGGTCAGGCAGAGTGGGAGGGGCCACAGGTATCCGCAAAGGCTTGATTTAATTACCCAGTCCCCTACTGATGTGAAGACCATGGCCATCGTTTGTGGGAGGCAGCACAGGCTGGAGGCTGGAGGTATCCATCAGGTCCCCACACATGGGGTCAGCGCAGCCCAATAGCAGGGGTACCCAGCCCCAGGGTATCCCTGAGGATCTCAACCTTTGAGACTTCCCAGAAAGGGGGCCCAGCCCCAGCAGCCTCTCCCTTCATCACTTTTTACCCTGTTTGCTTGGAGTTTTTCTCATCCACTCCAGGAGTGCCCACCCCTGGTAACAGATGGTTGGTTCAGCCTTTGCAGAGGCCTTGCGGGTACTCCCTCAGAGTCACTGCCTGGCTTGCTTCAATAGCTCGGGGGAGGGGCCCTGAACTTGAAACAACAGCCTCATCCCAGCTTCCAGCCCCACAGCCTAGATCTAAGACATCCCAAGACTTTCCACGAAATCCAACCGGGACTTTTAATCTGTACACTTCCCCATAATGTATTTTGTTTCTCCTAAATAACCCCGATGCGGCTCCACCCCACCCACTAGATTTCACCCGCTGTGTGTTCCGCTGCCCTCTTTGGGGGTCCAAAAAGGCTGGAACAGGGAGGTGTCCAAGACCCTTCCAAGACCCCTCCGAGAGTCTGTGCCTCACGAGTCACCCTTTCTGGATTCCAGGCCAAGAGCTCGCAAGACGTCAAGGGAGAGGAAGGCTCCGCCGCCCCAGACCAGCACACGCACCCAAAGGAGGCCGCCACCGACCCACCCGCGCCCCGGACGCCCCCCGAGCCCCCGGGGTCTCCACCGAGCTCTCCACCGCCTGCCTCCCTTGGGAGGCCGGAGGGAGAGGAGGAGGGGCCGGCCGAGCCCGAAGAGCACTCGGTGAGGATCTGCATGAGCCCGGGCCCGGAGCCGGGAGAGCAGATCCTGTCGGTGAAGATGCCGGAGGAAAGGGAGGAGAAGGCGGAGTAAGGTGGGGTGAGGCGGATCCCGCGCGCAGTTCCAGCAGGTGTGTCCCCAGCGCCCGCTGCGCCCCTGCGCCCCAGCGCCCCACCTTCCCCCACGGCTCAAGAGAAGATGCTTTTCCGTAGTCGTGACCTCAGTGGCTGCAGCTCTGACCGTCCCGCCAGCACGCCAGCCCCGACTCAGCTCCTCGCGGGGCTGGGCCTGAGCTCGACAAGTTGCATCAAGTGTTCGAGTCCCTGAGCTCTCACTATCATTTGAGAGCCCTACCTTTTCCTGACTGTTCCTCTTTTTAAGAACAAAATGATTTTCCACTTTTAAAGTTCATGGGTGAGGGATAAAATGAGGCTCCAATACATGGGAAGCTTTGCTGAAAAAGTAAAGTGTTATTGAATGTGTGGGGTTTCCCCTCAGGAATTTGTCTAACACATTTCAAGGATAGAAAATACTTCACTGCCGGGCATGGTGGCTCATGCCTATAATCCCAGTGCTTTGGGAAGCCGAAGCAGGAGGATCACTGGAGGCCAAGAGTTGGAGAGCAGACTGGGCAACATAGCGAGACCTCATCTCAAACAAAAACAAAAACAAACAAAAAAACAATAGCCAGGCGTGATGGTGTGCACCTGTAGTCCCAGCTACTGGAGAGGTTGAGGCAGGAGGATGGCTTGAGCCCAGGAGTTTCTGGCTGCAGTGAGCTGGACACAGTGAGACCCTGTCTCAAAAAAACTAAAAGATAGCCCTGCACAGTGGTTCACATCTGCAATCCCAGCAGTTTGGGAAGCTGAGATGGGAGGATTGTTTGAGACCAGGAGTTCAAGACCAGCCTGGGCAACATATTGAGACCCCATCTCTACAAAACAGCAGCAGAAACAAAAGCAAACAACAACAACGTACACAAACAAAAAAACAAAGAAAGGAGGGCAGCCCGAGCTGTTCAGCTGAGAATTGCCATGGTTCTGAGCTGAGCTTGGGACGCGGTTTTCCTTTGCGGGCAATCACAGTAGGGGGCTAGATGCCCATTAAGGTAGTTAGTGCTTATCTTCCCCAGACTCTATTCAATTCCAATGCAATGCCATTATCTCAGAACAGATAGAAGGGAAATGGACTTACTGGCCAGGAGCTGCTAGCGTTTCTGCCTCTGCCAGGAGGAACAGCCCGGTAGGAGCATCCTCTGCCTGTCATCCTGAGAAACCCCATTCGCCAGCAGGGATCAGTCCGTTACTCACTTTTGACACTCTCGCTGTAGAGATGGTGGCAGCAACTTCAATTAATCCTAGAAAATGAAATCTCCCAGCTGATGACAGCACTTACATTCCCTAAAGCTTTCCAGATCGTGTCATGTTGCTTTTATGATTCAGACAAAAAAAAAAAAAGAAAAAAGAAAAAAAAAGAAAAAAGGGTCATTCAGGGAATGAATATTTATCAAGAGGATTTTATTTGCATACCAAATGGCTCTTGGGGGAGTGAGTGATTAAAAACAAAATCTAGTATTCTAGTATTAGGCCATTTGTTTCCACCTGCAACAGTGAACATAAAGGACCTGGAATTCCAATAGGTCCTGCCCATTTTATATAAAATTACAGGAAAATGTGAGCTGCTCAGAGGCCTTTGAAGGTTTGCAAATGTCTGTATGTATTTGTCCATCCACTAAAAACAACATTCATTTCCACTGTGGAAAAATGAAAGAATGTGGGAGTCCCCAGGCTGGTCTAAGCATTTCCAAACCCCAGAGTCAGAAACAGATTTGTCTAGTTGATGGCTTGTCACGTGATCCGGGTAATCATCACATTGAATATAGTGATGATTGACCTTATTATTTTACCCTATTTTTTTTTTAAAAAAAAAAGCTTTAAAAATGTATTTTAATAGGCAATAACATATTTACATGGGTACAAAAGGACATCCAATAAAAATTCTTCATCCTACCCCAGTACCCAGCTTCCTTGGTTCCCTCTCTGGAAGCAACCACTATTAACAGTTTCTCCTGTATCATTTCAGAGTTATTTTATGCTTATACAAGGAAATATGTAACTGCTTCTTCCCTTCCTTTTAAATTTTAACAGAAGTGGTAACACATATTACAGCCACTGTTATTTTTCACTTAATTTACTTTGGAGATTGTTCCCTGTCCTTAAAGAGCATGCTTATTTTTTCATGACGGCAATCTAGTTTGTTGTATGGATGTATGATAACATTTAAACGACTCTCCCATTGATGGGCATTTGCGTTGTTTCCAGTCTTACGCTGTTAAAAATAATGCTGCAATAAAACAATCTTGTGCAGACATCATTTCACTGGTAAACATTTTTTAAATGGGGGAACTCTGCGAGTTTAGGCAGTTATTTTTCCTTCGTCTCCATTTACTGTTTGTATATTTGTACCACATAGTCTAAGATCAAAGCATGGAGAATGCTTCCACCATTAGCAAGTATTTCAGATATGCTAATAAACACATTGCTTTTCCGTAAATGGCAAAATGCTTCAACAGCACCTTATCTGTGAGATCCTATTTTATAAGGAATCTTTTTTATACGAATGTACTTATTCTTTTAGATATCAGTTCTTGAATGTATACTCCTTATGATATACAGCAAGAGATTCTTGAGGTTCCCAAGAATTGTCCTGGAAAGAAAATTGATTTTGAATTGAGATTAGCAGTGTTTTAATTTCGCTGAGATAACTCCTTTAACTCAGCACTTTCACAAAACTTAAATATTAAATAAATTGAATTTGAGGCTGGCATTCTTCTCTAAATTGAATTGGACTGGTTGTTTGCTGAGGTATGAATGGAGCAGCTCGGAAGTATTATAATTCCGTAGCTGAAACAGGACGCTTATTTATGTATGTTCAATCTCTACTCATTTAAAATGTCTCAGCATTTCCTGCATTTAGATAGAAAATAAATAGTCAATTTTTTTTTTTAACTACATAAATATTTTAAATAGAATGAAAGCCAAGAAGCTGTTTCAAATTTTATTATCAAAGTGTGTTCAGCTACCTGGAATATCTTAGTCTGTTTTCTTAGTAAACATGAACACTTTATTTACACTCTGCCTTTCATATTACAATGCATTTAATTAAAGTATTTAGACAAATGTTCCTGGCTTGTGGATTCATTTCAGAAATCAGCCATGGGTGACAGACACCTCTGTGAGAAAAATTAAGTAAATGTCCTGGCCCAGGCACTCTAGCAAATGTCCTACGGACATCCTTGTGGCTCTAATCCATCCTGTATTCCTATTGCTGGAATGATATTCTTATCAAACCTCTATGGCCACTTTGGGAAGCTGAGGTGGGAGAATTGCTTGAGCCCAGGAGTTCAAGACCAGCCTGGGCAACATAGTAAGACTCCATCTCTATTAAAAGAAAAAATAGTCTGGGTGCAGTGGCTCATGCCTGAAATCCCAGCACTTTGGGAGGCTGAGGCAGGCAGATCACCTGAGGTCAGGAGTTCGAGACCAGACTGGCCAACATGGTGAAACCCCGTCTCTACTAAAAATACAAAAAAATTAGCCGGGTGTGGTGGCGGGTGTCTGTAATCCCAGCTACTTGGGAGGCTGAGGCAGGAGAATCACTGAAACCTGGGAGGCAGAGGCTGCGGTGAGCCGAGATCATGCCACTGCACTCCAGCCTGGGCGACAGAGCAAGACTCCGTCTCAAAAAAAAAGAAAAAAGAAAAAGAAAAGAAAAAATAGGGCCAGGTGTGGTGGCTCACGCCTGTAATCCCAGCACTTTGGGAAGCCAAGATGAGTGGATCACCTGAGGTCAGGAGTTCAAGACCATCCTGGCCAACATGGTGAAACCCCTCTCTCTACTAAAAATACAAAAAAATTAGCCAGGTGTGGTGGCGCATGCCTGTAATCCCAGCTACTCAGGAGGCTGAGGCAGGAGAATTGCTTGAACCCAGAAGGCGGAGGTTGCAGCGAGCCAAGATCATGCCACTGCACTCCAGCCTGGGCAACAGAGTGAGACTCTGTCTAAAAAAAAAAAAAAAAAAAAAAAAAAATAGGGCCACGTGTGGTGGCTCATACCTGTAATCCCAGCACTTTGGGAAGCTGAGATGGGTGGATCACCTGAGGTCAGGAGTTTGAGACCAGCCTGGTGAACATGATGAAACCCCATCACTACTAAAAATACAAAAATTAGCCAGGTGTGGTGGCTTACGCCTGTAGTCCCAGCTGCTCTGGAGACTGAGGCATGAGAATTGCTTGAACCCAGGAGGCAGAGGTTGTAGTGAGCTGAGATCATGCCACTGCACTCCAGCCTGGGCAACAGAGTGAGACTCAATCTCAAAAAAAAGAAAAAAAAAACAGAAAGAAAGAAAGAAAGAAAGAAAGAAAGAAAGAAAGAAAGAAAGAAAGAAAGAAAGAAAGGAAAGAAAGAAAAAGAAAGAAAGAAAGAAAGAAAGAAAGAAAGAAAGAAAGAAAGAAAACAACAACAAAAAAAAACCAAAAAACTTCCCATGGGCTCTAGGACTCTAAGCCCTTCAAGTTAAAACCCCTTTTATATCTGTGTCATCTCATCTATTATAAGACAACTTCTTACAATTTCCCCAGCCCTGTTAGATTTGTTCAATGACACACAGTGCTGATAAAGGTGGACGCAAGGATTCAGACTGCCTGGCTTCCAATCCCAGTTTGATCATATACCATGGATGATCACGGACCTCTCTGAGCCCCAGTGACCTCATCTATAATATGGATATAATACTTTGAGCCACACAGGGCCACTGTGATGATTAAGTAATAAACTGAAATTGCCAAGTTTGAATGGGCATGAGGAATAAAACCAACTCACCATCCCCCTTACTCTGATAGCTGGAGTAGACTGGAAGCCTCTGGATAGCTCTGTCTTCTTGGAACCCTGCCTCTGCCTAGGGTTATACCACAGAGGGCTTTGATCACCTCTTTTCTCGACCCTTTAACAGTGTTTGTACAAAGGGCTGGACACATGTTAATTATAACAATATAAATCTCAGCTTTCTTACCATCAATTAATGATTTAACCCAATTTTATAACAAAACAGACCCTGAAACACCCTAGCAAGACTTACTCTCCTTGGGGCAATCACTCCAGTTCTGATCTAGGCCCAGGGCTGGCTTCATGGGCTTGTGACCTGTGCAGTCACACAGGACTCTGTGTCCAGAAGGGCTCTGTGCTTGAAATTCTTAACTTTTGAACCATGGGTCCTGCATTTTATTTGCACTGGTTCCTACAAATGATATAACCTGTCCTGGCTAGGTTGCGATACTCCCCAGTATCTGAAATGACCAGTGGTTGAAGGAGGAAAAGATGTCTTTTCTGCACTCAGCTTCTGTCTCTCTTCTTCTTCTAGCCCCAGAATTCTGCTTCCCCTTTTGCAACATTACCTTTCAGTCATGCATGGTGACTCCAACACGGTGACCTAAGCCAGGCCCATTGACTCTCTTTGCTGGGAAGGTGAATCTTAAGAAGATGGCCCACTTCTTCCTTGCTAACAAAGCCCCGATTTAGCTTTGGGCAGCAGCATGCCCATCCCCAGGAGATGAAGCCCCTGGTATAAGCCAATCCCTGCTCTCTGTTCTTTTTTGCTGAATTCTTGCCTTTCCAGCCTTTTTTGTAGCTAGGTGTGACCCAGTTCCAACCAATGAATTAATCAGGTATGGAAAGCGCTCTGTTGCTGTTGTCCTTCTCTTCTCCTGCCTGGGATACTGAAGTGAGAATGTATTTGGAGCTGCAGCAGCCATCTCATGACCGAAGAGCCAAAAATTGGAGAGATGCAGCCTGTGACATGTTTGAGCTGCCAAATCAACCCTGAAACCATGAGTGTTCAGAGTACTCATTATATGAGATAATGAAATATCTTTATTATTTAAAGCCATTCATAGGGTCTCTGTTACCTGCAGCTGAAAACATCCTGATGTAGGAGCAGTGAAATGGGCTAGGCATGGTGGCTCATGCCTATAATTTCAGCACTTTGGGAGGGTGAGGCAGAAGGATCACTTGAGCCCAGCAGTTTGAGGCCAGCCTGGGTAACATAGCAAGACCCCGTCTCTACAAAAAAAAGATAAAAAAAAAAAAAATAGCTGGGCATGGTGGTGCACTCTTCTAGTCCCAGTTACTTGGGAGGCTGAGGCAGGAGAATCGCTTCAGCTCAGGAGTTTTAGGCTGTAGTGAACTATGATTGTACCACTGCACTCCAGCCTAGGTGACAGAGTCAGACCCTGTCTCTAAAAAAAGGCCAGGTGCGGCTGGGCATGGTAGCTCATGCCTGTAATCCCAGCACTTTGGGAGGCTGAGACAGGTGGATCACAAGGTCAGGAGATCGAGACCATCCTGACCAACATGGTGAAACCCCATCTCTATTAAAATACAAAAAAATTACCCGGGTGTGGTGGTGCATGCCTGTAGTCCCAGCTACTCGAGAGGCTGAGGCAGGGGAGTCACTTGAACCTGGGAGGCAGAGGTTGCAGCGAGCAGAGATGGCACCACTGCACTCCAGCCTGGTGACAGAGCAAGACTCTGTCGAAACAAAAACAAAAATAAAACAAAACAAAAAGTCCAGGTGTGGTGGCTCACACCTGTAATTCCAACACTTTGGGAGGCCAAGGTGGGCAGATTGCTTGAGCCCAGCAGTTCAACACCAGCCTAGGCAACAAGGCGAAACCCTGTCTCTACAAAAAATACAAAAATTAGCCAGGCTTTGTGGTGCTCCCAGCTACTAGGGAGGCTGAGGTGAGAGGATTGCTTGATCCAAAGAGATAGAGGCTGCAGTGAGCCATGAGCCGTGAGTGTGTCACTGCACTCCAGCTTGGGTGACAGAGTGATACCCCGTCTCAGACATAAATACATTAAAAACAATTTTTTAAAAAAATTATTTTTAAAAATTTAAAAGGAGCAATGAATTGGAGAAGGAAAGGAAGAAAATGAGGCCGGGTGCAGTGGCTCATACCTGTAATTCTAGCACTTTGGGAGGCTGAGGCTGATCTTGAACTCCTAATCACTTGAGGTCAGGAATTTGAGATCCGCCTGGCTAACATGGTGAAACCTCGTCTCTACTTTGTTTTTAGTTTTTTTTTGTTTTTTTTTTTTTAGATGGAGTTTCGCTCCTGTTTTCCAGGCTGGAGTGCAATGGCATGACCTTGGCTCACCACAACCTCCACTTCCTGGGTTCAAGCGATTCTCCTGCCACAGCCTCCTGAGTAGCTGGGATTACAGTCATGCACCACCACGCCTGGCTAATATTTTGTATTTTTAGTAGAGATGGGTTTTCTCCATGTTGGTCAGGCTGGTCTTGAACTCTCGACCTCAGGTGATCTGCCCGCTTCGGCCTCCCAAAGTGCTGGGATTACAGGCATGAGCCACCATGCCCTGCTCGTCTCTACTTAAAATACAAAAATTAGCCGGATGTCGTATCTCACACTTGTAATTCCATCTACTCTGGAGGCTGAGGCATAAGAATTGCTTGAACCCAGGAGATAGAGGTTGCAGGGAGCTAAGATTGTGCCACTGCACTCTAGCCTGGGTAACAGAATGAGACCCTGTCTCAAAAAAAAAAAAAAAAAAGAGAAAAGAAAATGGGAGCAGACGCATCACAACTTCAACCCCCTCATCACACTGGACATGAGTTCCTGCTGCTCAGGTTCTTGTTACTACCTGTGTTCTTGCCCTTCCTGGGCTAGTCGACTTTCCTTCAATGACACAAGCTACCTTGTGTATCTTCCTTCTGCTTAAGTTGGTCGGAGATGGTTTCTGTTGTTCATAATGAAAGAAGCCTAGCCGATGCAGACAAAAGTACTTCTGGGAGTTTCTTGATTATTTAAAACTCAAGATCTAGGCCACATATTCTGGGTGTGACTTTTGCTCTAGCATAGGCACTTGTGGTTTCTAAATCCAGACCTTAGGAAGATCCCCTCAGAAAAGAGATTAGAGGAGAGAGGGGGCTGTTTTTTGTTTGTTTGTTTGTTTTTTGAGACAGAATCTTGCTCTGTTGCCCAGGCTGGAGTGCAGTGGCGCAATCTCAGCTCACTGAAACCTCTGCCTCCCAGGTTGAAGTGATTCTTCTGCCTCAGTCTCCTGAGTAGCTGGGATTACAGGCGTCCACCACCATGCCCAGCTAATTTTTGTATTTTTAGTAGAGACAGAGTTTCACCACATTGGCCAGGCTGGTCTCAAACTCCTGACCTCAGGTGATGTGCCCACTTTGGCCTCCCAAAGTGCTGGGATCACAGGCATGTGCCACCATGCCTGGCTGAGGGGGCTGTTTTGACCAAGATGAAATTCAAACACCTGTCTGTGGATGGCCAGCCCAATGCGAGAGAGTGATTCACCAGCAAGGAGAACTGGAGCATCAAGCCTCATGCCCCCTAGGTACTTCCCAGCTCCCTCACTGTCCTGACACCACAGCAAAGCCCCCTGGGACAGAAACCTCCTCATCAATAACCCTTTGGACGCCCTGCCTCATTGCTGCCTTTTACTACTGGACCGAGAACAAAGGTGACAGTGCTTTAGGGCTTTGGAAACTTTTTCCCCATTCAGATAGTCTTGTCCACGCTGCTGCGTGATCAAGAAGCAAATGATCAGACCCAAATAATAGATGAGAAAATTCAAACTTAAGACAGCAAAGGGATTTATTCTCAGGGAATCAGCACCTTGGCTAGAGACAGAAACAGCCATGAGAAAAGAACCCGAAGGCCACTGTTCTGCTTCTGCCACCAACCTGCAGTGAAATCACACCTGGGTAACTTTCATTCATTCAATAAATATTTTTAAAAATTCTTTCTTTGTGCCAAACACTGTTCTAGTTACTTTCTGGCCTCAGGTGTTTCATCCCTAAGTTGGGAGGAAGAAAATAATCCTTCCAGGTTGTTATGAGAAGATTCAGGGCCAGGCGCAGTAATCCCAGCACTTTGGGAGGCTGAGACGGGTGGATCACATGAGGTCAGGAGTTCAAGACCAGCCTGGCCAAGATGCTGACACCCCTACTCTACTAAAAATACAAAAAGTAGCCGGGCGTGGTGGCACGCGTGTGTGGTCCCAGATGCTCGGGAGGCTGAGGCAGGAGAATTGCTTGAACCCGAGAGGTGGAGGTTGTGGTGAGCCGAGATCACACCACTGTACTACTCCAGCCTGGGTGACAGAGCAAGACTCTGTTAAAAAAAAAAGAAAAAAAAAGGAAGAAGATTCAAAGGATGCTTGATAAACTCATTGTAACCAAAAAATTGTGAGTAACATTTCCTAGATTCAATTTCCTGAGCACTATCTCCTTCGATATCTCTTCTGAAATGAAAAGAAAGACGGCCTGAGTGCCCTTATTTAATTTATTTATTTTTTGAGATGGAGTATTGTTCTGTTGCCCAGGCTGGAGTGCAATGGCGTGATCTCAGCTTACTACAACCTCTGCCTCCCGAGTTCAAGTGATTTCCGGCTAATTTTTGTATTTTTGGTAGAGATGCGGTTTCACCATGATGGCCAGGCTGGTTTCGAACTCCTGACCTCAAGTGATCCTGCCACCTTGGGCTCCCAAAGTACTGGGATTACAGGCGTCAGCCATTGCTCCTAGCCCTTGTATTATTCTTTCAATGGGCATAAGGTGTTGGCATCTCCAGGGGGTCCTCTTCCCTGGTCACCATGGTTGAGTTCCAGATTTAGCAAGTAAAAATACAGAAAGCCCAGGTAAATTTGAATTTCAGATAAACAATGAAGGTTTTTTTTTTTAAGCTTAAGTATATCTCATGCAATACTTGGGATATACTTATGCTAAAAAAAATTGTTATTTATCCAAAATTCAAATTCAACTTGGTGCCCTGTGTTTTTATCTGGCAATTCTGCAAGGTGAGGATGAGTGTCTCTCCTGCCCAGAGCAATTGGGGCTGCACCCTCTAGGGCCAACCTTGGGCCAGAGCCATCCTGGCATGCCCCTTCTCCAGAGCCAATCATGATTGGTGGAGGAAGAGGGAAAGCACCCACCCCAGGCTGCTGTTAGTGGTTTTTGTTTTTTATAGAGATGGGGTATCATTATGTTGCCCAGACTGGTCTAGAACTCCATGCCTCAAGCAATCCTTCTGCCTCCTTGCTGGGATTACAGGCATGTACGACCACGTCCAGCCTGTCCTGTCAGTGTTTCATTGTTCTTGTTTTTGAGACAGGGTCTTGCTCTGTCACCCACGCTGGAGTACAGTGGTTCAATCACAGCTCACTGCAGCCTCGACCTCCAGGACTCAGGTGATCCTCCTGCCACAGACATGCACCTCCACACCTGGCTATTTTTTTTTAACTATTTGTAGAGACGGGGGATAGGGGGTGGTGGGGACAAGTCGGGGGTCTCCCTATGTTGCCCAGGCTGGTCTCGAACTCCCTAACTCAAACAATCCTTTCATCTTGGCCTCCCAAAGTGTTGAGATTACAGATGTGAGCCACCACGTCTGGCCTGCCAGTGGTTTTTTAATATTTATCTTTATTAATTTTATCCTGAATGCACACACACAGGTGTTTGGGATCAGAGACAGATTTTATATTAATTACCTTTTAGCAAATAATAAGTACATAGCCTCCGCTCCCAGCCTCCCCTTAAGCCTTACTCCTGGCCAGGAAATGTCCCGTGCAAGTAGCCTGACACTCCATAGATGAAGGACAAGTTTTCTCTGCTTATAAAGGCGAAGGAGGTAGCTATTCCCCTCCCTTTTTGAAAGGGTCTCCTTGGAAACTTAATGGGCCCGAAACCTAACCCCAGCCCTTTGATATGTAAATAAAGCCTCACCCGGAACGAGATAGCCCCAGGTGTCTCAGCTTTAACCACCTGGAGGGGTCTTCAAGTTCTGGGACTTTCTCCCTTTGACATATAAATACCTAGGGAGATAGCGCCGGAGTCTTCCCGGCATTTTGGAGCTAGCCAAGAGACCTAGGCTCGGCTGTGGCCATTTGGCCGTCTCCCGGAGGGAGGTGAGAGAAGCTTTAGGATCCTTTCTAATCAAGGCAGTTAACTAGACAAATGGCTCCAGAGCGCATTATCAAGAGTCTCGGGAGACTGGGTCCCCACCTTTCACATTTCCAAATTTCTTCCTTTTCTTTCCTTCCTTCCTTCCTTTCTTTTTTCTTTTCTTTTTTTTTTTTTTTTTTTTTTTGACAGAGTCTCGCTCTGTCGCCCAGGCTTGAGTGCAGTGGTGCAATCTTGGCTCACCGCAACCTCCGCCTCCCAGACTAAAGCAATTCTCCTGCCTCCGCCTCCAGAGTGTCTAGAAATACAGGTGCGCGCCACTACCGCCCGGCTAATCTTTGTATTTTTAGTGGAGACAGTGTTTCACCATGCTGGCTAGGCTGGTCTTGAACTCCTGACCTCAAATGATCCACCGCACCCAGCCGCATTTCCAAATTTCTGAAATCAAGTGTTCCTTAATGAAAAGTGGGTAGAGGAGAGGGTCACGTGAAGTGTTTCCAGGCAGGTTCAAAAGAATAATTCAGATACCATGGAAAACTTCCACATATAAGTCAAATGTAAGTAATAAGTTTTAAAATCAGGGCCAGGTGCGCTGGCTCACACCTGTAACCACAGCACTTTGAGAGGCTGAGGCAGCAGGATCACTTGAGCCCAGGAGTTCAATACCAGTCTAGGTAACATGGCGAAAACCCGACTCCACCAAATATATATATATAATAAAAATTAGCCAGGGGTGGTGGCACATGCCTATAGTCCCAGCTAGTCAGAAGGCTGAGGTGTGAGGATTGCTTGAGCCCAGGAAGTCGAGGCTGCAGTGAACTGTGATGGTACCACTGCATTCCAGTTTGGGGGACAGAGAGAGACCCTATCTCAAAAAAAAAATTAGATTGGCCTCAATTCAGTGAAGGATAATATGATAATATATTGGATGACTTTTGGCAAATTAGTCATGAACAGCACCCACAAAACAAAACAAACAAACAACAACAACAACAAAAAACAAGCTGCCAGGAGGAAGTATGAGCCACAAAATTTGCACCAGAGATAATACTTTGCATTCCACCTGAATCTAAATTTACTTGAAAGGATAGAACTGAGAGTGTTTGTAGGTCTTTTATTTCTAATTACTCCGCAAGAGCATTGCACAATGACCATGGAAAATCACTTTTTGGGCCAGGCTTGGTGGCTCACACCTGTAATCCCAGCACTTTGGGAGGCTGAGGCGGGTGGATCACATGAGGTCAGGAGCTCGAGACCAGCCTGGCCAACATGGTGAAACCCCGTCTCTACTAAAAATACGAAACTTAGCCGGGAATGGTGGCATGCGCCTGTAGTCCCAGCTACTTTGGAAGCTAAGGCAGCAGAATCACTTGAACCCAGGAGGTGGAGATTGTAGTGAGCCAAGATCACGCCACTGCACTCCAGCCTAAGAGACAGAGTAAGACTCTGTCTCAAAAAAAAAAAAAAAAAAAAAAGAAGAAGAAGAAGATTAAGAAAAAAGAAAAAGCACTATTTGAAGATGAGAAAAGGGGATTAGAACCTTGGTATGATTCAGATTTGAATTATTCATTGCAGTCTGGGATGATTCTTCCAGATATGAGTAATGCCTGTAAACACAGAAACAAAGAAAAATGCTTGTTGAATCATAGAATTTCTCAGATTTGCTTAAAGGGAAGTCAAAGGGCATCTACCCAGTTCTAATGAGCAGGACCCTAAAAATATCTGCATGAGATTGTTAATATGAAAAAATGAGGCTATCTTATTAATTTCTCAGCAAATTGATATGACATTGAATGAGACAACTAACAGCGCTCAGAGTTATGCATGCTTGAGGATTTAGAATTGTTCTACTTAACAATGTCTTTCTTTTTTTTTCTTAATTCTATCAACAGATTTCATTAGCAATTTCTTTATAATGTTTGTTTAATACCTAGCAGAAGATTCACTGTAGAATGATTAGAGACAATTACTCTTTTAGGACAATACAACAAAATGAGGAAGTGGTCAGCTATAGAGACTGCATTTCTTTAATGTTTTGTTGTATTATAAACTTTGGTTTCTTCTGAAAGCTTGCCTAAATCTTTTTTTTTTTTCTTTTTTTGGGACAGGGTCTCACTCTGTTGTCCAAGCTAGAGTACAGTGGGGTGATCTCAGCTCACTACAACCTCTGACTCCCGGGCTCAAGTGATCCTTCCACCACCCACTTCCCAAATAGCTGGAACTATAAGCACGTGCCGCCACGCCCAGCTATTTAATGCCTGGCTAATTTTTGTATTTTTTTGTAGTGATGGGGTCTCACTATGTTGCCCAGGCTGGTCTCAAACTCCTAGGCTCAAGTGATCTGCCTGTCTCTGCCTCCCAAAGTGCTGGGACTACAGGCATGAGCCAACAAGACTGGCTGGCTTAAATCCTATATTCCATGCATTAGGAAGCTGCATGTCTGCGGTGTCTTCAACCGGCTTTCTCATACTACATTCAATTGAGTGTCTTATTACTTATGCTTACTGCATGCTGTTGTTCTCATTGCCATTGCAATGTTTGTGAATGATATCGTCAACACCTTATATGTTTTTTTTTAACTCCCTCTAATAATTTATCTTAGTCATTGTTTTGTTTTGTTTTGAGATGGAGTTTCGCTCTCGTTGCCCAGGCTGGAGTGCAGTAGCATGATCTCGGCTCACTGCAATCTCTGCCTCCCGGATTCAAGCGATTCTCCTACTTCAGCCTCCTGAGTAGATGGGATTACAGGCGCCTGCCACCACACTCAGCTAGCTAATTTTTTGTATTTTTAGTAGAGATGGGGTTTCACCATGTTGGCTAGGCTGGTTTCAAACTCCTGACCTTGGGTGATCCACCCACCTTGGCCTCCCAAAGTGCTGAGTGCTGGGATTACAGGCGTGAGCCACCACACCCAGCCGACTGCTTTTTTAAATTGGGTTTCGGCCATTTAGTCTTGACGTTGGTCAAGTTTGGTATGTATGGGACCTGGATGTCCTCACTTCTCTCTTAGCCTTCTGGTCCTTGTGTTTGGCCGCGCTGATGCACCTCTGCCAGCCCTGGAAGGGCTCAGAGCCTCCTCTCCATTGGATGCTGTGTCTAGCTATCTTGGCTCTGGGCTTATGTTCCCTTTCTTTTTCTTTTTATTTTTTTTTTGAGACAAGATCTCACTCGGTTGCCCAGGCTGGAGTGCAGTGGCACAATCTCAGCTCACTGCAACCTCCGCCTTCCAGGTTCAAGCGATTCTCCTGTCTCAGCCTCCCGAATAGCTGGCATTACAAGTGTGGGCTACCATGCCCAGCTAATTCTTACATTTTTAGTAGAGACGGGGTTCCACCATGGTGACCAGGCTGGTCTCGAACTCCTGTCCTCAAGTGATCTGTCTGTCTCTGCCTCCCAAAGTGCTGGGATTACAGGTGTGAGCCACCTCGCCTGGCCCACCCTTTCTTATAATTTTATTGCATTTTAGATTTGTATGGTTATGGAAATTATGTATTCATGTACTCATGCTCTACTCTTTGTTTCTTTTGAGGCCTACATTTTGCATATCCCCCCAGGCATTGAAAGAAGTGTGTTTTTTTTTTTTGTTTTTTTTTTTAACTTTCCTTCTTTTATTTGGGCCCCAGCGTGGTATTTTGTGCTTACATAAGTACTTTCCTTTATTCAAATTGTGGAATACATTTTTGGGGGCAGTCCCATTGTTTTATAACTTCGGGATCATTAGTCTTCATAATCCCCTTGAAATTTATTCTGCTCCATGGTTACTTTATTTATGTATTTATTTATTTTAGAGACAGGGTCTCGCTCTGTTGCCCAGGCTGGAGCTCAGTGGCACGATCATGGCTCACTGCAACCTTGACCTCCTGGGCTCAAACGATCACTTCAGTCTTCCAATTGGCTGGGACCATAGACACGCATTTCACAATGCCTGGCTAATATTTAAAATTTTGGTAGAGACAGGGGTCTCCTTATGTTGCCCAGGCCGGGCTTGAACTTCTGGGCTCAAGCAATCCTCCGGCCTCAGCCTCCCAAGGTGCTGGGATTGCAGGTGTGAACCGCTGCGCCTGGCCCTGTGTAATTTCTTAAGAATGTTTTATTCAGAAGCTTGGAGTAGCACATAATTTTGCCTACTTACAGTCTGACAGTTAGGATTCTTCTACTGAAAAAGAATCTGTCCGGGCACGGTGGCTCATGCCTGTAATACCAGCAATTTAGGAGGCTGAGGCAGGTGGATCACCTGAGGTCAGGAGTTTGAGACCAGCCCGACCAACATGGGGAAACCCCGTCTCTACTAAAAATACAAAAATTGGCTAGGCATGGTGGCGGGTGCCCATAATCCCAGCTACTCTGGAGGCTTAGGCGGGAGAATCGTTTGGACCTGGGAGGCGGAGGTTATAGTGAGCCGAGATCGTGCCATTGCACTCCAGCCTGGGCAACAGAGTGAAACTCCGTCTCAAAAGAAAAAAAAAAAAAGAAATGGAATCTTATCAACAACATAAAAAGTACATTCAGCAGCCATCTTAGGCCATAATAATGATAAATAAAAAGCGCATGCACCTGGAGCTGGAGCCTGTACTTGTAGTCCCAGCTACTTGGGAGGCTGAGGTGGGAGGATCACTTGAGCCCAGGAGTTCAAGGGTACAGTGTGTCATGAGCATGCCCATGAACAGCCACTGCACTCCAGCCTGGGCAACATAGTGAAGCCCTGTCTCCAAAAAACAAACAAACAAGCAAACAAACAAAAAACCGAAGTACACAACTTTTTTTTTGAGACGGAGTTTCACTCTCGTTGCCCAGGCTGGAGTGCAATGGCACAATCTCAGCTCACCGCAACCTCTATCTCCCAGGTTCAAGCAATTCTCCTGCCTCAGCCTCCCGAGTAGCTGGGATTACAGGCGTGTGCCACCATGCCCGGCTAATTTTGTATTTTTAGTAGAGACGGGGTTTCCCCATGTTGGTCAGGCTGGTCTCGAATTCCCAACCTCAGGTGATCTGCCTGCCTTGGCCTCCCAAAGTTCTGGGATTACAGGCGTGAGCCACCGTGCCCAGCCATAACTTTAACTTTTAACTAGGGATTCCATGTCTTTGTCTTATTAAAGCAAAATATATATTTTTTAGGCCGGGCGTAGTGGCTCATGCCTGCAATCCCAGCACTTTGCCAGGCCAAGATGGGTGAATTGCTTGAGCCCACAAGTTCGAGACCAGCCTGGGCAACATACTGAGACCCCCATCTCTACTAAAAATACAAAAATTTGAGCCAGGCATGGTGGCGGGCACCTGTAATCCCAGTTACTTGAGAAGCTGAGGCAGGAGAATCGATTGAACCCGGGAGGTGGAGGTTGCAGTGAGCCGAGATCACGCCACTGCACTCCAGCCTGGGCAACATAGTAAGACCCTGTCTCTATAAAAAAAAGTACAAGCAAAATTTGCTACCAAAGTTCACAACTTTAACTTTTAACTAGGGTTTCCATGTCTTTGTCTTATTAAAGCAAATTTTTTAAAAAGCAAAATGTTTTTATTTGAGGACTTTTTTTTTTCCTTCTCAAACAATTCTTATTGTAAGCCTTTCTCTCCAGGCAGAAAAAATAATGTTGTTTGTATTGACCTATACATTGACTTAAATGGTTAAGTAGCAGTTAAGCTGACAGGAATGAAAAATAGAAAAAAAAAAAAGTCTATCATATGAAGCACATTATTTGAACAAAAGAAATTATTTCTACTGCATTAAATAATCCAATTACCTGCTTTCATGTTACTTGCCTTCTTATTAACAAAACCCAAAATGAAATACTAGGCACATCTGGGAGGCACACAAAGCTCATAAAACAGAAGTGCTTGGACAACCAGGATAAGAGGTGACATTTTCTAGGCTGAGCCTTTGTTGGTGTGGTATCACCTCATCGAGTTGGCAGGTCCATTAATCAAGGGACACTAGCATCCAGCCAGCTGAAAAGATGGGCCTGAACTGCTGAGTATTCATTACAGGAAAAATAACTCTTATAAAAACCTCTAGGCAGAGAAGACTTATCAACAAAAAACGAGGTAATGACTACGGCATCTGTGGATGTACAGAATTTACAAATGGAATTTCAGGATGAAATGGGGAAGTGGCGGGGGCCGGGGGGGAAGGAGAGCACATTTACACTTCAATGAGTGTGAGTTCAGAAGGTAATTTTTCACATTAATGTAATATACTTTAAATCACGAGGCATGAAATGAATTGCAGGTGTTTTAAATTTGCCAAGGTTTTATTATGAAGCTGATGGCTTTGCGCTGGGCTAATGGATCATCTCCTGAAGTACTTTGGTTACCTATGTAAGCATTATTATAATTAAAAATTATTATTTGTTTAAAGTTTGTTTTTTGGCCAAGTGCGGTGGCTCATGCCTGTAATCCCAACACTTTGGGAAGCTAAGGCGGGCAGATTGCTTGAGCCCACAAGTTTGAGACCAGCCTGGGCAACACATACTGAGACTCCATCTCTACAAAACATACAAAAATTAGCCAGGCTTGTTGACACACGCCTGTAGTCCCAGCTACTCAGGAGGCTGAGCTAGGAGGATATCTTGAGCCCTTGAGCCTGGGAGGTGAAGGCTGTAGTGAGCTGCGATCACAAGACTACTCTCCAGCCTGCATAACAGAGTAAATCCCTGTCTCAAAAAAAAAAAAAAAAAAAAAAAAAAAAGTTTGTCTTTCAACTCTGTATGTTTGAAATGCTTTTGGATTTTTCAGATAAAATTGAGTTTATCCAAATGAAACGTATCATCCTTTATGTAACTGCATCAGCCATAAAAGAAATACGTCTGTAAGCTTACAGGTTGAGGCATATAGTTAATAGCAGGCAAAATAGAAAAATCAGGCACAGACCTGTCTCATGAGTCCATCACCCATAACTCCCTACATTCTTTTATGTTTGTTAGTGTCTGAAACGCACCTGCCCAGCGAGTCATCGTTTTCCTTCAAAGCAGTCTCCAAAACCCAACCATTGGATTCCAACTCCAGGCAAAAAAAACGCTGACTTGCTTTTTCCCTCTGCAGTTTCTTCCTTTTTCAAACACTTCTAGGTTATAAATGTGCCAAGAGGGAAGTCACCTGGAGGTGCTGTGTGTTATCAGACCTCGTTTTCCTTTTGTCATGTGCACATTCTTGTCAGTACAAGTGGCCTTATTTTGGGTTTGGAAAATATGGCACTGCAGTGAAATGGTCCAGTTTCAGATTTGTACTCTCTGTGTTCTTGGGGTTATGCAATAATCATTACTGTGTATATAATGTATCAGTCAATAAATGGTTACACAGGTTCCATTAGACTCCAAATGGATGAGTAAGAACAGGTTTATAAGGTAATGTACATGCAGACATAGGTTATTACGACTTGCAAATGTAATTATGCATTACAATGGAATCTCACTTTAGAAATGGCCTAAATGTAGGACTGATTTCACTTGCTCCCCACTCACAGGCCCTTATTTTATTATTATGATTATTTGAGATGGAGTCTTGCTCTGTCGCTCAGGCTGGAGTGCGATGGCATGATATTGGCTCGCTGCAACCTCTGCCTCCCGGGTTCAAGCAATTCTCCTGTCTCAGCCTCCTTAGTAGCTGGGACAACAGGCACGTGCCACCCATGCCCAGCTAATTTTTGTATTTTTAGTAGAGATGGGGTTTCATCATATTGGTCAGTCTGGTCTCGAACTCCTGACCTCAGGTGACCCACCCACCTCAGCCTCCCAAAGTGCTGGGATTACAGGCGTGAGCCACCGCACCCAGCCTATTTTATTATTATTATTTTGAGATAGTATCTTATTCTGTCACCCAGGCTGGAGTGCAATGGTGCAATCATAGCTCACTGCAGCCTCACCCTCCTGCGCTGAAGCGATCTTCCCACCTTAGCCTTCTGAGAAGCTGGAACTACAGGTGCACACCACCATGCCTGGCTAATTAAAAAAAAAATTATAGAAATGTGGTCTTGCTTTGTTGTCCAGGCTGGTCTCAAACTCCTGGCTTCAAGCGATCCTCCCACCTGAGCCTCTCAAAGTTCTGGGATTACAGGCGTGAGCCACCATAGCTGGCCTAAAGGCCCTTATTGCTCAAAGTATCTATAAAGTACCTACCCCTTTACATGTGTGCTTTGTCCAGAAGATGGTCTCAGGACAGCCCTGGGGACAGATTTTAGCAAAATCTCAACATAGTTTTCTGTTACTCAATGCTCAATTGTTTCTTTATCTTTTGTCATTTGTTCAGTCGATTTGTTTATTCTTGTTTTTTGGCAACTAGAAAGTCATTTAGCAAACAAATACTAGGTTAATAAAAATGTGTAGGTCAGTAGGTTTTAAAGAAAAGAATGTAGACACTAGTATTTTGTTATTGTTTCGCTGCTTCTCTCAGAATTATCCTTATTTCCTATAGTGTTAATTAGTCATATTTTGGTCTTATCACACTCCAATAAAGGTAAAGAGGTTGGGCTTGGGGCTCACACCTGTAATCCCAGTACTTTCGGAGGCCAAGGTGGGAGAATCACTTGAGCCCAGGAGTTCAAGACCAGCCTGGGCAAAAACATAGTGAGACCTCCCCGGCCCCAATCTCTACTGGAATTTTTTTTTTTGAGACAGAGTCTCGCTCTGTCACCCAGGCTGGAGTACAGTGGTGCGATCTCGGCTCACTGCAACCTCCATTTCCCGGGGTAAGATTCTCCTACCTCAGCCTCCTGAGTAGGTGGGATTACAGGCACGCACCACCATGCCCAGCTAATTTTTGTATTTTTAGTAGAGACGGGGTTTCACCATGCTGGCCAGGCTGGTCTCAAACTCCTGACCTTGTGATCCACCCACCTTGGCCTCCCAAAGTGCTGAGATTTACAGGCGTGAGCCACTGTGCCTAGCTGAAAAATTTAAAATTAGCTGGGCATGGTGGTACATCCCCGTAGTCCTTGCTACTCAGGAGGCTGAGGTGGGAGAATCGCCTGAGCCCAGGGATTCGAGGTTGCGGTGAGCCGTGATCATGCCACTGCACTCCAGCCTGGGCCACAGAGCAAGACCCTGTCTCAGATAAATAAATAAATAAATAAATAAATAAATAGTAAGGAAGAAACTTGAAAATACATATATATTCTTAATAAATACTTAATTTGTGGTTTTATTGAGTTATTGGAGTCCCATGCCATAGGCCCTTCAAAAGTACATGTCCTCCCAAGAAAAATATTTAATTACAGTAACAAGCAGTAAATTGATAAAAGAACAAGAGGGCCAGGGTACACAGGAATTGTTTTATTGCCTTTTCCATGTCTCAGGCATTCTATAATTGTCTACTTCATCCATGTTCTGAAGCTAATTATTTATTCCATCCCCAGGATAAAGTTAGGTCTCTTGGTTTAACTTTGTATTTGCAGGTTTGACCTAATTCCTTGCCGGCTCATAATATAATTAAAGTTGGCATTTCCTTCTCTTATCCGCCCTCCCCACTCCCCGGCTTTCCCTCCCCGCTGTGTGCCTGTTTATCACTAGATGGTGCTAAGACTTGGGTTATAGCTGCCAGAGACTCTGGGAAAGTTGTTCAGGAGCCAAGCAGGCTGGAATTTGAGAACTGGAAGATGCCTTCAGAGCTCATCCGGACAGCACTTTTGTTTTACAAATGAGGAAACAGAAACTCAGTGAAAATAAGTAATTTGTCAGAGACCCAGAGATCTCTCCCCTCCTTTTTTTTTTCTCTTTCTTATCTGTTAATAGCTTCCAGTGTTACCTCATCACCCAGGAAGGAGCACAGCTCAGAGAGCAACAAGGTCAGAGTTGCTTTGCAGAAAGCACTTTGGCAGCTGCATGGTACCATTCATTGATTCATTTATTCATTCCAAAAGCAGTTATTGGGTACCTACTTTTTGCTTTGCATAGTGCTAGACGTTGGGAATAAAAATCAGATGAGAATTCCTAGGATTCTAGGAATTCACATTCTCTTAGGAAATACAGAAATGCAAAAAAAAAAAAAAAAAAAAAAAAGAAAGAAAGAAAAAGAAAAACAAACAAACAAACAAAAAAAACAAAAATCACCCCCTAAATCAAAGATGCTATAATAGACGTGATTATAGGACACTCTGGTCACTTGGAGGAGTTTGCAGCCAGCTGCATTCATAATTCAAAGGGAAGATTTTGGTGAGCTAACATTGGAGGCTGAAGCGCATATCGGATCTTGTAGGCAGAGGAATGGGAGGGAGGGCAGTCCAGGCAGACAGCATCATGGGTGAAGGCTTGGAGAGCTGGTGAGGCTTGGTGGAGACAGCAGCTGATTGTGGCTGATGACCAAAGGGCAGGGTCAAAGGGGCAGGTGGTAATCTGGGAAGGAGGGGACGGACTTCATCCGAGGTGTCATGTTCAGGAATTTGTACTTTATCCTGAAGGCTACAGGACAACCCAGTAAAACGTATTGCTCGGAAAATGGCACAGATGGAGTTTCTTTTCAGGAAGAACACTCTGACAGCTGCATGGAAGCCCAGACACCAGGAAACCCTCAGATTGGAGGCTGGTGTCCCGGAGCAGTGCAAGGTAAGGGCCTGGCTGGGTTGGGGCAGTGGGAATGGGAGGAGGAGGCCTGTTGGAGAGAAATTTCAGAAGCAGGACTGACAACATCTTTTTGAAAAACAGTGATTGGGATTGTAGCTAATATTCTTAGAAGATGGTTACCACTCTGGTATTTGAATTACTTATAAAACATTGAAGGGATGAAATTTTAATTGAATACACATATTACTTGAATACAATTTTTGAAATTATTTTTAAAATACAACTTAATGGCAGTATAGTAATCCTCCCTTATCCACAGTTTTGCTTTCTGAGGTTTCAGTAACCCTCGGTCAACCAAGGTCCAAAAATATTAAATGGAAAATTCCAGAAATAAACAATTCATGAATTCTAAGTTGCACGATGTTCTAAGTAGCTTGATGAAATCTCAGCCAGGCAAGGTGGCTCACACCTATAATCCCAGCACTTTGAGAGGCTGAGGCGGGAGGATCACTTGAGCTCAAGAGTTTGAGACCAGCCTGGGAAAGACCCTGTCTGTACTAAAAAAAAAAAAAAAAAAGCCAGATGTAGTGGTAAGCACCTGTAGCCCCAGCTACTCAGGACAGAAAATTAAATAATAATAATAATAAGGACGTCAAAAAGCTCCCAGGGAGTAGCAGGTAAGCCCAGCTGCCAGAATTCGCTTCCAGAAGCTCATCCTTGTTCTTTGATGATCTATACATATGACTAGCCAGTACTTCCACTCCTTCAGCTTGAAAATATTTTACCTGTTGGAAAGATTATTATTATTACTATTATTATTTTGAGGCAGAGTTTCACTTTGTTGCCCAGGCTGGAGTGCAGTGGCACAATCTTGGCTCACTGCAAACTCCGCCTCCCAGGTTCAAGTGATTCTCGTGCCACAGCCTCCCAAGTAGCTGGGATTACAGGTGCACACCATCACGCCCGGCTAATTTTTGTATTTTTAGTAGAGACAGGGTTTTGTTAGGCTGGTCTTGAACTCCTGGCCTCAAGTGATCCACCAGCCTTGGCCTCCCAAAATGCTGGGATTACAGGTGTGAGCTACCGCGCCTGGCCTAGGAAAGATTATTTTGATCACATGGCTCCCTTTTGCCCTTCTGGCCCCCAGTACCATGGTGCAAATTGTTTTATGATCGACCCCTGGGAAAGTGGACGCTGGGTCCACGGTCCTTCCTGCCACCTGCAATACATCCTTGGGAACATCCAGACCAGCCATGTGCCCTGATCAGCTTTGTTTCATTTATGAGATTGATAATTAACAAATTAATTATCTAAGGTTGTGCAGTGAGAGAAGGAAAGACATTGAGATAGAAAGTTAATAGTGTCAGAGATGTCCTAACCAGAGTGACTCCATCTTGAATAAAGGCTGGGTAAAGCCAATCCTGCTGGGTAGCATTCCCCATTTCCAGGGGGTTGGTACTGTTGGTCACAAGATATTTATGGCTGAGGGGATGAGTTAATGATGCTAACTTACCAAATAAAGACCCAGAACTTATGGAAACGTCCCAATATTTCAAGAACAAAATGCATTCTTAGTTTAAGAATAGGTTTTGCTTTAAAGATAATAGTACACATATAAATTCTTGTGGAAATCAGTAGTAGCATAGGAAAATAACAATACTAATAGCCCGTCACAAGCTGATCAAAAGTCTTTGTAATGAAGTATGCTATTCTTAACAACCTATATAAGCAAGCACTATGTTTAAGGTGAGGCATTCTTGGCCAGGCATGGTGGCTCATGCCTGTAATCCCAGCACTTTGGGAGGCTGAGATGGATGGATCTCTTCAGCTCAGGAGTTGAAGACCAGCCTGGCCAACATGAAAAAACCCTGTCTTTACAAAAGATATAAAAATTAGCCAGGCGTGGTGGTATGTACCTCTAGCTCAGCTGCTTGGGAGGCTAAAGTGGAAGGATCAATGGAGCCTGGGAGGTTGAGACTATAGTAAGCCATGATAGTGCCACTGTACTCCAGCCTGGGTGACAGAGGGAGATATTGTATCTAAATAAATAAATAAATAAAAAGTTTAAAGTAGGGGCATTCCTCCTCTTGCTTTCTGAGGAAGCCCTACTCCGTAATAGTCTCTAACAAACTATCTTAACTTCGCTATACTCTGCAACTTGCCCTGAATTCTTTCCCAAGAAAGTGAGATCTAAGAGCCCACTCTTGGGGTCTGGGACAAGACCCATTTTCTGGTAACAGCAATGGTAATGAATGAACATATGTAAGTTAATTATCATTTGGATGTCCAGTTTGATTTTCTTATTTTAAATTTTTTTGAGACAGAGTTTCACTCCTGTTGCCCAGGCTGGAGTGCAATGCATGATCTTTGGCTCACTGCAACCTCCTCTTCCCAAGTTCAAGTGATTCTCCTGCCTTAGCCTCCTGAGTAGCTGGGATTACAGGCATGTGCCACCATGCCCAGCTAATTTTGTATTTTTAGTAGAGACGGGGTTTCACCATGTTGGTCAGGCTGGTCTTGAACTCCTGACTTCAGGTTATCCACCTGCTTCGGCCTCCCGAAGTGCTGGGATTACAGGCGTGAGCCAGAGCCCCAGTTTGATTTTCTAAATTGTACTCTGCCTTTATAGAATTTCCTAGGGAGGAATTAAGGGAGCTTCACCTGCCCCACTTGTTTTTATTTTATTTTATTTTATTTTATTTTATTTTATTTTATTTTATTTTATTTTATTTTATTTTATTTTATTTTTGAGACAGAGTCTCACTCTGTTGCCCAGGCTGGAGTGCAGTGGCACGATCTCAACTCTCTGTAACCTCTGCCTCCTGGGTTCAAGCCATCTTTCCTCCTCAGCCTCCTGAATAGCTGGGACTACAGGCATGCGCCACCACACCTGGCTAATTTTTGTATTTTTAGTAGAGACAAGGTTTCACCATGTTGGCCAGGCTGGTCTCAAACTCCTGCCCTCAAGTGGTCTGCCCGCCTCAGCCTCCCGAAGTGCTGGGATTACAAGTGAGTCACTGCACCCTGCCTTGATTTTATTTTAAATGTTTGTGGGGAATGTGGGGATGAAACTAACAGTTCCCTTTGTAGTGACCTACACAGTTGCCCTCCCACTGTAACTGGTGTATGACTTCGGCGGGTGTGGGAGGAGTGTTGCTTGTGGGAAATTTCTAAGGCTGATGTAGACAACATAATCTTAGGGTCTGTAGCAGCTCAGCAGGAATGAATGAGCCCCCTGCTGGAGTTTCTGAGAGCTTCGTGAAAACAGCTATAATTAGTATCTCCTTAGTGAGACTCTTTTGACGCTTTAACTAAAGTCATTCATTCCATTTTAACTGCATGAAGCAAGTGCTGGAGGAAGGAGGGTGAGGAACGTAGCCTTATCTTAAGTCTAGAAGTGGAAGCAGACAAAATACTCAAGCTGAGAATATAGATTAGTAAACTCCTTATTTTTGGTGTGTGTCTTTAGCGTAGACATTTCTGGAAAGGCTTGTGTCTCCTCTTTGTGATCAGGCACAATATTATCTTTGCTGCCCATCACAGTATAAAGTTGTAGAGTAGTAATGGCTTCAAGGAAATCTCTAATCCTCCAGAATAGAAACTGTTCAAATACTTTCTGAAATAAAGAGGTGGATATGGTCCTATGTATTATATTAAGATAAGAACAAGGTAAAGTAAAAGTGTCTGTTTGCCTTTTTTGTTATAAAACCAAAGAATACGTCACAGAATATTTTTCCATGCATTTGTCTGTCTTCATATACATAGCAATTAAATTTGTTTTGTGAATTCAATTATGTATTTTCTTTTCTTTTTTTTATTTTTTGAGACAGTCTTGCTCTGTTGCCCAGGTTGGAAAGCAGTGGTGTGATCTCAGCTCACTGCGGCATTGATTTCCCCAGTTCAAGCTATTCTCGTGCCTCAGCCTCCGGAGTAGCTGAGATTACAGGCACGTGCCACCACGCTCAGCTAATCTTTTTTGTACTTTTAGTAGAAACAGTGTTTTACCGTGTTGGCCAGGCTGGTCTTGACCTCCTGACCTCAAGTGATCCGTCCACCTCAGCCTCCCAAAGTGCTGGGATGACAGGTGTGAGCCACTGCACCCGGCCTCAATTATGTAAATTTAAATTTGTTAAGGGAGGGGATGGTTAAAAAAAAAGCTATGTTTGTGAATTGGTGAGATATAGAAAGTTAATGACATGCAATTATACACCTGGAGCAGAACTCCAGAGAAAGACAATGCTGGCTGTCATGATGTGCACTGACTGTCATGAGGTGCACTTTAATTTTCTATAAATGGTTCACGGACCTTATATTGGATATCTTTCTGCTATTACTGAAATGAGACAGGAAGGAAAAATCAAAACAAAACAAAAAGCAAAAATAAAACAAAAAACTAAAATTGGCTTCAGCTATTTCTGTGTTCCGGGGAAGGGAAGGCTTCTTCTCCTAGGGGCGAAGTGCTCTGCGCCCGGGAAGACATATAATGGACATTTGGATTGCAATGAGGCTCTGAGACTAAAAGAAGCTAAATTTCTTTGCTCATTCAGTATCAGGAAAGCTAAAAAAAGAAAGCTATTGCAGCACTATTCATAGTAGCAAAGACTTGGAAACAACCCAAATGCCCATCAATGATAGACTGGATAAAGAAAATGTGGGGCCAGGCGCGGTGGCTCACGCCTGTAATCCCAGCACTTTTGGAGGCCGAGGCAGGTGGATCACAAGGTCAGGAGATCGAGACCAGCCTGGCCAACGTGGTGAAACTCCATCTCTACTAAAAATACAAAAATTAGTCGGGTGGGGTGGCATGTGCCAGCTACTCGGGAGGCTGAGGCAGGAGAATCACTTGAACCCAGGAGGCGGAAGTTGCAGTGAGCCGAGATCGTGCCACTGCACTCCAGCCTGGGCGACAGAGAGAGACTCTGTCTCAAAAAAAAAAAAAAAAAAAAAAGAAAGAAAGAAAGAAAGAAAAGAAATAAAAAAAAAAAGAAAAAGAAAATGTGGCACATATACACCATGGAATACTATGTAGCCATAAAAAAGGATGAATTCATGTCCTTTGCAGGGACATGGATGAAGCTGGAAACCATCATTCTCAGCAAACTAACACAGGAACAGAAAACCAAACACTGAACATACTCACTCATAAGTGGGAGTTGAACAATGAGAACACATAGACACAGGGAGGGGAACGTCACACACTGGGGCATGTTAGGGGGTGGGAGGCTAGAGGAGGGATAGCATTAGGAGAAATACCTAATGGAGATGACGGGTTGATGGGTACAGCAAACCACCATGACACGTGTATACCTATGTAACAAACCTGCATGTTCTGCACATGTATCCCAGAATTTAAAGTATAATTAAAAAAAAAAAAAGAAAGGTTTTAGGGGGTTCTGGGAGACTTACGAAAGTCAGAAATGGGCTAAGAGTCTCAGGAGGCCAAGCTGAAGTCAGGGGCCCTGGAACAAGATTTGGAAACAGGCTGTGCTAAGGAAGAAGAAGCCAGTATCTAAGGTATGGCGATTCCTGACCTTCACGTTTACTCTTTCCTGAGAATGTTGGCAGAAACCAGAAGAATATATCCTTCTCTGAAGATCCTTGGAAGACACACAGCACACAGGGAGAGTGGGCCTGTGCTGCTCTGCCTTGGAATTAAAGCACTGCTGTATCTTTTGCAGGTGGATTTTGTGGTATGTGGTCAGTTGTAGGCATTACTAATAAATAGCAATCCATCAGATTCATTGGTATCGGGGTAATGCTGGGCTCACACAATTAGTTAGGAAGTGTTCTACTGGTGTTATATCTTCTTGAAATGTTTGGTAGAATTCACCAGTAAAACCATCTGGACCTAAGTTTTCTTTTCTGGAAGGATTTTAGCTATGAATTCAATTTCTTCTAACGGATATAGGACTATTTAGTCTGTCTATTTCTTCTTGGGTGGGTTTGGTAGTTTGTGGCTTTAAGGAATTGGTCCATTTCATCTAAATTGTCAAACTTATGTGCACAGAGTTGTTTGTAATATTTCCTTATTATCCTTTTAACATCTGTGAGGTCTTTATTATATACACACTTTCCTTCTGATATTGATAATTTCTGTCTTCCCTCTTTTTCTTTGTCAGTCTAGCTAGCAGTTTTAATTGATTGTTTCAAAGAACCAGCTTTTGGGTTTATTGGTTTTTCTCTATTCTTTTTACACTTTTCTTTTCTTTCTTTCTTTTTTTCTTTCTTCTTTCTTTTTCTTTCTTTTTTCCCTCCCTTCCTTCCTCCCTCCCTCCCTCCCTCCCTTCTTTCCTTCCTTCCTTCCTTTCTTTTTTTAGACACGGTCTCTGTCACCCAGGCTGGAATGCACTGCAACTTCCACCTCCCAGCTCAAGCGATCATCACACCTCACCCTCCTGAATAGCTGGGACCTCAGGGGTGTGCTGCCATGCCAGCTAATTTTTGTATTTTTTGGTAGAGCCAGGGTTTCACCATATTGCCTAGGGTGGTCTCAAACTCCTGAGCTGAAGCAATTCATCCATTCTGGCTTCCCAAAGTGCTGGGATTACAGGCATGAGCCACTGTGCCCAGCCTTTTTTTTTCTTTTTTTTTAAATTTAAATTTTAGTTATATACAGACAGGGTCTTGCTATGTTGCCCAGGCTGGTCTCAAATGCCTGGGCTCAAGTGATCCTCCCACCTCCACTTCCCAAAGTGCTGGGATTACTGGTGTGAGCCCCCTGCGTCCAGCCTTATTTCCATTACCATTTATTAATTTCTGCTCTTAATGTTTTGTTTTTTGTTGTTATTGTTAGTTTGTTTTTGTTTTTGGTTTTTTTTTTTTTTTGAGATGGAGTCTCACTCTGTCACCCAGGCTGGAGTGCAGTGGCATGATCTTGGCTCACTACAACCTCTGCCTCCCAGGTTCAAGCGATTCTTCTGCCTCAGCCTCCCTAGTAGCTGGGACTATAGGTGTGTGCCACCACGCTGAGCTAATTTTTGTATTTTTAGTAGAGACATGGTTTTGCCATGTTGGCCAGGCTGGTCTCGAACTCCTGACCTCAAGTGATCCACCTGCCTTGGTCTCCCACAGGGCTGAGATTACGGGCCTGAGCCACCACACCTGGCCAAGTTCTGCTCTTAATGTTATTATTTCTTTGCTTCTGCTTGCTTTGAATTTATTTTGTTCTTATGATAGTTTCTTAGGTTGGAAGCTTAGCTTTTTTTTCTCTGCTAAGATAAGCATTTGATGTTATAAATTTTCCACTAAGTACTTTTTACCTGAATCTCACAAATTTTTATATGTTGTACTTTTGCTTTCATTCAGTTTAAATATTTCCCAATTTCTATCCAAACTTTCACCTTTTTGGCTGGGTGCGGTGGCTCATGCCTGTAATTCCAACATTTTGAGAGGCCAAGGCGGGTAGATCACATGAGGCCCAGTGTTTGAGACCAGCCTGGCCAATATGGTGAAATCCTATTTCTATTAAAAATACAAAAATTAGCTGGGCGTGGTGGGGCACGCCTGTAATCCCAGCTACTTGGGAGGCTGAGGCATGAGAATCACTTGAACCTGGGAGGCGAAGGTTTCAGTGAGCCAAGATGACACCATTGCACTCCAGCCTGGGCAACAAAGCAAGACCATGTCTAAAAAAAAAAAAAAAAAAAAAAAAGAAAGAAATGGGGAGGGGGAACCCCTTTCACCTTTTTTATTTTGTTTTTAATTTTTATTCTTTGTAGAGATGGCATCTTGCTATGTTGCCCAGGCTCATCTCAAACTCCAAGCCTCAAATGATTCTCCCGCCTTGACTTCCCAAAGTGCTGGGATTACGGGTGTCAGCCACTGTGCCCAGCCAAAACTTCCACTTTGATTCATGGATTATTTAGAAGTGTGTTGTGTAACTTTCAAGCACTTGGAGATTTTCCAGATATTTTTCTATTGATTTCTAGTTTAATTCCTTTGTGGTCAGGGAATAACTTTATATGATTTAATTTCTTTTAAATTTGTTGAGATTTGGTTTATGACCCAGGGCACTTGAAAAGAATATATTCTGTTGTTCTTGGGTAGAGTATTCCAGGAATGTCAGTTAGATCCAGTTGGTTGATGGTGTTGCTCACGTTTCTATCTGTGGTAATTTTCTTTCTTTCTTTTTTTTTTTTTTTCTGAGACGGAGTCTTGCTCTGTCACCCAGGCTGGAGTGGAGTGGCGCGATCTCAACTCACTGCAACCTCCACCTCCCAGGTTCAAGCAATTCTCCTGCCTCAGCCTCCCAAGTAGCTGGAACTACAGGTGCATGCCACCATGGCTGGC
Organism: Homo sapiens; assembly: GCF_000001405.40. NCBI lineage: Eukaryota > Metazoa > Chordata > Mammalia > Primates > Hominidae > Homo > Homo sapiens. The sequence continues at coordinate 57,854,481 of NC_000016.10, read as the reverse complement.
TAATTTTTGTATTTTTAGTAGAGACAGGGTTTTGCCATGTTGGGCAGGCTGGTCTCGAACTCCTGACCTGAAGTGATTTGCCCGCCTTGGCCTCCCAAAGTGCTGGGATTATAGGCAAAAGCCACCGCACCTGGCCCCATCTTTATACTTTTAACATACCTATATCATTATATATAAAGTGGGTTTTCTTTTAGACATCACGTAGTTGAGTTTTTTCAAAAATTCAATTTAACAATTTCCAGCTGGGCATGGTGGCTCACACCTGTAATCCCAGCACTTTGGGAGGGTGAGGCAGGTGAATCGCTTGAACTCAAGAGTTTGAGACCAGCCTGAGCAACATGGTGAAACCCCATTTCTAGCAAAAATACAAAAATTAGCTGGGTGTGATGGTGTGCACCTGTGGTCTCAGCTCCTCAGGAGGCTGAGGTGGCAGAATTGCTGGAGCCTGGGAAGTCGAGGCTACATTGAGCCATGATCACACCACTGCACTCCAGCCTGGGTGGCAGAACGAGACCCAGTCTCAAAAAATAATAATCAAATAAAAATTAAGGCCAGGTGCAGTGGCTCACACCTATAATCCCAACACTTTGGGAGGCCGAGGAGGGTGGATCACTTCAGGTCAGGAGTTCGAGACCAGCCTGGACAACAGGGTGAAACCCCATCTCTACTAAAAATACAAAAAATTATCCGGGTATGGTGGCGCACGCCTGTAATCCCAGCTACTCAGGAGGCTGAGACAGGAGAATTGCTTGAACCTGGGAGGTGGAGGTTGCAGTGAGCGGAGATTGTGCCATTGCACTCCAACCAGGGTGACAGAGCGAGACTTTGTCTCAAAAATAAATAAATAAGCAAAATTAAAAACTAAAATTAAAATTAAAAAATTCTTTTAGTTGGTGTATTTAGACTATTTACACTTAATGTGATTATTAATATGCTCGAATTTGGGTTCACCAATGAATTGTTTTCTGTTTGTTCCCTCTATGTTTTGTTTCTGTTTGCCCTTTCTTATCCTCTCTTAGATAATTTGAATACTATTTTATTTTATTTTATTTTATTTTATTTTGAGATGGAGTCTTGTTCTGTCACCCAGGCTGGAGTGCAGTGGCACAGTCTCAGCTCACTGCAACCTCTGCCTCTTGGGTTCAAGTGATTCTCCTGCCCCAGCCGTCCAGGTAGCTGGGACTACAGGCATGTACCACCATGCCCAGCTAATATTTGTATTTTTAGTAGTGACAGGGTTTCACCATGTTGGCCAGGCTGGTCTCAAAATCCTGACCTCAGGTGATCCGCCCACCTCATCTTCCCAAAGTGCTGGGATTACAGGAGTGAGCCACCGCGCCCGGGCAGATTATTTGAATACTTTTAGTATACCATTTTAATTTATCTATTGGGTTTTGATTATATTTCTTATTTTAAAATTGTTTTAACATTTTTTCCTTGTCTTCAGGATTTTCTAGGTATATATTTCTTTCTATAGTGCTTCTGTACAAAGAAATATACTATAGCATACTAATTTTAGTTCTGTACAAAAAAATTTCTATGTCTTCTATACAAAAAAGAAATTCTACAAGGAAAGTTTTAAAATTGCTCTAGGAATTACAATATACATATTTAGCTTTTGACAGTCTACTTAGAATTGCTATTCGATCCCTTTAAGTGGAATATAGAATCTTTTCGCTAGATAGGTTCCTTTAGTCTCCCCTAGTTTGGCTCACGGCTCACGGGAGCTTACAGAACAATTTTTACTCCTAATCTAAATGTGCTTTGAACTAAACCTCTTGAAGTCAAATATTAATGTATAGGACTTCTAGTTGAAGACGGAATATTTGCATTCATTTCCATCCCTTCCTGAACCCAAATGAAATGATTGTAAAGGATTTAAAAAGTAAAAATCCATAAGGATAAAGATAATAGAAGAGGAAAAACAGTAGACGAAAGGTGTTAAGGAATCTGGATTTTGGAACACCTGGCCCAGAGGTGAGAGCTGAGGAAGCACCGCACCCGAAACCCAGGGATGATGTGAAACTCACTCAGAACACTGAGACCTCTGGCCTCCTGCCTTCTCTTAGGTCTCAGAATATTGGCAGCCAGGGTTACAGCTGATGATGAGGCAGGAGGTGGGGTGATTCACTTCTGGGGAAACAAATCAGCTCTGGAGAAAGGAACTAATAAAACTGACAATGAGGACCCTCCAATGAGTGCTCCAAGGCCCGGGTCCATCACCCTGCAGCAAAGTCCTCCAGTCACAAGCTCCACCCCCACATACAGGTCCGACTGACTGTTAGTGTCTCATCTTAAATATGAACAGAAAGCCAAGGATAATCTCACAGTTTGTCTCTAACATAAAAGTGAGACCAAAATAAAATAAGCAGGAAAAAAGAGACAAAGAAAATAGACAATCTAGGGAAAGAAAGAAAGGAAGAAATAAAAAAGAAAGAATGAGCTGGGTGTGGTGGCTCACACTTGTAATCCCAGAATTTTGGGAGGCCGAGGAGAGAGGATCACTTGTGGTCAGGGGTTTGAGACCAGCCTGGCCAACATGGAGAAACCCCATCTCTACTAAAAATACAAAAAAATTAGCCAGTGTGGTGGTACATGCCTGTAATCCCAGCTACTCAGGAGGCTGAGGCAGGAGAATCGCGTGAACCTGGGAGGCAGAGGTTGCAGTGAGCCAAGATTGCACCATTGCACTCCAGCCCAGGCGACAGTGCGAGACTACCATCTCGAAAACAACAACAACAACAAAAATTAGCCGGGTGTGGTGGTGCAGGCCTGTAATCCCAGCTACTCAGGAGGCTGAGGCAGGAGAATCACTTGAACCTGGAAGGCGGAGGTTGCAGTGAGTCGGGATTGTGCCACTGCACTCCAGCCTTGGCAACAGAGCGAGACTCTGCCTCAAAAAAAAAAAAAAGAATGAACGAACGAATATTATAATAGTTCCAGAGACAAGAGGCAATTACACTCTTGAAATGCTATTGAATAAATGAATATTCAAAACCAAGACAATCTCCAGATATTACCAGGGATAAGGAAAAATAAAATAAAATAAACACAAGAAAAATCTATGTGTTTTTAATATGAGGGGAAAAATCAGTAAGTGGATTGGAAGATGAAGTTGAGGAAATTTTCCAGGAACTAGAACAAACAGAGAGAGATGAAAAATAATAGGCCATGCATGGTGGCTCACACTGGTCATCCTAACACTTTGGAAGGCCAAGGCAGGAGGATCACTTGAGACCAGGAGTTTGAGACCAGCCTGGGCAACATAATGAGACCCCCGTCTCTACAAAACATTAAAAAAACATTAGCCGGGTGTGGTGACACACTCCTGTAATCCTGGCTACTCAGGAGGCTGAGGTGGGAGGATGCCTGGAGCCTAGGAGCTTGAGGCTGCAGTGAGCGGTGATCACACAACTACACTCCAGTCTGGGCAACAAAGCAAGATCGTGTCAAGAAAAGGAAGGAAGGAAAGGAGGGAGGGAGGGAAGGAAGGAAGGAAGGAAGGAAGGAAGGAAGGAAGGAAGGAAGGAAGGAGGGAGGGAAGGAAAGAAGTTGAAATCAAATCAGCAATTTCAAAGAATTCCAGAGAGAACAAAGAAAGGGCAGAGAATATCAATGAAATAACACAGGAAAACTTCCCACAGCTGAAGCACTGGAAGGGCCTGCGGAGAACTCCGTACAATGTATGAAAAAGACCCATTTTTGTGGCTGGGCACAGCGGCTCACTCCTGTAATACTAGCACTTTGGGAGGCCGAGGCGGGTGGGTCACCTGAGGTCGGGAGTTCGAGACCAGCCTGGCCAACATGGCAAGACCCCATCTGTACTAAAAATACAAAAATTAGCCGGGCATGGTGGCAGGCGCCTGTAATCCCAGCTATTTGGGAGGCTGAGGCAGGAGAATCGCTTGAACCTGGTGGATGGAGGTTTTAGTGAGCTGAGATAGGGCCACTTCATTCCAGCCTGGGCAAAAGAGTGAGTGAGACTCCATCTCAAAAAAAAAAAAAAAAAAAAAAAACCCTTTTTAAAATTTATTTTTATTTATTATTATTATTATTGTATTATATTATTTTGTTTGTGTGTGACAGGGTCTCACTCTCTCCCCCAGGCTGGAGTCCAGTGGCTCAATCATGGCTCACTGCAGCCTCAAATTCCTGGGCTCAAGCAATCCTCCTGTCTCAGCCTCCTGAATAGCTGGGACTACAGGTGCATGCCACCATGCCCGGCTAATTTTTCAATTTTTTGTAGAGACAGGGTCTCGCTATGTTGCCCAGGCTGGTGGTCTGGAACTTCTGGGCTCAAGCAATTCTCCCGCCTCAGTCTCTCAAGGTGTTAAGATTATAGGCATGAGCCACCACACCTGGCTTTTATTATTACTATTTATTTTTTAGAGAAAGGGTCTTGCTCTGTCACCCAGGCTGAAGTGTAATGGCACGATTATAGCTCACTACAGCCTCAAACTCCTGGCCTCAAGTGATTCCCCTACTTTTCGAGGCTGATTCCCCTCAAGCCTCCCAAATTACTAGGATTACAGGTGGAAGCCTCTGCACCCGGCCCATTAACTATTTTTTGTTGTTGTTGAGATGGAGTTTTGCTCTTGTTGCCCAGGCTGGAGTGCAGTGGCATGATCTCGGCTCACTGCAACCTCCACATTCCAGGTGCAAGTGATTCTCCTGCCTCAGCCTCCCAAGTAGCTGGGATTACAGGCACACACCACCACACCCGGCTAATTTTTGTATTTTTAGTAGAGATGGGGTTTTATCATGCTGGCCAGGCTGGTCTTGAACTCCAGACCTCAGATGATCTGCCTGCCTCGGCCTCCCAAAGTGCTGGAATTACAGGCATCAGCCACCACACCTGGCCCCATTAACTATTTTCTAAACACCTCTACCCCTATCTTCTAGAGGCAGTGAGTTTACGTTCTCCTTCCCTTCATAAGACAAAGGGCACCAACTCTGTAGTTTAAAAGACTATATTGACTTTCAGATTTTTAGAGAAGTGCCACTATGAACCCACAGAGCACTTAATAAGGGTTTTAAAATAATTAAATCAGTAATAACAAAGTAAAGGCCGTCACAGATACACACACACAGCAGTTTGTCTCAATCGATCTGATGTGTGTTAAGTTTGCATTGTCATTATCTACAAGGTAATTTATCTCCATTAAACTGGTCTGTAGGGGATACATTGATGAATGAAATCTGGGTTTCATTGCTTTGTTTATTTACAACGTACCCTTTCTACTGAGATCACCAATTATCAAGAAACTGTGATGGTAGTTGCCTTAAATTGGTTAACTGGGTTTCTGTCCCCAAAAAGGCTTAAATTTAGACGAGTAGAGCCACAGATATAAACCTCTAAAGCTTATTACTAACTCCTCTGTTAATCTCTGTACTGTCTGATCACTCAGCTACTATTGTTCTCTGCTTATGGAAAAGCACAGAAAAAGTGTGGTACTTACCATGACATCTACAGGAAGAACAGTTTTAGGATTCTAGGATTAGTGTTTAAGTGGAACCGGGGAAGAGAGAAGAAATTAAATCATCATAGAAATGTTCTCATAAAGCTTAATTTTATGTGAATATTTTTCACCTTGAAAACAAAGTTTAAGGTCACAGTTGCCAGAGAATCTAAATTCCTTATTTTTATGTATTTATTTAGAGAAAACCTCTAGTTTTTTGTTATGGCTGCCTGAAGGTGGCACATGCATTAAGTCCTAAGACATGCTAAATCTTTTTGTTAAAAACCCTGTGTAGCCATTCTTAGGGCTTCCTTTTAGCAAGAGAGACATTTTAGCAGTCTGCACACAGAATCGGAGATTAGCTTCATATGGGCGTCTTTTAATTTTAATTTTTTGAGACAGGTCTTATTCTGTCTATCAGGCTGGAGTGGCAGTGGCTCAGTCACAGCTCACTGCAGCCTCAAATTCATGGGCTCAAGGGATCCTCTGGATTCAGCCTTCCCAATAGCTAGGACTACAGGCATGCACCACAACGCCCAGCTAATTTTTAGAATTTTTTGTAGAGATGGGATCTGGCTATGCTGTGCAGGCTGGTCTGGAACTCCTGACCTCAAGCAATCCTCCTGCCTCGGCCTCCCAAAGTTCTGGGATGAGCCACCACACGGGGCCTCCATGCTGGCATCTCAATGCTGGTCCTGAATTTCGGCTTTCTGTGTGGTCCTTCTTAAGCCAGTTAAACCACTCTCTGTTTGCTTGATCATAAAAACAAATGAATGTTCATCTGAACAAAACGAGCTTATAGCTTTAATAGAATCTCCAAAATGTATGGCAACTTCAAGGCATTAGACAGAAAATAACAACAATAAAACTTTGGCTTCTTTACAAAGTATTTAAAAGTATTTAAAAATTGTTTTGCAAATAACTCTTCTGGCATCCAGGCCAAGCATGGTGGCCCACGCCTGTAATGCCAGTACTTTAGAAGGCTGCGGCAGGTGGATCACTTGAGGTCAGGATTTCAAGACACACCTGGCCAACATGGTGAAACCCCATCTCTATCAAAAATACAAAAATTAGCCAGATGTGGTGGGGTGCGCCTGTGTCCCCAGCTACTTGGGAGGCTGAGGCACAAGAATTGCTTGAATCTCGGAGGCAGAGGTTGCAGCGAGCTGAGATTGTGCCACTGCATTCCAGCCTGGGCAACAGAGTGAGACTCGGTCTCACACACACACACACACACACACACACACACACACACACACACAAATTCATCTGGCATCTGGACTTAATCTAAAAATATATTCTTGAACAATAAGGCCAAAGGGAAAGAAAAGTCTCAATGTTCTCTTACGCATTTATATCATCTGCAAATCTCTTTCAGGACTCCCCTCCCCTGCTTATAACAGAAAATTGGGCAGCCCTGTGTGTTTGTGTCAATTCCACAAATTGACAGAATCAATTTGTGGAATCTCTAATCTTTTTCTATCCATGGAACACTCCTAACACCAAATGTGTGTTGTTTCTTCCCCACACCAATAAATTCTCTGTGACACCAGCTGCATGTCCTACAATTTTTTCAAAATTACTTTTTATTGTTTATAGACACAGGATTTTTACTGTGTTGCCCAGGCTGGTCTCGAACTCCTGGGCTCAAGCAAGCCTTCCACCTCAGCCTCCCAAAGTGCTGGGATTACAGGTGTGAGCCACCTCTCCCTCCCTCCCTCCCTCCCCGCCCTCTCTCCCTCCCTCCCTTCCCTTCCTTCCTTCCTTCCTTCCTTCCTTCCTTCCTTCCTTCCTTCCTTCCTTCCTTCCTTCCTTCCTTCCTTCCTTCCCTCCTTCCTTCACAGATTCATTGCTCTGTCACCTCAGGCTGGAATGCAGTGGTGCCATCTGGCTCACTGTAACCCCCGCCTCCCGTGTTCAAGAGATTCTCATGCCTCAGCCCCCAGAGTAGCTGAGATTACAGGTGTTCGCCAGCACACGTGGCTAATTTTTGCATTTTTAGTAGAGATGGGGTTTCACCTTGTTGGCTAGGCTGGTCTCGAAATCCTGGCCTCAAGTGGTCTGCCCACCTTGGCCTCCTGAAGTGTTGGGATTACAGGCTTGGGCCACTGCACCAGGCCTAAATATATTTCTTATGCCACAGAATCACAAAGGAAAACACACTTCTTTTTATAGGTCATTTCTTTGTTTTGCTCATAAAGACTTATCCCAGGTCACAGTCAAGCTCATGAAATTCATATAAGTAGAAGGTTTCTCAAAACCCAATACGTGAGTGTTTGTTTGGGAAAGAAATTGTACCTATCAGAATGAAACGAAAGTGGATCGGTTGTACAGCCTTGAACCAGCTGCAGGGGTGACACTTCTAATCTGCTTTTCTCATTCTCGTTAACAACCAGATGGAGTGGGGGAGAAAGGAGGGAGGATGGGCTGTCTGCGAGCAGCTTCCTTAAAGGGTTTGACATGAGAATTTGCACCTGCTGGGCTGAACAGCGCCTTCCAGGCATCTCCGCCCAGGTGGCTGGGTTTCCCAGCAGAACATCGCATTCCAGTGTCTGCCGCAAGCCCTCTTCTGTTAGGTCACCCTCCACCATCCGCCTTCTTCAGCCATCAGGATTCTCATTTAGAAAGACTGCAAAGCCCTGTGTCCAGGTTGGAGGCAGCCGGGAGGCCACAGGTAGGGAAAAGATGTGTATCTCATGGCTTTGTCTGCTTCTCCCGGCCTGGCTTTAGGTCTGGAACCAGGAGCCCCATAGTGCTCTCTGGGCAGCAAAGGACCCAGGGGTGTGGTCCTCTACTGCCCAGCCCCACCCAGGGAGAGGGGTGGAGTTCTCCCTCCACCAGGCCATCACCAGCCCCTGGAGGTCCAGCCTCTTCCTGCTCTGGTGGGGAGGGAGTGGGCACAGGCTTATAAGTGTCTTGGCATGAAAGGGTTGGGTCTCCAGGCCCCTCACCTTGTCTACTCTTCCCTCATCTCATCTCCTGAGGGGCAGGGAAGTCAAATGCATTTCCTCTGTTCTCTTTCTCAGCTTTGTTTTGACAAAAACCCCACAGCTCTGGGGCAGCCCCTTCCTTTCACAAATCTTAAAGAACCCTCTGTAAGTTTAAACTCTACCAGTGCCCAGGAGACACTGGCAAACAATGTAGAAAAAGATCTTCACCTCTCAGAGGTGACTCTCCCTCACAGAGGAAAACAGGGAATAAATAACAGGCACAAAAATACATCAACATTTTGTCTGTTGGAAGGTGTTAAGTGCGAAGACTAAAAAACAAAAACCAATCAACCAATCCAACAGCAGAGTAAGGGGTGCAAAGAGCTTGGGGCAGAGGTGGAAGATGAGGAGTGAGTTGTGATTTTAACTAAGGAGATCAGGGAGAGTCTCCTTGAGGAACACCTGCCTGAGCAGGTGTGGAGGGAGGGAGAGAGCCCTGTGGATATTTGGGGAAAGAATGTCCGAGGTGGAAGAACCCACGCAAAGGCCCTGAGGCTGTCTGGCAGATTTTAGGAGCAGAGCAAAGGTGTTGGGAGGGATAGGAGGTTTGGAGCAGAGAGGGCTTGAGGGCCACTGCAGAACCTTGGTTTTCACTTGAAGCGATATGGGGGCCACAGACGGCTTTGAGCAGATGAGTGACGTGATTGGCTTCAGTTTTAACAAGATCAGTCAGGCCGCTGAGTTGCGAGGTGATTGCAGCTGGTCAAGGACTATCGCAAGAGTCCAGGGAGGGATGGTGGGGGCACTGGCAGTGGTGAGAAGTGGACAGATTCTGGATAATATTTGAAGGTAGAGCCGGCAGGAGTTGTAACATGAAGGCTGCACCTGCAGGGTTTGCACGGAGTCACTGAAAGGATGCAGTTGCTATTAGCTGGGATGAGAAGGCTGAAGGAGAAACCAGATTTGTGGGGAATGAAAATCAAAGTTCCAGCGTGGACATCTTGAATGCCCACTTGGATATCAGGAGCCTAGGTCACTTAATTTTTGTCTCCCTGCTATAAAAATTCTAATTCTTCTCAAGACCATATGGGCTGCAGAGGAGACGCACTGGCTAAAGAACCCAAAGGGTAACATTTCAAGAACCTTGCTGGTGACCTGGGTCAGTTCCTGGAAGCTGAAGATCCTGTCCTCTAAGCCTTTTAATTGCTGAACTAATGACTGAATGCCTGCCTTGTTCAACACCACAGCCGCTGCAGGGTCTGTCTAGGAATTGGTGAACCAAGCAGAAAATTCCAGGGCACAGGCTGCTGTGGGCTCCAGCATAGAAGACTGTGCTCCCATAGACTGTCAGAGCGAGACGGGCTGCAGACTACCATGTTTGTAGTTCCAGCCCTGGTATGGCTCTGTTCAAACACCTGGGGCCTGCGGAGGGGGCGGTGGGGAGAGTGGGACAGAGACCCCAGCACAGGCCAGGAGGAGGCCCCCGGCTGGCACTGGCGCAGCTCCAGCACCTCCAACAAAGATATTCTTGCTGAACTCCAATCCCCCTCCCCAGGGTGCATCCTGATCTCAGAGACACGAGGCTATGGCTTTCAGGTAAGGGTCCTTCACCAGACCTTGCCAATAGGTTTACGCTGCCTTTTTTTTTTTTTTTTTTTCCCTGAGACTGAGTCTTGCTCTGTCGCCCAAAGCTGAAGTGCAATGGCAAGATCTCGGCTCACTGCAACCTCCGCCTCCCGGGTTCAAGCAATTTTCCTGCCTCACCCTCCCGAGTAGCTGGGATTACAGGCGCCTGCCACCATGCCTAGCTAATTTTTGTATTTTTAGTAGAGATGGGGCTTCCCCATGTTGGCCAGGCTGGTCTTGAACTCCGACCTCATGATCCTCCTGTCTCAGCCTCCCAAAGTGCTGGGATTACAGGCATGAGCCACCGCGTCCAGCCTACGCTGCCTTTAGATCAAGGAAAGAAACTTCTTTTTTTTTTTGAGATGGATTCTCACTCTGTCGCCCAGGCTGGAGTGCAGTGGTGCAATCTTTGCTCACAGCAACCTTCATCTCTCAAGTTCAAGCAATTCTCCTGCCTCAGCCTCCCAAGTAGCTGGGATTACAGGCGTGCACCACCATGCCCAACTAATTATTGTATTTTTAGTAGAGACAGGGTTTTACCATGTTGGCCAGGCTGGTCTGGAACTCCTGACCTCAAATGATCTGCCCACCTTGGCCTCCCAAAGTGCTGGGATTATGAGCGTGAGCCACCATGCCCGGCCAAGGAAAGAAACATCTCCAGGGTGGAGTATAGATGTTTTCCTTTAGGCCTTGCAAACATGTCTAAAGGTATTCAATTTAGGTATTTCCAGTATTTTCTATACCCTCAGAAGCTCCTGCCAACTGCCCAGATCTGACTCACTGAGCACCAGGGATTTTGTTTGTTTGTGTCTTATTTTGGTAGAGATGGGATCTTGCTGTGTTGCCCAGGCTAGTCTTGAACTCCTGGGCTCAAGTGATCCTCCTGTCTCAGCCTCCTAAGGTTCTGGGATTACAGGCTGACCACCCCATTTTTCTAATGATGAGTGTCTATGCAGCCAGGGCACCAGGGCATCAGAACCCAGCGCCATCAGTTCCTGGCAAGGGCCTTGAGCAAGTCACTGGACCAGCCTGTATCTCAGTTTCCTCCTTTGTGAAATGGGCCAACAGTAAGTAGTGATGAGGCAAAGCAGGTGAAGTGTGCGGTCCAAGGCCTTGTTGGCAGGAAGTACCCAATAAAGGTGGTCAGTGTTCATATTCTGACTGTCTCATGGTTGAATCTCTGTCAAGTGGTTCAGAATTAATTGAAAATCCTTTTGTCTGAAATATTTTGCCCTGATTTGCCTGTGAGATTCTTTTATACACAGTTCCTGGCACAGAGTAGGTGCTGTATGATATTTATTTATTTACATTTATATTTATATATATATTTTTTGAGACAGAATTTCACTCTTATTGCCCAGGCTAGAGTGCAATGGTGTGATCTCGGCTCACTGTAACCTCTGCCTCCTGGGTTCAAACAATTCTTATGCCTCAGCCTCCCGAGTAGCTGGGATTACAGGCTTGCACCACCATGCCTGGCTAATTTTTATATTTTTAGTAGAGACGGGGTTTCACCTTGTTGGCCAAGCTGGTCTCAAACTCCTGTCCCTCAGGCGATCTTCCTGCCCTGGCCTCCCAAAGTGCTGGGATTGCAGGCATGAGCCACTGTGCCCGGCTGCTCTATGATATTTATTTAGAGGAATTGGAACATAATTGTGTGGCCTAGTGTTGGGACCTGAACTCTCTCTGTACTGGCTGTGTGATCTCAGCCACAAAACATCTCCTAAACCTCAGTTTTTGGACCTGTTAAAATGAGAATAATGGGCTATTATTAGGATGTTATAATAAGATAATATAATAATGGGTTGTTATGGGATGAAAAGAGAAAGCAAACGACAGAGGCTTCGAGTCAATGCCCAAGTTGTTAGTCTGATTGAACAGTGTTACTGAATTACGAAATTGAATTATTGAATTATTATTGAATTATTTTTGCTGCTGTTGTTGTTCTCATTGTTGATAAAATGGTGGAGCCTGAGGCTGGCATTGGATGTGAGTTTTTGAGTGATTCCCGCTCTGCTGCACTGGACTGCATGAATTATTTACAAGTTTGTTACCCAGTTCTACTTGATGGATTGATTTCTTCACTCCATAAATATGCAGTGAATGTCCACTCCATACCGTTCCAGACACAGGGGGCTCTGACCCTGGCCCAGCAAGCACATTTCTGACCCCCTGGAGCTTGCATTCCAGGTGGGGGAGGCAGTTAGTGAACAAGATCATTTCAGACAGCGCTAAGAAGCATGAGGAGATTTTTTATTTTTTTTTTTGAGACGGAGTCTCGCTCTGTTGCCCAGGCTGGAGTGCAGTGGCACGATCTCAGCTCACGGCAACCTCCACCTCCCAGGTTCAAGCAATTCTCCTGACTCAGCCTCTCAAGTAGCTGGGACCTATTACAGGTGCACATCACCATGCCTGGCTAAGGAAGCATGAGGAGATTCAAACGCAGGGAGAAGGCAGGAGATGGCCGGTGGGGATGGTCAGGGAAGGCCTCTCCGAGGAAGTGACATTTTTAAGGCCTAAGAGTAGAAAGACAGGAGCCACCCTTGAGAAGAGGGGAGGAGGTGGGGATGGGGTGTGTGGGGGGTGGATGGGGTGTCCCAGACAGGGGGACAGCCAGAGCCAAGACCTTGAAATGGGGAGAGCCTGGCATGGTGACAGACACAAGAGACTCATGCAGCTGGAGAGCTGGAACTGAGGGCAACGCGCATTTGAGAGGCCCTTGGCAAATGCTATAAGGTCTCATGGGCGATGGGAAAGAGTTTGGGTTTCATTCTGGGTTTTGTTGTTGTTGTTTTTGTTTTTGAGACAGTCTCGCTCTGTCCCCCAGGCTGGAGTGCAGTGGCACGATCTCAGATCACTGCAACCTCCACCTCCCGGCTTCAAACAATTCTCCTGCCTCGGCCTCCCAAGCAGCTGGGTTTACAGGCACATGCCACCAGGCCTGGCTAATTTTTTGTATTTTTAATGGAGATGGGGTTTCACCATGTTGCCCAGGCTGGTCTCAAACTCCTGGCCTCAAGTGATCTACCCACCTCAACCTCCCAAGGTGCTGGGATTACAGGCGTGAGCCACTGCGCCTGGCCTGGGTTTCATTTTAATGTAATAGGGAACTTTAGGAGGGTGGCAGCTCTTCTGGGTGTTTTGTGGATCACTTCCCTACCTCCTTCAGGTCTCAGATGCCCCTTTCAGTGGGGCCTTCCTTGACCACCCTACTAGAAATTACAACTCCCTACTTCAAGAGCTGGAAAAAATTCAGCCACCCATCCCTCCATGTCCTCCTTTGAATTATTTTTTTCCACCACTGTTACGGTCCTCTATCACACTCTAAATTTCACTCTTTGATTTTCGTCTATTGTTCCGTCTCTGCTGATAACGCAAGGTCCAGCAAGGGCTAGAACAGCACTGTCCAGAGTAGGTGTGCAAATATTTGCTGAAGAAGAGACTGCAGAACGTGACAGGGTTGAAGCTATGCCTTCACAAGGTCCCTCTGGCTGCCTGGTGGAGGAGGATCGCCAGAAAGCCGGAGTGTGGACACAGGAAGCCTAGTATCTGCTGGTGAGGCTTCCAAAGACATCTGGGACAAAGGTGGGAGGTGGCCAGGTTTGACATTGTCTTGCGTGTAGAACCCATTTGACTTGGTGACAGCTGGGGTGAGGAGGGAGAGAACCTGTGCTAGGTTTATTTTAACTTTTTTTTTTTTTTTTTTGAGACAGAGTTTCGCTCTTGTTGCCCAGGCTGGAGTGCGGTGGCGAGATCTCGGCTAGCTACAACCTCTGCCTCCTGGGTTCAAGTGATTCTCCTGCCTCAGCCTCCCGAGTAGCTGGGATTACAGCCATGCGCCACCATGGCCGGCTAATTTTGTATTTTTAGTAGAGACGGGGTTTCCCCACGTTGGCCAGTCTGGTCTCGAACTCCCGACCTCAGGTGATCTGCCCACCTTGGCCTCTCAAAGTGCTGGGATTACAGGCATGAGCCACCGTGCTCAGCCTTTAACTTTTATTTTTTTACAGACAGGGTCTTGCTATGTTGCCCTGGCTAGTCTTGACTCCTGGGCTCAAGGATCCTTCCTAGTAGCTGGAATTATAGGATGAGCCACTGTGTCTGGCAAGCTAGGTTTTTGTTTGTTTTCGAGACAGAGTCTTGCTCTGTCACTCAGGCTGGAGTTCAGTGGCTCGATCTCAGCTCACTGCAACCTCCACCTCCCGGGTTCAAGCAATATTTCTGCCTCAGCCTCCTGAGCAGCTGGAATTACAGGTGCGCGCCACCACGCCTGGTTAATTTTTGTATTGTTAGTAGAGACGAGGTTTTGCTATGTTGGCCAGGCTGGTCTTGAACTGCTGACCTCAGGTGATCCGCCTACCTTGGCCTCTCAAAGTGCTGGGATTATAGGTGTGAGCCACCTTGGCTGGCTAAGCTAGGTTTTCTGACTAGAGCAACTGTGGCCATTTACTGAGACTGGGAAGGCTGGGGAGGAATGGGCCAGCGAGGGGACAATCCAATTTGAGGAGTCAGTTCCAGGAGTCTGTTAGGCAGCGGAGAGTGGAGTTGTTAATGGAAATGGATGGTGATGAAAAGGAAAGTGCTTAAAATAGTGGAGAAGCTGTCAAATTGACAAATATGAGTTGCTCAAGAATGATGGAATTTTAGATCCAGGGGGGAAAAAATCACTAAAACTTAGATTTAAGTTCAGATAAATAAACCTGACACGTTTATTACATTCAAATGTAAAGAAATGAATAATAATGTTAGCCAAAATGCCTGCATTTTCAAGTCACAGGAAGTGCTTTAGGATAAATTTCAATGAAATTTAAAATAAAATGAAGGGAACGATGATAGGTAAGGTCTCCAATTTACAGGATTTTTTTGAGGGGGTGTTTCAGTTACAGAGACATTTATAAATAATCTTTTTATTATTATTATCATTATTGAGACATGGTCTTGCTCTGTCACCGAGGCTGGAGTGCAGTGGGATGATCATGGCTCACCGTAGCCTCCACCTCCCAATCCCAAGTGATCCTCCCACTTTAGCCTCCCAAGTAGCTGGGACCACAGGTGTGCACCACCATGCCTGGAATTTTTTTTTCCTTTTTGTAGAGATGGGGTCTCCCCATGTTGCCCAGGCTAGTCTTGAACTCCTGAGCTCAAGGGATCCTCCCGCCTTGGCCTCCCCAAAGTGCTGGGATTACAAGCTTGAGTCACTGTGCCCAGCTAATCTTTATTATTTTAGGGGATGGATATCATCACCCCAAATATGGTTTCTTTTTAATTTTTTTAGAGACAGGGTCTCCCTCTGTCACTCAGGCTGAAGTGCAGTGGCTTGATCATAACTCACTGCAGCCTTGACCTCCTGGCCTCAAGTAATCCTCCCACTTCGGCCTCCCCAAGTGCTGATGTTACAGGCGTGAGCCACTGTGCCCAGCCTCAAAATAAGGGTTCTTCAACAGAATGCTATTCTCAGTTTTAGTAAGAGGCCCTGTGTATCTCCCCATTAATCCCCCACTCTGCACCTTGCTAGTCAGGCCTCCCCAGTGTTTCCCAGGGGCCATTTCATCCATGTCATCTTTCCACCGAAAGCGTAACGCAGCTACACATGGCGGTGCCTTTTTGTTGTTTGATTTCCACACACAGAGACGCCACAGATTTTTATGGGATGGGATTTGCGGTGACTGTAAGGTGCAGGAGTGGTTCAGGAAGCAAAGATGACAAGGGCAAAACCCGTGAAGAAATGGATTAAGCAAAGCTATGATCAAGCGTAACCCTGATGGTCTTAAAAGCATTTTGCTTTTTGGAAAATGGAAGCTGCAACACCATCAATTTCAGCTCGTTCTTTCCTCCCGGGGAAGTCCCAAAGCAATATTTTCCACGTAAAGATTTTCCTGTTCCTGTGAAAATGATTTGCTGACAGCTCCTGTTTCCCACTCGGGGCTGTGCTTTCCGAACACCGTCTTGTCTACGTGTGCTTGGTAATAGATATGCATGAAGCCGCACCTTTGAGAAAAATTGCTGCAGACAAGAGCAGGCTGGGCTGTAACTAGGTGGCTGTGTCTGGAACTCCCGGGATATGTTTAGTATTCCATGTGTGTCATCCTCAAAAATTGCGTGGCTGCGAGGACCCAGCCAGGGCTGCCACTAGTATATGCTGTGTAGTTCGCAGGGCGCATGAATTTTGAATCTCAGAGGCTGCTTGGAGGCGGTTTGTAGCTGAACCATCAGCTGCTCTTGCAGGTGAATTTGAATTTAATTCCATCCCCGGCTGCGAGGCTTGGGAAGCTGCTTGTTCCCTGCATTTTTCTCTTTGTTCTTTGGCAGCAGATTTGCTTGCATTGTGTGGTTTGGTACAGAAAACAATTGCTCCTTCAGAAGATGAAAGGTGATTCTGCACTCTCGATGGATTTAAGCTGTGCTATGCTTCTTCCTCGTCTTATATTTTTTCCCCTAACCCCGGCTACTTGACCCTGGTTCAGCAAGCCAGTGTGGCTTCAAGCCAGTGTGGCCCACCAGGAGTTAGCGGACCTGGGTCTGGGCTGCGCTCTGCCAAGGCCAATCTGTATGGCCCTCCACTTGAGCCTCAGCATCCCATCCACGCAGCAAGCAAGTTCACCATCACCTCCACTGCCTTTACACGGTGAGGTTGGCTCTGCCTGCTGTGGATGTTCTCAGACGGGGTTTTCTGTGCACTGTTAAAGTCCCGATTCCCAAGGCCTTGTCTAGGAGCAGTACCAACCCCTTCAATTATGAAGACTAATGGGGGAAACAGACACACCCTCATCCTTGCACATCCCTGAGGACACATGTCTGCCCACACCTGCCCAGAACAAATGCTGGGAAAATGAAAATGTCAATTAAATGGTTGCTATGGCAACTAGTCTCATGTTTACTGCTACTCTTTCTTTCTTTCTTTCTTTCTTTCTTCCTTCCTTCCTTTCTCTTTCTTTCTTTCTCTTTTCTTTCTTTCTTTCTCCTTCCTTCCGTCTTTCTCTCTCTTTCTTTCTTTCTTTTTTGACTGAGTCTCACTCTGTCACCTATGTTGGAGTGTAGTGGCATGATCTTGGCTCACTGCAACCTCTGCCTTCCAGGTTCAAGCAATTCTCCTGCCTCAGCCTCCTGAATAGCTGGGATTATAGGCTTGCACCACCATGCCTGGCTAATTTCTGTGTTTTTAGTAGAGACGGGGTTTCGCCATGTTGCCCAGACTGGTCTCAAACTCCTAGGCTCAAGCAATCCACCCGTCTCGGCCTCCCAATGTGCTGGGATTATAGGCAAGAGCCACCACCTGGCCCTGCTGCTACATTGTCAGTGATGTAATGTTTTTCTCTATTGAGTTGATTGAATTCCTTGGTTGTTGCCCTCACTCGCCAACTCTGTCACCCTTACAAAACACATACACACACATAAACAAACACACACACACTATATGCACTGGTTTCTAATGACTAGCAGAGCCTCCGGTGCATCTTTAAAGGACTGAGATGAGGCAAGGTACAGTGGCTTACACCTGTAATCTCAACACTTTGGGAGACCAAAGCAGAAGTATCACTTTATACCAGGAGTTTGAGACCAGCCTGGGCTATACCACAAGACCCTATCTCTACAAAAAAATTTTAAAAATTAGCAGCTTATGATGGTGTGTGCCTGTAGTCTCAGCTACTCAGGAGGCTGAGGTGGGAGGATTGTATGAGCCCAGGACTTCGAGGCTGCAGTGAGCTATGATGGCACCACTATACACCAGCCTGCGCAACAGAGCAAGACCCTGTCTCAAAAAAATAAGAACAAAAATACATAAAGGGCTGAGATGTCCCATAAAGGGCTGAGAAAGCCAGGAGAATGGTTTTGGAGCAAGAGGGTACATTTTTGTTTTCTTTTTGTGCCTTTTGGGGTAGTTCGATTAGACAGAAGGAATTTGCAGCCTGAGACCAGAAAGTCTACCATTCATTCCCTTCTTGACCTTGCCTGGGCTGCTCAACTTCTGCCCAGAGGCTTAGCTCTTCATCAGGAGAAAATAATGCTCTTAGCTCCACCAAGCTGATAAGGGCCAAGGAGAAAATGCCTGCACTGGCCAGGCACAGTGGCTCAAACCTGTAATGCCAGCACTGTGGGAGGCTGAGGTGGGAGGATCTCTTGAGCCCAGGAGTTCAAGACCAGACTGGGCAACATGGTGAAATCCTGTTTCTACCAAAAATACAAAAATTAGCCGGGTGTAGTGGAATGCCTGTAGTCCCACCTATTTGGGAGCCTGAGGTGGAAGGATCGCTAGACCCCAGGAAGGTCAAGGCTGCAGTGAGCCCATGATCTTGCTACTGCATTCTGGCCTGGGCGACAGAGGCCCTGACTCAAAACAAGCAAAACAGAGAAAATTCCTGCGTCACCCTTTGAGTTCCCTGAGAAGGGCAACCTGAATGCCAGCTTCAGGCTGGCGACTGGGTTTCCCTCTGGAATCTAGTGTGTTCTGGGTTGGAAGTGAGGGCCTGGAGAGAGGCGCCCAGGCTGGAATGGAGTTTTTGTTTGTTTTTTGTTTCTGAGATGTAGTCTCACTCTGTCATCTAGGCTAGAGTGCAGTGGCACAATCTCAGCTTACTGCAACCTCTGCCTCCTGGGTTCAAGCCATTTTCACGCCTTAGCCTCCTGAGTAGCTAGGGTTACAGGCACATGCCACCATATCTGGCTAATTTTTATGTTTTTAGTAGAGACAGGGTTTCTCCATGTTGGCCAGGCTGGTCTTGAACTCCTGACCTCAAGTGATCTGCCTGCCTCGGCCTCCCGAAGTGTTGGGATTACAGGCATGAGCCACTGCGCCTGGGCTGGAATGGAGTTTTATTAGCCACAAAACTTTGGGTGAATCACTCAAAACTTTGGGTGAATCACGGTTCCTCTGTTCCTAGTCTATGAAACAGGGCTGACAAGAGTAGTACTTTCCTCATTGGGTTGTTCTGTAACCTAATAAAATACCATAGAAAATGCTAATATGTAATAAGTACCCAGTAGATGTTCACTCCTATTATATTAATATTGGTCACTACAGGAAATCCACAAAGGAAAATTGTACTATCAAATTATCATAGTGCTTTAATATTCCATACTCACATCTTTGTTGCTTTCTGAAACACATTCCAGTTTCATATTTTAGAGCAGGCTGAGTACAAGAGACACATGTTCATTTTCTTTCTCCCTGGTGATCAATGAGCTGATTGGATTTTAATATTTTCCATTTTGTTTTGTTTTTAAAATAAGTCGTTTGGTAGTTTCTGTTGCCAGAACCTTCTGATGAAATCGTCTATCACTGACTCTTCAAATATCGGTGCTATTGTGCCTTTGGGGAAGAGGCAGCATCTCTCCCATGACTGTACCTAGAACAAAAGAGAGAACCCGCCTCCGTTCTTACTCACAGAAGGAGGGGCCTGCAGGGAGCCAGTCTTAGCAAAGAGGAAAGCACAAGAAAGCAGCTTTTCTGTTGCATTTTTTTTCCTCCTGAATTTTACCACCATGTCCAAGGATCTCCCTCTGTTTCTCAGATCTACCTCCTTGGGAAAAGCTATTGGCAGCAGTGATGACAAAGGTTTGAGCATAGCTCATGAATTGCTTCCTCTGCAGAGTTGCATGCAGTAGAGACACCAATAGGTAACACTCAATCAAATGGCACCTAAAGGTATTTTTGCAGGGCACAGTGGCTCATGCCTGTAATCCCAACACTTTGGGAGGCTGAGGCAAGGGGATTGCTTGAGGTCAGGAGTTTAAGACCAACCTGGCCAATATAGTGAGACCCGGTCTCTACAAAAATAAAAAATAAAAAAATTAGCTGGACTTGTGACGTGTGCCTATAATCCTAGCTATTCAGGAGGCTGAGGTGGGAGGATTGCTTGAGTCCAGGGGGTTGAGGCTACAGTGAGCCATAATGGTACCACTGCACTGCAGCCTGGGCAACAGAGCGAGAACCTGTCTCTAAAAATAATAAAATAATAAATAAATAAAAATTTAAAGGTATTTTTATTTTACAGAGACTTCAGAATTTTAACACTTTGAAAAAAGGATCAAGGTGAAGAGTTTACTGAATAATTAATGAATTGTATAATGTGTAAAACTTTTGTGATAATTTTTTTAATGTTCAAAAAATGTCAGGGAGTGCAGTTTGCTCAGGGACAAACCAATGTTTCCCAGCCTAGAATAGTTAAGACCAGGAGAGGTCCACTAAGAAACAATACTGGGAGATTATTTTCACAGATGGTAACTTTTGCAATTTTTCATCAAATAATTTATTTGATAATGTGTTGCTAAGCTATAGTATGTATATTACTTTAAAAATAAATGCATTCCCGGGGCGCGGTGGCTCACGCCTGTAATCCCAGCACTTTGGGAGGCCGAGCGGGCAGATCATGAGGTCAGGAGGTAGAGACCATCCTGGCTAACACGGTGAAACCCTGTCTCTACTAAAAATACAAAAAAGTAGCCGGGCGTGGTGGCACGCGCCTGTAATCCCAGCTACTCAGGAGGCTGAGGCAGGAGAATTGCTTGAACCCGGGAGGCAGAACTTGAGCCTAGATCATGCCATTGCACTCCAGCCTGGTGACAGAGCAAGACTCAGACTCAAAAAAAAAAAAAAAAAAAAGCAACTGCATTCCTAAATATTGAATATCATTAAGTGTATGCAGGAGGTATGATACCACTTTTTAAAATGCTACTGATACTCCCTAGGTCTGACCCCAAGCTCCCTTAGAGACAGGTGGCCATAAATTCCTCTTCAGTAATTTTAGGGTCCCTCCCCCTCCCAGGTGTCACATCACCACGATGGGAAACTCACCCAAAGTCGGGAGTAGGGGCCCTGCATTTCCATGCCATAGTCTCTGATACTGACACCATGGGAGTCCCGATCTCTGGGTCCTGGGAGTCTGTGGGGGCTGCTTCCAGGAAGAGTGTGCTTGGGACAGGAGCCTGGGTGCAGCCGGAAGACCTTCTGAGCTCAGCCCTGCCCAGATGCCTCAATGGAGAGCACACCTCTGCTCCCCAGTGCAGGGCTCATTCCTGTGGGAGGGAATCTCCCCTTGGGTGCTGAGATCCACATCTGAAGAGTGTTGTGGTTAGCTGTGTTCAGGGATTAGGGGAAGGGGTCCTGGTGAAGTTAATGGGGAGACTGAAGGCCCCCAAGCTTCCCTTTGGTGCCATCACTATTTACCTCCACCCTGCAACTACATCTTATACAAGATAGGAAACGGTAGCCACTGTCCCCTCTGCCCTCCTGGCATCCTGGGCATATATATATATATATATTTGAGACAGAGTGTTGCTTTGCCACCCAGGCTGCAATGCAGTCGTGTGATCTCGGCTCACTGCAACCTCTACCTCCCAGGTTCAAGCGATTCTTCTGCCTTAGACTCCGGAGTAGCTGGGATTACAGGCACCTGCCACCACACCTGGCTAATTTGTGTATTTTTAGTAGAGATGGGGTTTCCATGTTGGCCAGGATGGTCTTGAACTCCTGACCTCAGGTGATCCACCTGCTTCAGCCTCCCAAAGTGCTGGGATTACAGGTATGAGCCACCGAGCCTGGCCGGCTTATATATTTTTAATAAAAGAAAGGAAGAGCCAGTCCAACATGATCCTGCAAACATCTCTCTTTTAAAATACCTTTGCCTAAATATCCGTAGGGATGTCTGAAGCTGTGAGTGAGGAGTAGGGGTGATGGGAGAGGATGGACTTTACCCGGAGCCCTCCGTTTTTAAAGGAAAGTGCCTGACTTCTGAAATTAGTTGAAATTTAAAAATCTCTGTGGCAAGAAGGCATCAAAGGGTCTTGCTACCTGAAAAGGGTGTGTGTGTGTTGGGGAAAGGGCAGTATGCTGGGAGAAAAAAAATTCACCTTGCGGCCAGGCGCGGTGGCTCACGTCTATAATCTTAGCACTTTGGGAAGCCAAGGTGGGTGGATCACCTGAGGTTAGGAGTTCTAGACCAGCCTAGCCAACATGGTGAAACCTTGTCCTTACTAAAAATACAAAAATTAGCCGGGTATGATGGCACATCCCAGCTACTTGGGAGGCTCAGGCAGGAGAATCACTTGAACCTGGGAGGTAGAGATTGCAGTGAGCCAAGATTGCGCTGATGCGTTCTAGCTTGGGCGAGACTTTGTCTAAAAAAAAAAAAAAAAAAAAAAAAAAAAAGGGCCTGGCGCCGTGGCTCATGGCTGTAATCCCAGCACTCTGGGAGGCCAAGGCAGGAGGATCACCTGAGTTCAGGAGTTCGAGTCCAGCCTGGACAACATGGTGAAACCCCGTCTCTACCAAAAATACAAAAATTAGACGGGCATGGTGGTGCATTCCTGTAGTCCCAGCTACTTGGGAGGCTGAGGCAAGAGAATGGCTTGAACCCAGGAGGTGGATGTTGCAGTGAGCCAAGATTGCGCCACTGTACTCCAGGCTGGGTGACAGAACGAGACTCTGTCTTAAAAAAAACAAAAACAAAACAAAACAAAACAAAAAATTCACCTTGCAATAAATTATCCTGCCACAAATGTTTATGTTTAATTCATTTTGTATCCTATCCCTTTCCCCTCAACCCCCAAAGAAATCATGAGGGATCCAGTTTATAGTTGTGCTGTTAGTTGCTTGAATCCTAAATCTTGGAGTACAAACTGATCAGGGTTCCCAGGTCTACCTGGTGAAGGGCAACCCAAGGTGTCTGTGGGGCCCAAGGAAAGTCTAGGCCCTCATTGTTCACCAGCTGTATCCACGGAGAGCTTGTCAGACATGTGGAATCTCAAGACCCACTAAAGCTTAAGCTGTATTTCTTTCTTTTCTTTTCTTTTTTTCCTGTTGCCGAGGTTGGAGTGCAGTGGTATGATCATAGCTCACAGTAGCCTGGACCTCCTGGGTTCAAGTGATCCTCCTGCTTCAGCCTCCTGAGTAGCTGGGACTACAGGCACACACCACCATGCCTGGCTAATTAAAAAACAGTATTTTTGTATAGAGACCGGGGTCTTGTGCCCACATCACCCAGGTTGGTCTCAAACTCCTAGCCTCAAGTGATCCTCCCGCCTTGGCCTCCTAAAATGTTGGTATTACAGGCATGAGCCGCTGCCTTAAGATGCGTTCTAATAACATCCCAGCTGATTCATGTGCACAGTGCGGTTTGAGAAGCACTGCTCTTGGAGAGAAGGCGCTGGGTGGGAGTTGCTATTATTGGAAGAGTCACAAGAGCTTTTGGCTGTGAGAACCCCCCGTGGGGTTAGCAGGGTTCAGGCCCCTGGTGTGAGCAGATGTGGTTCTCACTCTAGCGCTGAGTCTCCATGGCGGGGCAGGCTCACCTGCTGAGCAACAGCCCTGCTCACCTGAATGGAACTCCCAGGTCTGCTTATTACTTAGACCTTTGTTCTAATTTCATGGTTTCTGCCTTGGGTTGTGTCATCCTGGACTTGCAAGGCTCAAGTGTGGCGTAAGTCACCATCACCAGGGCTGATGAATTTCCCACTCTGGTGACGCCTTAATTGAAGGTGAGGCTCTCCTTTCATTAGCAAGATTCCTACCTCCTGTCTAAACTGTCACCTCAAAGACCTGGGGGGAAAAAGAGGCTGACCTCATAGTGTGGCCTCAGTTACTGTGGCTTTGGTGGCTTCTCTAAATTTATCAGTGTTTCAGGCAAGCCCATGGCATAATTACTCAAGGCCCCGGGAATGTTGGCATCAATGATTTTGTTTCTCAAACCAATGAATAAATATTCTTCTGGCTTTTACTCCTTGCAACTGCTTTACTATAGAAGAAAGCATTTTATTTCAGCCAATTCTCACTACCATCCTTTGGGGGAAGGGCATTGCTATTATTCCCAGTTTACAGAAAGGAAAACAGTGCTCGCTTTGGCAGTACATATACTAAAATTGGAACGATACAGAGAAGATTAGCATGGCCCCTGCACAAGGATGACATGCAAATTCGTGAAGCGTTCCATATTTTTGCCGGGTGTGGTGGCTCATGCCTGTAATCTCAGCACTTTGGGAGGCTGAGGTGGGTGGATCATGAGGTCCGGAGTTCGAGACCAGCCTGGCCAACATAGTGAAACCCTGTATCTACTAAAAATACAAAAAATTAGCCGGGCGTGGTGGCGGGTGCCTGTAATCTCAGCTACTCTAGAGGCTGAGGCAGGAGAATTGCTGGAACCCGGGAGGGGGAGGCTGCAGAGAGCCGAGATTACACCATTGCACTCCAGCTTGGGCAACAGTGTAAGACTCCATCTCAAAAAAAAAAAAAAAAAAAGAAAGAAAAAAGAAAGGAAAACAGTCAGAGAGGTAAGGTCACTTTTTCAAGGTCACACAGCAAATTAAATGGCTGAGTGGGGACCCAAACCCAGATCTGCCTGTCACCAAAGCCAGTGCTCTCTGTCCTCCTGGGCTATACCTGGCCTTTCGAGGACATAATTCCCTGGTAGAGGCTGTCAATTGTTTTCTTTCAGGCAAAGAAGAAAAGCTGGAATGTTCTTTTGGATGATCTTGGTCATCTTCTCTTGCCTCTCCCAGTTGAGGGGCAAGCATGTTTCCCGGCTTGCCTTGTTCCTCTTCTCTTATGAATGACTTGGCCCCAGAAATGTAGCTCCTCTGCTCCAATGGCTTCTTGGAAGGCCAAAAATTGAGCCTGGGACACTTGCCCACAGGGATTGTGGCCAGCTGGGCAAATGCCTGTGGCTGAGTGGCCGTCTGGCCATGACCCTTCCAAGGACAGACGTCAACTCTGCAGCTCCGTGAGATTACCCTGAGTGGTTGCTTTGATACTGGGGAAGAGGCTGGAGGATTCTTTGATGGACATGACCCTGGGAGGGAAACAGATCTGAGTTCAAGGTCTACCTATTCAGGGCTGCATGGTGACTTTCCTGAGCCCTAGGTACTTTTGCCTTGGTGAGTTTGTTTTGCCGCTAAAAAGAACATTTAAAAAATAGATTTTTGGCCAGGCATGGTGGCTCACGCCTGTAATCCCAGCACTTTGGGAGGCTGAGGCAGAAGGATCACTGGAGCCCAGGAGTTCAAGACCAGCCTGGGCAACATAGCAAGACCTCATCTCTACTACATCTTTTAAAAATTAGCTAGATATGGTGGCACACGCCTGTGGTTTCAGCTACTCAGGGAACTGAGGTGGGAGGATTGCTTGAGCCCAGGAGGTCGAGGCTGCAGTGAGCTCTGATTGTGCCACTGCACTCCAGCCTGGGCAACAGAGTGAGACCCTGTCTCCAAAAAACAAACAAACAAACAAAGGTTATTCTTAATTTTAAAAACTAAAATAAAAAATAAAAATAGATTTTCCTGCTATATTGGTATAAAGGTGAATATGTTAATTTTATATATGAAATCATTATCTTTGCCCTAAAAGTTCATTTTTTCCCCTTCTGATTTTAAGTGAAATTAAAACGTTTTTATGGGTCCTTAAAAGTATTATGGTCTGTAATCACTGTGCCTATTGTACCTACTGGGGAAGTTGGCCTAGTGTTTGGGTCTGTGGTGACCTTGAGTGAGCTGACTGACTTTTTGGGCCTCAGTTTTCTCATCTGTAAAATGGGTATAGCAACAGCATCTGTTTTAATCCGTAGCAAGTGACTAGCAGAGAGGCAGCTTTGTGGCTGTTAGTATCTAGTTAGGGCTCAATCAGTAAAGCTATCTACACTACCTTCTGCTGGGGGGTGAGGGGCTTGTGCGTGGAGGGGGCTGGGCTTGTAGTGGAGAGGGGCTGAGTGCCTCCTGTAGGGAGTGGGCTGTTACTCAGGCACTTAACTAAAAGGCCACTAGGGGCCAAGGTTTCTGCTGTCAGCCCTGCTTCCTGCTCCAGCATCATAAAGCATTAGGGCCTGAAGGGTCCTCAGGGCCTTTCCTCTGCCCAGGTCTGCCAGAGACGGGATCCATCAGGGTAGAGCTGGGACAAGAACCCAGGCTGGGACCCTGGTCCAATGCCGCGGGGCCCCACCCAGGCTGTCTTCTGAGGTGCCACCCTCAGGTAGATGATGACAAGCAGCTCTCCTTGGCAAGCTCTCCCTCCCGCCACCCACGTTGGCTTCTTGGCCTTTTTGCCACTCACACCATTTCCTCATGGCCACATCTGCACACAGGCCTCCATGTGCAGCACCCAGAGAGGGCCTGGGTTTCAATGGCGGCACAGCCTTGGGCCGAGTCCCGGTCTACCATTGCCTTACCGGGCAGGTGGCCTCACGTTGGCATCCTCACCTGAGAAAGGGACCTAAGCACGCTTCCTACCTCACAGGGCATTTGCAAAGGTGACATTAGATGATGCAGGTAAAGCACTTGTACAGGCAGGGGCTCCCTCATGATGAGGAAGGAGAGGAGGAGGAGGAGCGCAGAGTGGCTTCTTCCATTCTCTCCTCTGGAGGCTGCTCAGGGAAGAGCCTCCAAGAGGGCCAGGGGCCACGTGGCAGGCTGCCTGGGTTACAAATCCCAGCCTGCTCCTTACTGGTGGCATGACTTTGGGGAAGCACTTCACCTTTCTGTGCCTCAGTTTCTTCACCTGAAAAGAGGGTACAACAATAGAACTTCCCTCAAGGGGTTGTTGGGAGAAATAAGTAAGTGAACATACCTCAGAGGCTTCAATAGGCACCTGGTGTGTAGTTAGTGCTCAGTACAAAATGAGGTATTTTTCTTTTCTTGGGACACACCACAGATGACAAATCAGCTTTCATCTTCAGGATGGAACCTTCTAGAACTGGCATGGGGTTCCAGAAATGGGAGTTCTCAGTTCCTTTCTCTCCAAAATGTGAGAGACACGTGCTGTGCCCACTGGAGGGTTTGTGGAGTGCAGCCCAGGGAAATTTGTGACCATCCATGGCCTCGTGGTTGCTTAAGCCCAAGGGGGTGACTTCTAGACCTCAGAAAACGGCCATGGGACAGGGAGGTTGTGGTCCTGAAAATGGTCGTGATGTGTCGCATGGGCAGCATGAGGCTCAGCAGAACGGAAGCTCCAGGAACTCTGAGGGACAGGCAGGAGAAGGGAAGGGATGACAGGTGTTGAGCGTCTCCTCTGTGCCAGGCATGGGCTGGCTCTCTGGCTCTGCTCCGGATTTGTGGAAACTGCCCTGGGTGAACCTTGTTCAGGTGAATGGGCCAGCAGGTCAGCCAGGGCCCTCAGCTGTCTGGCCTCAGCCCTCACCACGTCTCTGCAGCCGGCAGTGGCCTTGGACGTAGAGCCAACCAGACACTGAGATGTGGCCTGTGGCCATGGCCCAAGGGAAGCTACTGGCTGCCAAGTCACTGAAGTGAGACCCTGAGCTCGCTGACGCCAGGCTCCCACCAGCCACAGGCTGTTCACGGCTCTGCTTCCTTTTAGCTTTTCTCTTGTGGGATCGCTTTAGTCTGATGCGGACCCTGAATGAGAGATGACGGGGTCCATGCTTTCTGCACGCTCCTTTCCTGAAGTGACTCTTGTCACCTGAGTCCTTATTGGCAGCTGGCATAAAATATTAAAGCCTAACTGAGCGTGTGAGTTGCAGAGCCTTCCTAGCAGACTCTGGTTTCACAGTCCCAAGGCAGCAGCTGCAGGGAGGGTCTGCAGCAGGCCCCAGTGTCCCAGCGCAGCACCGTGTGGAGCAGCCCCAGACGCACTTCTGCTCAGCAGCCACATTCTGGGAGTCCGAGGTCCAGAGTATGACCACGGTGAGAGGTATGTACTCTAGTGGCAGAATATGATCAGGAATCTGACTTTTGGAATCAGAACTGAACTCCACTGTGTGTCTCAGCAGAACAAACTGTCAGCTTCCTCTGTGATGACCAAATCAAAACACTTATGCACACAGGGAAGTGAGGGTCGGATACAATTTTCCTGCACCTGTTCTCTTCCTCTCTACCAAGACTTCTTAATGTGCCATCTATGAGCCTCCCTCTAGTAACTGAATGCAAAATCATCACATAGTTTATTTTGTTTTGTTTTGTTTGTTTCTCGAGAAAGAACTGGTATTTTACGTGAAATTTTCAAAAGAGTGGTGGTTCCTAACCCAATATTTTTTAATGTTTAAATTTAAATTTAAACATTTAAAAACACTGGCAGTTCCACTTTTAGGAATAGTCACTACCACCTTTAATGAGATAAAAGATCTAGGTATAAGGGCATTCTTGGAAGTATGGTGGTCACAAAAGACTAGAAATAACTCGATTACCTGTTAATAGGGAACTGGTTCAATCAGTTGGGTCCACTCTTTGAAAAAAGTACAACCATAGAAGGACAAGTGTGTATGCATGACGTGGAGAGCTTTCCAACAGGGTGAAGTGTGAAAAGCAAAGCACAGGATAGCATGTGAACTGTGCTCTGGACTCCCATGGTGGGGGAAGCGGGCATTTTGGGGTGTGGGCTTGTATGTGGGGACTATTCTGGGGAAGGACCCTCCAGCCACTGGTGGCAATGATTCCCTCAGAGGAGGGAGGCAGAGGACGGAGGTTAAGGGTGAGAGGGAGACTTACTTTTCACCATAGTTTGCACTGTTTGAACATATATGGCTTAAAAACAGTTAAACAAGAAAACAAGCCAGGTGCAATGGCTCATGCCTGTAATCCCAGCACTTTGGGAGACCAAGGTGGGTGGATTGATAGCTTGAGTCCAGGAGTTCGAGACCAGCCTGAGCAACATGGCAAAACTTTTCTCTACAAAAATGGAAAAAATTAGCCAGTCATGGTGGTGCACACCTGTACTCCCCCAGCTACTCAGGAGGCTGAGAGGTGGAAAGATTGTTTGAGACTGGGAGGTCAAGGCTGCAGTGAGCTGAGATCATGTCACTGCACTCCAGCCTGGGCGACAGAGTGAGACCTTGCCTCAAAACAAAACAAAAACAAACAAACAAAAAACAAAAAAGAAAAGAAAACAACCTCAGAATTGTTTTCCAAAGAACCTAAGTAGATAGAGGCATTTGAACAGCAGAGCTGAGGCTGAACGTGGGGCAGCTAATTTGGGTGGGCAGCTGCCACTCTAAATTAGGAAGGTGGCCAAGGTCAAAGCCTGACTCACAGCTGGCCCCACAGTGGCCTCAGGGGTTAAATGGAGTGGCGTCCTCCTGGCATGGTGTTTAACAGCCTGCTGCATCCAAGCTCATATCCTTGTTATAATCACACGTATCTATGCTTTCATGAATGGAGCCGAAAGTCCATGTGCAAACCCCATTTTCCCTTTGAGGCTGGGGTCAAGCCAGAGTCTTGCTTTAGTGCAGATGCTTGGCATTTGTTGGGGAGGGACAAAGAGAAGGAGCCTGGCCAGTGATTCATGAGGACTGATGGTGGTGCCTCTCCTCCACCTCACTTAGGTGTGGGACTCGCTGCTCAGCAGGTAACAGGAGGCAAGTCCCTCAAGAGGTCATCTGTGTTGCAGAGCAGCCTGGGATTGCCCAAGGGCTGGGCAATCTACCTGCTAGGAGGGCTGGGCTGGGGTGAGTTGTGCTGTAGGCCACATTCCTTTGTTGTGAAGTGCCCTGTTGACATCCATCCATCCATCTCATTGGTTCTGGCCGCAGTGATATCTGAGTAGGCTTGGGAGGCAGGTTAACTATTTGATGAGAGAGGGCCTGGTTGAGAGGTGCCAATGGTGCTGGCTCACATTGGTCATCCCAGCACTTTGGGAGGCCAAGATGGGAGGATCGCTTGAGGCCAGGAGATCGAGACCAACCTAGGAATAGAGCGAGACCCCATCTTTACAAAAATTCCTTAGAAAAAGGTACCGGGGGTGCAGGGCTGGCCTCCCCACCTTGTTCATTGCACCTACAGGGCCTCAGTAGTGATTTCAGGCAAAGGGCTACATGGAATCTTTTGTTTTTCTGTTTTTGTTTTTGTTTTTCTTTGAGACAGCGTCTTGCTCTGTCATCCAGGGTGGAGTGCAGGGGCACCATCTTGGTTCACTGCAACCTCCGCCTCCTGTGCTCAGGCAATCTTCCCATCTCAGTCTCCCAAGTAGCTTGAACTACAGGCATGCACCACCACGCCTGGCTAATTTTTGTATTTTTTGTAGGGACAGGGTTTCATTATGTTTCCCAGGCTGGTTATGAACTCCTGACCTGAAGTGATCCACCTGCCTTGGCCTCCCAAAGTGCTGGGATTACAGGTGTGAGCCACTGCACCCAGCCCTACTTGGAATCTTGTTCTCTGCAGTGAACATCTCATTTTGCCAGAAAGCCACTGGCCCAGCTCTTGCTGGGTGGGCTGAGATGTCCAGTCTGCCCTCAGCCTACCCACTACAAGCCTGCCTCTGGCTGGTGGTGCAGACTCAGTGGCTCCCCCAAGGCAGGGAGCCTCACTGGACCAACAGAGGTTCTTATGCACCCAGATCTCCATCTACAAAGCTTGCCTGCAATTAGGCTGACTGACCATCCTGGGAGTTTTCCAGCATGCAGGACTTTCAGTGCCAAAACCAGGACAACCCCAGGCAAACCTGGACGGTTGATCACCCTCCCTGGAAGCCTGCCACCAGCAAGACGTGCTCTCCCTGACAGGACTCTGCAAGGGCAGGAACCATGCATTTCTTTCTTTCTTTTTTCTTTCATAATTGCAGACTTTATTCTCGCAATTTTTCTATAGATTCCTCAAGTATTAGTAGTTTAGGCTGGGCGTGGTGGCTCACACCTGTAATCCCAGCACTTTGCAAGGCCCAGGCGGGCAGATCATGAGGTCAGGAGTTTGAGGCCAGCCTGGCCAACGTGGTGAAACACCATCTCTACTAAAAACACACACACACACACACACACACACACACACACACACACACAAAGTAGCCGGGTGTGGTGGTGCACACCTGTAACCCCAGCTACTCAGGAGGCTGAGACAGGAGAATCGCTGGAACCTGGGGGGTGGAGGTTGCAGTGAGCCAAGACCGCACCACTGCACTCCAGCCTGGGCAACAGAGTGAGACTCTTGCCTCTGAAATTGTTTAAGAGTACAGTACATACATAATGCCTCTTAACCCTTGAATACTTCACTGTATGTTTCCTAAAAACAAGAAATTCTCTTTTATAACTGTGAACCCAAAGTATCTGAGACAGGTCTCAATCGATTTAGAAAGTTTATTTTGCCAAGGTTAAGGACATGCCCATGACACAGCCTCAGGAGGTCCTGAGGAGAAGTGCCCAAGGTAGTCAGGGCACAGCTTGCTTGTATACATTTTAGGGAGACATAATATATCAATCCATACATATAAGATTTACGTTGGTTCCATCTGGAAGAGTGGTGCAACTCAAAGCAGGGGCTTCCAGGTCATAGGTTGATTTAAAATTTTTCTGCTTGGTAATTGGTTGAAAGAGTTATTATCAATAGGAAGAAATGTCTGAGTTATGATAAGGGGTTGTAGAGACCATGGTTTTATCATGCAGATGAAGAATAGATTGTAAATGTTTCTTATCAGACTTAAGGTCTGTGTTGATGTTAATGCTGGTCGACTTTTGAATTCCAAAAGGGAGGAAAGTATAATGAGGCTTGTCCAAACCCTCTTCCATCATAGTCTAAACCAGTTTTTCAAGTTAACGTTAGAATGCCCTTGGCCAAGAGGAGGGGTTTATTCAGATGGTTGGGGGGGACCTTAGAATTTAATTTTTGGTTTACATAACCAATATACAATGATCACAATCAGGAAATTAACATTGAAACAACACTGCTACCTAATAATCTACAGACTGTATTGGGATTTTGTCAATTGCTCCAAGAATGTCTTTCATGGCAAAAGGAAATCCAAGCTCTGTGTTGCCTTCAATCTGGAACAGTCTCTGAGTTTTTCTTTGTATTTCATGACACTGGCATTTTATTTATTTTATTATTTTATTTTATTTTATTTATTTTTTGAGATGGAGTCTTGCTCTGTCGCCCAGGCTGGAGTGCAATGGTGTGATCTCGGCTCACTGCAACCTCCACCTCCTGGGTTCAAGCCATTCTCCTGCCTCAGCCTCCTGAGTAGCTGGGATTACAGGTGCCCGCTGCCACACCCAGCTACTTTTTGTATTTTCAGTAGGGACGGGGTTTCACCATGTTGGGCAGGCTGGTCTCAAACTCCTCAAGTGAGCCGCCTGCCTCAGCCTCCCAAAGTGTTAGGATTACAGGTGTGAGCCACCGCGCCCAGCCACATTGGCATTTTAAAAGAGGACAGGCCAGTTATTTTGTAGAATGAAAGGCCCTCCAGCAGGGAGTGCTCCCATGTATTGAGCAGCTACTGTGTTCCAGGATCTTCCTGTACATGATCTCATTCATCTCTTCAACAACCCTTTGAGGGACAAGTGATTACTTTTGCACAGAAGGAAACAGGCTCAGAGAGGTTAAGAGGCTTGCCTGAGGGTGCTCAGCCCCGAAAGGTGCTCCAAGCTTAACTCCAGATCCCATTTTCTTAACCACATGGCCATTGTATCTTGGGGAATTTTCTTGTTTTACTTGCAGTTTTTTGTTTTAGTTTTTGTTTTTGTTTTTATTTTTGAGACAGGGTCTCACTCTGTCACCCAGGCTGAGTGCAGTGGCTCCATCACAGCTCACTGCAGCCTTGATCTCCCAGGCTCAAGTGATCCTTTCACCTCAGCCTCCTGAAGAGTTGGGACCACAGGCATACGCCACCATGCCAGGCTAATCTTTATTTTTGGTAGAGACGGGTCTCACTCTGTCATGTAGACTGGAGTGCAGTGGTGGGAACAAGCCTCACTGCCACCTCGTACTCCTGGGCTCAAGTCATCCTCCCACCTCAGCCTCCCAAAGTGCTGGGACTATAGGCATGAGCCACAATGCCCACACAAATTTTTTTTCTTTTTTTAACTTCAGGAATTCTGAGGTCAGCGAAGTGTTGTCATGGTGCTCAGCTATCTCCTACCTATAATAGCACCCCTCCCCGAATATGTACCAGTAGAGATAAGAAGGTTGACCTTTATACTTTCCCCAGGCCTACAAGAAACAGCGGGGGGCAATTAGTCTTCAGCACTTAGGAAAGATTGCCAGCAAATGGGCACAGAGGATTGTAGGATGAAAGTTCACCTTTGAGTCTAGAAATCACTGCCTCCTAATTCAAGTCCTCGTTATAGGTTGGGGCAGAAGATGGACTAATAAACTCTTCCCTGTTCTGGTCTCTGTGGTGGTAGCTGTAGCTAAAGCAGCAGAGAGTTACCTGGTTTTCCTTCTTGCTTCCTGTCCCTGCGCAAAGCTACAGCCAGAGACAGAACATCCTTTCGCAAGGTCTGGTCATTCTCCTCCAGGAAGTCCTCTTGGCTTGATGCCCAGCCACCCCTCTTCGCTCTCCCAATATTTCCCCAGCTTCTACCTGGGTCTGCATCTCCCAGACCACTCTCCTTGTCATACCCAATGGTCAGCCCAGTCTTTTGCCAGGCTTTGGGTTATTTATCTGTGACTCCATAGTCCTCCCTTTTTTTTTTTTTAATACACAGGCTTGCTGTGTCACTCAGGCTGGAGTGCAATGGTGTAATCTTCGCTCACTGCGGCCTCGAACTTCTGCTTCAAGGGATCCTCCTGCCTCAGTCTCCTGAGTAGCTGGGACTATAGGTGTGTGCTACCTCACCTGGCTAATTTTTTAAATAGACATTTTTTTTTTGTAGATGCAGAGTCTTGCTGTGTTGTCCAGGCTGGTCTCAAACTCCTGGGCTCAAGTGATACTGCTGCCTCAGCCTCCCATAGTGCTGGGATAATAGGCATGAGCCACTGCACCTTACCTGTATTCTCTATTGAATTCATTCATTTATTCATTCAACAAATATCTACTGAAGACCTATGTGGAAGCACTGTGCTAAGCGCTGGAGTCAGCAGGGAACAAGACAAAGTCCTTGCCTCTTGTCTTCATGAGAGAAAGACGATTAAGAAGCAAATGATAAATAAACAGGGTAATCATAGGTTTTGCTAAGTGCAATGAAGGAAATAAACCAGGAGGTTAAGGTAGAGAATAACTGGGAGCCATCAACTCTAAGATCACTCTGGGCTGGGCACAGTGGTTCACACCCATAATGCCAGCACTTGGGAGGCTGAGGTGGGAGGATCACTTCAGTTCAGGAGTTCAAGACAAGCCTGGGCAACAAAACACAGTGAGGCCTCATCTCTACGAAGAATAAAAAAATTAGCCGAGTGTTATGGCGTGCACCTATAGCCCCAGCTACTCAGAAGGCTGAGGTGGGGGAATTGCTTGAGCCGAGGGATTCGAGGCTGCAGTGAGCTATGATCACACCACTGCACTGCACTCCAGCCTGGGTGACAAAGTGAGATCTTGTCTCTCAAAAAATAAAAAATAAAGTCACTCTGAAAAGTGGACAGCTGAGCTGCATGGAGTTCAAGGAATGGCATCCCAGGCAGAGGAAACAGCGAGTGCAAAGGCCTGGTGCCACATTTTAAAGTCAGAAGGTAGCCGGGTGCAATGGCTCATGCCTGTAATCCCAGCACTTTGGCAGGCAAATCACTTGAGGTCAGGAGTTCAAGACCAGCCTGGCCAACATAGTGAAACCCCATCTCTACTAAAAATACAAAAAATTAGCCGGGCATGGTGCTGGCGCCTGTAATCCCAGCTACTCAGGAGACTGAGGCAGGAATATTGTTAGAACCCAGGAGGCGGAGGTTGGAGTGAGCCGAGATCGTGCCATTGCACTCTAGCCTGGGCAACAAGAATGAAACTCCATCTCAATAAATAAATAAAATAAAAATAAAAGGGCCAGGCACGGTGGCTCACGCCTGTAATCCCAGCACTTTGGGAGGCTGAGGCAGGCAGATCACGAGCTCAGGAGTTCGAGACCAGCCTGACCAACATGGTGAAGCCCTGTCTCTACTAAAAATACAAAAATTTGCCGGGTGCAGTGGCAGGTGCCTGCAATCCTAGCTACTCAGGAGGCTGAGGCAGGAGAATCGCTTGAACCTGGGAGGCGGAGGCTGCAGTGAGCGGAGATCACACCATTGCACTCCAGCCTGGGTGACAGAGCGAGACTCCATCTCAATAAATAAATAAATAAATAAAATTTAAAAAAATAAAAAATAAATACAAATAAAATAAAGTTTGAAGGTGACAGTCTCTCCTTTATATGTTAAGACTTCTCTGGCTGCTGTGTGCTGGTGTCCAAACAGGAGATATCTCGGAGTCCAATCCTCCTGCTTGCGCCAAGTCATGTACCCCACTCTTAGGCTCAAGCCATCCTCTCTCCTCAGCCTCCCAGGTAGCTAGCACTACAGGCACATGATACTGTGCCTGGCCAATATTTTAATTTTTTGTAGAGACAGGGTCTCCCTGTGTTGCCCAGGCTGGTCTTGAGCTCCTAGGCTCAAGTGATCCTCCTGTCTCGGCCTCCCAAAGTACTGGGAGTACATGCGTGAGCCACCATGCCCAGCCAATAGTACGGATTTTGTGGGACCCTTGTGAGCATTCAACGTGAAGACACTGGACCGTTCTGGAGCTACGTCTGGGGTGGGGCTGACAGTGGGGCTGACAGTGGGGCTGTGCCTGTATCTCGTCCCTTCTTGGCTGGCAGCAACTGGAGGAACAGCACCTGCCACACCTGCTACTGTCTCCCCAGACTCCGTGGCTCAGCTGTGAGCTGTGAGGGCCCCCTGGATTCTTGGATTTTCTCCACATTGTCACTGCTCAAATAGCTGGCCTTGCTGCTGGCAGAGAACAGACAGGGGATGAGGAGCTGATATTTGAGGAGGTAAATTTAAGCAGCAGGTTTACAATATGTTTTATGAGCTTGGCAGGTGTAGCTGAAGTGGGTGTTATCAGTAAACACAGCAATGGCATTGACCACGCTGGGCAAATAGCCTCGAGGAGCTTACAAAGCCTTGGAACGTTCCCACGAGGTCTCCATTTGGAGCCTACATAGTGCAGTATACTGGATCTGGGGGTCAAAAGACCTGCCACTCAGCCAGGCTGGTGGTTCACACCTATAATCCCAGCACTTTGGGAGGCCGAGGCAGGAGGATCCCTTGAGCCCAGGAGTTTGAGACCAGACTGGGCAACATAGTGAGATCCAGTCTCCACAAAAAAGTAAATTAGCTGGGCTTCGTAGCACATGCCTATAATCCCCGCTATTGGAGAGGCTGAGGTGGGAGGATCACTTGAGCCTGGGAGGTCAACACTGCAGTGAGCTGTGATTGTGCCACTGTACTCCAGCCTGGGTGACAGAGGGATATCCATTCTCAAAAGAAAACCAAAAAGACCTTCCTCTTGTTAGCTATATGACCATGGATACGTTAATTAATGGAACCCACTGTTTCCTTACCAACTGTTTCCCAAGCCCCTCAAGGTTTTGTTGGCAAGAAGAAAATGTAACAATAGACCAGGCATGGTGGCTCATGCCTGTAATCCCAGCACTTTGGGAAGCTAAGGCAGGCAGACCACTTGGGGTCAGGAGTTCGAGACCAGCCTGGCCAACATGGTGAAATTCCATCTCTACTAAAGATAGAGGTGGAGGGTGCAGTGAGCAGAGATCACGCCACTGCACTCCAGCCTGGGCAAAAAAGTGAGACTCTGTCTCAAAACATAGAAAAGAACAAAAAAAAAAAAAAAGAAAGAAAGAAAATGTGACAATGGCCAGGAGAAGCTTTGTAAGTGATGAAATGCTAAGCTTCTGTGAGGAGATGGTGATGATGATGGTGATGGGTGAGACAATGTAGTGTGGATTCTAGAATCAGAGGCTGGGTGATTTCTGGCAAGTTGCTTAACCTCTCTGAGCCTCTTATCTGTAAGATGAGGATAAAAGCAATATCAGTCTTATTAAGAAGATTACACATGGTGTATTGAGTTGAATAATGTTCCCCCAAATTTATATCCACCTGGAACCCTGGGAATATGACCTTATTTGGAACCTTTTTGGGCCTTTGCAGAGGTATGCAGAGGTCATACTGGATTAGCGTAGGCCTTAAGTCCAATATGACTGGTGTCCTCCTAAGAAGAGGGAGATTTGGACACAGAGACAGATAAACAGAGAGAACACCATGTGCAGGTGGAAAGAGACTGGTGTGACATGCCCATAAGCCGAGGTGCACTGAAGATCGCCCGCCTCCAGCAGAAGCTGGAAGAGGAAAAGAAGGATTCTCTCCTAGGCCTTCAGGAGGAGTGTGGCCCCACTGACACCATGGGTTTGGATTTCTGGCCTCTAGAGCTGTAAGAGAATACAGTCCTTTTTCTTTTTCTTTTCTTTCTTCTCTTTTTTTTTTTCTGTTGAGACAGAGTCTCTCTCTGTCACCCAGGCTGGAGTGCAATGGTGCGATCTCAGCTTATTGCAACCTCTACCTCCTGGGTTCAAACGATTCTCCTGCCTCAGCCTCCTGAGTAGCTGGGACTACAGGCTCCTACCACCATGCCCGGCTAATTTCTGTATTTTTAGTAGAGACAGGGTTTCGCCATGTTGGCCAGGCTGCTCTCAAACTCCTGACCTCAGGTTATCTGCCCGCCTCAGCCTCCCAAAGTGCTGGGATTACAGGCGTGAGCCACCACGCCTGGCCGAGAGAATACGTTTTTGTTGTTTTAAGCCATGCAGTTTGTGGCAGTTTGCGACGGCAGCCCCAGGAAATGAATGCATGTGATAATTCAGAAAAAGTGCTCCATGCCATGGTGCCCGGCATGTAGTGAGTGTGAAGGGTTAGCTGTGATTATTATTGTTATCATTCTTAGTATTATGGTTCAAGGTCGGTTGTGATGGCCACAGATTTGGTCACAGGGAGACCCCTCCAACCTCCCTGGCCTCAAGTCTTACTGGGGGTGGGATGGGTTCCCTGGTCTTGGTTTCCCATGAGCTCCTGCCTGGAAGGGGTGGCTGTCCCTGTGGCAGTGGCTGACTTCCACGGATCCCTGAGGGGAGAGTTCTGTTGAGGTTGGTGGGGGTGCCCTCCAAGACTCCTGGTTGTGGGGAGGGGTGGAGGCTGCCTGGTGTGGCAGCTGCCCAGGGCTGGTTTCTGGAGCACAGCTCAGCAGATGCCTCAGGAACCTGTCTGGCAACAACATTCCTCCGCCACTCAGAGCAGCCAGCTGTCACTCGCAGCCCGTGTGGTTTTGTAAGGCGCAGACAAGGAACGTCAGCTGCTTCCCAGCAGGGCCCGTGAGTCACTTCGGCAGCTCTGAGCCCAGAGTTTCCCCTGTGGCGGCCAAAACCTTTGCCTCTTGGCCCAGCTTCTGTCC
Organism: Homo sapiens; assembly: GCF_000001405.40. Classification (NCBI taxonomy): domain Eukaryota; kingdom Metazoa; phylum Chordata; class Mammalia; order Primates; family Hominidae; genus Homo; species Homo sapiens. The sequence continues at coordinate 57,816,403 of NC_000016.10, read as the reverse complement.
TGTGACCAAAGGCGGGTCTTCTGAGGCCTTCCTCAAGAGGAAGCCAGGAGGGGCAGGCCCCAGGATCCTGAAGACACACGGGAAGACAGATCCCACCGCACTTCCTTACTTCCTCAGGCTTCTGGGTTTGGGGCAAGGAGTGTCGTGATTTGGGTTGACACTTTCCGGGCCTCGGTTTTCTCACCTGTGAATGGGGATGTTGTGAGAACTTGATGAACTATTAGAAGTGGGAGCACCCTCCCCTTTCCTCTCCCCAGCAGCTCAGGTAGCAGGTCAAATGGTTCAGAGCCACTGGTAAGAGGATTTGACCACATCCTTCCTGTGGGTACGTGGATGGCCACTCACTAACATCAGGACCAAGGAGGCCTCAGGAGGAAAAGGGACAGCACTCCTGAAGACCCTCACCCCAGGTGAAGTTCAAGAATGTAAAAGCCTGTTTGTAGCAGGGGTGACCCAGCCGAGTTCATCCTCAAATGGACCCCGGGGTATCCGGGCAGCACTCGCCACAGGGCACAGACTTAACCCAGGCACCAAGCACTGCATGTGTGCCTGAGGTGGGGGAGTGGCAGGAAAGGAGTCTGGGGGTGTTTGGGGGTGTGTGTGTAGAGAGTCAGAAGAAGTTGGTGATCCCAAGGACCCAGGCAACTTGGCCGTGGGACAAGCCATGGCTGGGTGGAGTTGAGGGAGTAGACAGATATTTGCTCCCCTTCTCCCAGGCCCCGAGTGGAGTGTTTAGCAGGAATACCCACTTCACTTACGTTTTTGGAGCCTCCGTTTCCAACATCAGGTGCAGCAGCCATGTGGGGGCACCCCCAGCCTCCCTGGTGAGGGTGACTAAGGCATCAGTGTTGGTCTTGGAGGGCATCCTGGTAGAAGAGTCAGGCCAGGTGCTGATGTGGTCCCAGATCAGCCAGGTTGGGGGTGATGGGCAGAGTCTTGTAAGCAGCCCCTCGGGCTTTGGAAAATGCTTGGAGGGGATCCTAGAAAACACGTGGCGGTGGTGGGGTGCGGTGTGGATCTCTAAGCACAGAGATGTACCTGTGGCCTTGAGCTAACAGAAGCAACCCGGAGCTACTCTGGTTACAAATGAGCACAATTCTGCCTCCAGTCAGCCTCCCAGGACCCCCACAGCCTTGGGCACCATTTATCCAGGTGGCTTGTTTGCCACCGGGCTCTGTGCATTGCAGGACTTGTTTGGGCAGAGTCTGTTTCTGTGGGTAGAGACAGGGCTGATGTGAGAAGCAAAAGGAGGTCACCCCAAGTTCCCAGCCACAACAGACTGCCAGCATCAGCCTCCAAAGATGGTATCACCCCAGCCTGGACAGGGCCAGGCCTGCGTGTCCTAGAGCATGTGCAGAACTCTGTTTCTGAAATTCCTTCCTACCTAAGGCTGGTTTCAGTTCCAGCCATATTTGAATTTTGCTGAGTTTGAGTGTCTGCTGTGCACTAGGTTTTATAGCGGACAAAAGAATGGCAATAATAGGCCAGGCATGGTGGCTCACACCTGTAATCCTAGCACTTTGGGAGGCCGAGGTTCGTGGATTGCTTGAGCTCAGGAGTTCAAGATCAGCCTGGGCAACATGGTGAAACACCATCTCTACTAAAATACAAACAACTGGGTGTGTTGGTGCATGCCTGTAGTCCCAGCTACTTGGGACGCTGAGACACGAGAATTGCTTGAACCTGGGAGGCAGAGGTTGCAGTGAGCTGAGATCGCACCACTGCACTCCAGCCTGGGTGACAGAGCATTTGTCTCCAAAAAAAAAAAGAATGATAGTAATGATAATGATGGTGGTCCTAATGACAGTGACAGTTTCTTCATCTGTAACATGGGATAATTATAGTGCCTGCCTCATAGGTGCTGTAAGGATTAAATGGGAGAGTTCATGTAGAGTACTTAGCACATAGTACCTGGCACATAGTACGTGCTCAATAAATATTACCTGTTAATGAGGAAACTGAGGCTCAGAGACTTACCCTAAGTCACACAGCATGGGAGCCTGAATCAGGGACCTCCAATCTAATGTAGGAGACTAACAGTCCCCCACAGTTGTGAATCCAGTGCTAGGTGAGCTAAGGGAAGGGGAGGTGGTCCTGGGGAACTTCTGACTAGGTGGTATCAGGAGTCCCCATGGAGGAGGTGATGCTTCCATTGGGCCTCACAGGTAAACGGCTGCAGGTGGGGATATGGGGGTGTGGGTGGAGCATATGAAAAATTCAAAGACCAGAAAGAGGGTGCCTTGTGGGGTCAGTGGGAGAGAAGGCTGGGCAGGGCGGCTGCAGGCAGATGGTGAAGAGCTCTGAATGCATGCTGAGGAATGACCCACAATGACAAGGTACCCCATTGACTGTGCCCTTGAGAGGCAGTGTGGTGCAGTGGTTCAAGACTTGGACTCTGCAGCCAGCCTGCCCCAGTCAAATCTATAGCATGAGGACAGTAGCGGGATGTACAGGAAGAATAAGCAGGAGTGACTGCACAGCCCCTACCCGGTGCCAGGGTAGATCCCTTCACCTCTGCCTACCTGTCTACCAGGGACCGCATGGCTTTTATGTCCAGGAGAGCATGGGGTTCTGTCTTCAGGCTGTGACTCTGGAGATGCCTTGAGTCTCCCGAGTCCCCGGTTCTCTTCCCTCTGAAGGCACGTGCTGCAGAGGCTGTGAGGATGCCAAGCCCACCTGCATGAGTGGTGCCCGGGTGCAGGGAGGTGCTGGACACACGCAGGATGCCAGGTGGGAGGTTTGCTTCAGAGCATAGGAAATCCTAATTATTGTCATGCAGGCACTCGGCAGGCATGCAGGTTTGACCCCAGGGCTGGGATTCTCAGAAGGTGGTTAGAGTCTCCATTTGTTCACTTAAGACAGGGGCATCCGGTGCCATTTGCCCCAGGAGGTGGGCATGAAGAGCATAGGACAGGGAGGCGTGGAGGGGGTGGAGTAGCGTGGGGGCAGTGCGTGCTTTCTGGGTTATCTGGAGATTTAGACAGGGACACTGTGCCTCCAAGATCCTCTGGCTTCTCCTTTTCCTTTTATTTATTTATTTATTTATTTATTTTTGTATTTTATTTTATTTTATTTTGAGACAAGGCCTTGCTTTGTTGCCCAGGCTGGAGTGCAGTGGCGCAATCTCGGCTCACTGCAACCTCCGCATCCCGAGTTCAAGTGATTCGCCTGCCTCAGCCTCCCAAGTAGCTGGGATCACAGGCGTGCACCACTACGCCCAACTAATTTTTGTATTTTCAGTAGAGATGGAGTTTCGCCATGTTGAGCAGGCTGGTCTCGAACTCTTGACCTCAGGTGATCCACTAGCTTCAGTCTCCCAAAGTGTTGGGATTAAAGGTATGAGCCACTGTGCCTGGCCAGGTTCTCCTTTTTCAACAGCAAGTTGCCTAAACAGTACAAGTGGAATGAGCTCCTGCCTCTTATTGGCCAGTTTAGCCCTCGTGATGGATCCCTTGCACCTGTGCACCTGGCTCAGCGTTAGGTCTAGTCTGGGGTTGCCTCTTGGGCAGCTGCATCTGCCTGTGCCCCACAACTGCCAAGCAGACATGGCTGGACCAGTTCGGGGGAGCCCCTCAGGGGCAGCAGGTATTCCTTACTCACACTTTCTGGAGTGTTAAGATGTTTCCAGGCAACTGAGAGCGCCCTGGCCAGCCCGGTGTTTCGGTGTTTCCAGTCCAGGCTTTGTTTCCAGGCCCTCCCTGTCTGAGCAACACCTCATCTCACCCTGACTCATGGGGTCTCTCCCGCTCCACCTCCAGCCGTTTTCTTGCCACCCTCCCCACATTCCTTCAGGTCCACACACACCTGCCCTTTGATTCATGGCTCTTTCCGCTCTGAGGAAGGCAAGCACCAAAGGCCAGGGCCCCATCACACTCGGTCAGCAGCTGGGGCCACCGCCTGCCACTGGGTGTCTTCACACACACCTTTCCTGGACTCTGGAGTGAGGCTGCTTAGAGGGGGATGATTGCAGAGGGGCTGGGTGCTGAGGGCCCTATTCCCAGAAGGCAAATCCCAAAGGCAGCTCTGGCCTGACCTCTTTTTTTTTTTTTTTAAGAGATGGGGGGCTGGGCGCAGTGGCTCATGCCTGTAATCCCAGCACTTTGGGAGGCTGAGGCGGGCAGATCATGAGGTCAGGAGATCGAGACCATCCTGGCTAACACGGCGAAACCCCATCTCTACTAAAAATACAAAAAATTAGCCGGGCGAGGTGGCGGGCGCCTGTAGTCCCAGCTACTCGGTAGGCTGAGGCAGGAGAATGGCGTGAACCCTAGGGGATGGAGCCTCCAGTGAGCCGAGATCGCGCCACTGCACTCCAGCCTGGGTGACAGCGAGACTCCGTCTCAAAAAAAAAAAAAAAGAGAGAGACGGGGTCTCGCTCTGTCACCTAGGCTGTAGTGCAGTGGTCTGATCATAGCTCACTGCAGCCTTGAACTCCTGGGCTCAAGTGATTCTCTGGCCTCAATCTTCTTTTTTTTTTTTTTTTTTGAGACGGAGTCTTGCTGTCACCTAGGCTAGAGTGCAGTGGCACAATCACAATCTCGGCTCACTGCAACCTCTGCCTCCCAGGTTCAAGTGATTCTCCGCCTCAGCCTCCCAAGTAGCTGGGTTTACAAGCTTATGCCACCATGCCCGGCTAATTTTTGTATTTTTAGTAGAGACAGGGTTTCACCATGTGGGCCAGGCTGGTCTCGAACTCCTGACCTCAAATGATCCACCTGCCTCAGCCTCCCAAAGTGCTAGGATTACAGGTGTGAGCCACTCCGCTTGGCCCCACGCCTCAGGCCTTCTAAGTAGCTGGGACCATAGGTATGCACTCCATACCCAGCTAATTTTTAAATGTTTTTGTAGAAATGGGGTCTTGCCACGTTGCCCAGGCTGGTCTCAAACTCCTGGCCTCAAGTGATCCTCCCTGCTCTGCCTCCCAAACTGCTGAGATTATAGGCGTGAGCCATCGCGCTTGGCCTGACCTCTGTGTAGGTCTCTCTCTCTCCTGTCCTCCCTCCTTCCTTCTTCCTTTCTCTCTTAAACGGCTTTACTGAGATATAATTATCATACCATAACATTCCCTGTTTAAAGTGTACAATCCAATAGTTTTTAGTATATTTACAGAGTTGTACACTGTCACCATAAACTAACTTTAGGACATTTTATCACGCCCCAAAGAAGCCCCATTCATAGTCACTCATCATTCTCCCTCCCAGGCCCTGGCAACCACTCAACTACTTTCTTTCAGTGGAGTTCCTTGGAGAAGCAACTGTGAACAGTGAAGCCAACCCCAGGTACTGAGGTGGGATGCTCCTGCCCTTGGATCAGGCTTTCAGCAAGCAGAGTCCCAGAATGAGGACCATCCCTTCCAGCTGGCCCACTCACTTCCTTGTGGCTGTAGCCCTGAGAAGGTCACCAGTCCACCCTCCTCCTTTACCCAGGGAGGGGCATGAGACCCAGAACAGGGAGGAAGTCTGACCAAGGTCACATCGTGGGTTGGGGACACAGCTCCTGCTGGCGGTACCCACCATCTCTGGCACTCCAAGCTATCTTCCCACAGCAGCCCCTACACATCCATAGGCCTTCCACTGGCCTCAGTCTCTCCATCTGTACAATGGGAATAATAACACCTACCACACATGTTGTTGCGGGGATTGAATGAAAGCAAAGGCAATCCTGTGTGTAAAGAGTTTTTCCCTTTGCCTGGCATGAAGCTGTCCCTCAGCCCATTGCTGAAGTTGAATTAGATTAAATTCCCGTCCTGGCATTCAGGGCCCTGCACATTCTGGTTGTCTGGGGTGGATGGAAGTTTGTCCCTCCCCTCCCTTGGAAGGTGGCAGATGGAAGCCACTGGAACCGCAGGATCCTTGCTGCTTCCTCTCGGTCACCTGGAAGCTGGTGGTGTCAGCGGGGCGGGCGGGAGGTTGACACTGGTGGCGATGACTCAGCACTGAGAGCTGTGGGAGTCTAGTTAATCAGCAGCGTCAAAACTTCCTGTTGCTGTTTGCAAACAAGGGCCACCCCCAGAGGAGGAGGACCAGAGCTAGGGGAGAGGCTGCGCACCACAGAACCTCAGCAAAGCGAAGCTACAGTTTAAAGGCAGCAGCAGCAGTGGTGCTAAGAGTTCAGCAGGTGGTCAGGGGCTGTGGCTATGGCTTTCCAGGAGCACGTGGCTTCCCTTATGGCCCCTGTCCCCATCTCCCCACCCAGGAGGAATTTTTTTTTCCCCCAGTAGTAGCTGATTGACTTACTGCAAGGAGCCCCAGTGAAGTGCCAGGGTGTGAGAGCAGGAATCATGGTGGTGGCACCAGATGAGACTCATCCGTCTAGGATGGGCCAGAGTGTTGGACCGCGGGGTACTGAGGCGTTCCAGGACTGACCTCAGAAGATCTCTGAGGGCTTAACAGCAGGCAGGGATTGGGAGCACTGAGTCAGTGCTCTCAGCCCCACCTGGCCTGGCCCAGCAGACAGAAACACTCCCGGCCTGAGCACCTGGCAGAAGAACCAGATACGCCCCTCTGGTGACAGCCATCGCTCAGATATCTTTATATATGCCTCATGCCTCCCAGGAGAACCAGCCAGGGCGAGAATTCCAGATCCAAGAGAAAAACTGTAAATTAGCGTGAAAAGTAGTTCTCGTCAAAAAATGCTGCCAACGACAGTGTAAATTTGGTACAGGCCTTCTGAGGGGCAATCTGGCAACATGTTTAGAAAGTGAAAAAAAAATGCTCAGACTCTTTATTCAGAAAGATTTTTTATGAAATTGACAACCTCTCTTCTCCCTTCCCTCCCCACACCAGGGAATGAACGGGCTGTGTGGGTGGCAATGGTGACAGCAATGCTGTTTATAAAAGTGACAAAAATGGGAGCTACTCAAATATCAGACCCTACGGAATGGCCAGCTCAGTCAGGGCACAGGCTCTCAGTGGAATATTATGCAGCCATTTAAAATAGTTTTTTGCTGGGTGCAGTGGCTCACAGCTGTAGTTCCAGTACACGGGAGGCTGAGGTGGGAGGACTGCTTCAACTCAGGAGTTTAAGGCTGCAGTGAGCTCTGATCATGCCACCTCACTCCAGCCTGGGTGAGAGAGCGAGACCCCAACTCTAAATAAGTGAATAAATGAAATACTTTTCAGCCATTTTTATTGAGTGCTAGGTGCGCCCCAGACACTGGAACCTCCATTCTGAATGTGACCTTGGCTTTATCCTATGATGTCTGCACTTCAGAAAAATGTAGGCATTAGCAGGAAAAAGTGACATGGAAAATGCTTATTATAATAATTAAAAAAAATTTAGAGATGGGAGTCTTGCTATGTTGGCCAGGCTGACCAACTCCTGGGCTTAAGCGATCCTCCCACCTCTGCCTTCCAAGAAGCTGGGACTACAGGCATGAGCCACCACACCCAGCACTTACATGATTCAAAGTAAGAAAAGGCAGAGTAAAAAATTCTATCCGGTCTTTGCCTCCCACTATAACTGCAGCTTGTGTTTGCAGAAATGCCAATTGTGTGCCAGATGCTGGGCTGAGGGTGCTATGTGCTTGCTCCAATTTACATCTCACCATAACTCAATGGGTTAGACACTAGCCCTACTCTCATTTTCACAGGAGGAAACTGAGGCACAGCAGAAGTGACTGAGCCAGTGAATGAGCTCAAACCCAGGTCTGCCTGGCCTCAGAACCACCTTTAGCCATCTCTCTATACTGTCTCTCCTTAACACAGAAATGACATCAGCTCAAGGTCAGATACTGGAAAGAAAAATCTGGGCCAATGACAATAAGTGAAGGGTGGTGGGATTTGGTGTTTTAGTTTTTGTGTTTTTCCTCTCTCTCTTGGTTTCTATTAGATTTGTGCAGAAAAAAAAAAATTTTAAGTTCAAAAACAAAAACTGCCACCTAGAATTTGCAGCAGGTGGGGAGAAGTGAATGAGGAAGTGGGGAAAAATGCGAAGGATGTTAATAACGCATGTGCTGGTTTAGAACCCGGAGCTATAACAATTTAGGAGCAAGGAGAGAAGCGGCAGAACACTTAGCAAGGAGGAGCCCGGCGGCTTCTGGAGGATGGTGGGAGGATCCTCGGGCTGAGAGGCGGGCCGGGGGCGGGGCTTATTTGGCCCGTGCTACTCTCAGGGCGGTTATTGCTAAATCTTTTTATTACCTGGTGCTTACGTCCATTATCTCCTCAATGTTTGCATTCCTCTCATTTTTTTAAGACTACAGGAAATGATAAAAGGGGAAAAAAAACCTCACAAAGCCTCCGTTTGCTTTTAGCCTTGGAGTGCTAGGAGGGAGGGAATCTCCGCCAAATTCCTCCTTGAGTCATAAGGCTTTAGGTTCCCCTAAACTGAGAGTTAGGGGAGAACTGTCGAGTTCAGTCTTTTTGGCCAATGCAGAAAGGCAGCCACCATTTGGATTTTAAAGCAAGGTGGTTTCCTTTTTATTTTCTAGTCCTCTTAGAAGGTTTTTTTTTTTTTTTTTTTTTTTTTTTTTTAAGACAGGATCTTGCTCTGTTGCCCAGGCTGGAGTACAGTGACACGATCATAGCTTACTGCAGCCTCAAACTCCTGGGCCCACGCCATCCTCCCGCCTCAGCCTCCTGAGTAGCTGGGACCACAGGCCTGTGCCACCGCGCCTGGCTTGTTGTTTTGTAGAGACAGGGTCTCAATATGTTGTTCAGGCTGGTCTAGAACTCCTGGCCTCAAGCGATCCTCCTGTCTCATGAGCCACTGTGCCTGGCCGGCAAGGTGATTTTCTTGGGGGAAAGATTGCCTTGGTTCTCTGAAAATGGGAGAACTGTTTTCCCCTGTTAATACAGCTTCTAGAAAGGAAGGGACACAGGGAGCAGGAAGGTGAGAGGGAGAGAAAAGAGTGAGAAAAGTACCATTAGTTTAAATATCACTTGAACACCTAATGCTTGCTGAGCTGGGTCTAGAGCAGACAAGGATGACAGGAATTTACAGTCCAGTCAAGGGACATCCAAGACCACCACCTCTCCATGCCCACTGAGGAGCCTGGCTTCCTGAGAGCTTGCAGCTGTGAGCCTTGTGCCAGACCCCCTGAGGTGCTCAGGGTGAGTCATGTGCCCAAGACCTGCAGTTGGTGACATGCAAAGCTGGAAACCAAATTCATGCTTATGGGGCTGGGTGCAGTGCCAGGCTCTTCACCTCCAAGAGCTCTTCCACGGGGTTTTTTTTTTTCTTTTTTTAGACAAAGTCTTGCTCTGTTGCCCAGGCTGGAGTGCAGTGGCATGATCTTTGCTCACTGCAACCTCCACCTCCTGGGTTCAAGCAATTCTCCTGCCTCAGCCTCCTAAGTAGCTGGGATTACAGGCGCCCACCAGCACATCGGGTAATTTTTGTATTTTTAATAGAGATGGGGTTTAGCCATGTTGGCCAGGCTGGTCTCGAACTGCTGACCTCAGGTGATTGCCCGCCTCAGCCTCCCAAAGTGCTGGGATTACAGGCGTGAGCCACCACGTCCAGCCTCCTCCGTAGTTCTTTCTGCGGTGCTCATGATGAATGATTTCAGAGGGATTGGAAGATTGGAAGATGTGGATTCAAAAAAGCAGCTAATTGGGTCAGGATTACTTAATATGCGGCTCACTCCAGAATGAGTTTCTCCAACTTCAATAAATGTTCTGTTACCCAGAAGCATGAGAGGACACACTTTTCACAGCTGCAGGGCACTCCTTCCTGACCACATGGAAATAATTGCTAAGGAGCCTTCTCTTACTTCCTTTTGGTAGAAATTATCATTACTTTACATGGGAAGAAAGTCTGTTTGGGTACATTTCACGCACCTGTTCTTCCCTTCTGAATTCTATGGGATCTATGGATTTATTCAATGAACATGTCTGTGATACCAGGCCCTGAGCTGGGGTCAGCTGAGGATTTCCCTGTGATCAAGTAACGAAAGGGTCCTGTCCTGAAGGAGCAGATGGTATACACAGGAACGCCATCATGATCCAGGGTCGGGGATGCTGCAGGGGGTGAGTTGAGCCCGCCTGCTGGTGCCTGGGAGGGTCAAAGAAGGTGACCTCTAAACTTGAAGGAGGGACAAGCAGGTATGGAATTGGCCAGGTAAGGGTTAGTGGAGGCAGATGAGAATGGGGTGAAGGAGAGGGGCTTTCCAGGCAGGGAGGACAACATTTGCAAAGGCTCGGAGAAGACTTGATCTGAGGTTAAATCATTTAAAATGGGAAAATCATGTAAATCTTATCTGTGCTTTACTCTGGGTTGCTATGAGAATCAGATTAAACACAATCTGACTTTTCATTCCCCTTCTTTCCTTCCCTTTGGGGAGCAGAACTCTCAGGCTCTTGGCCACTTCTCTGACGAATGCCTGAGCAGTAAAGGGTTTCAGGCCCTCTGAACACAAAGATGGGTCAGGTGTGGTGGCTCATGCTTGTAATCCCAGCACTTTGGGAGGTTGAGGCGGGCAGATCACCTCAGGTCAGGAGTTCGCAAGCAGCCTGGCCAACGTGGCAAAACCCCGTCTCTACTAAAAATACAAAAATTAGGAGTTTGAAAGCAGCCTGGCCAACATGGCAAAACACCGTCTCTACTAAAAATACAAAAATTAGCTGGGCGTGGTGGCGCATGCCTGTAATCCCAGCCACTTGGGAGGCTGAGGCAGGAGAATTGCTTGAACCCAGGAGGCAGAGATTTCAGTGAGCCGAGATTGCGCCACTGCACTCCAGCCTGGGCAACAGAGTGAGACTCTGTCTCAAAAAAAAAAAAAAAAAAAAGTCTATGGGCATACCACCGTGAACACACCTGATCTTGTCTGAACACAAAGATGGCGCTGCTAGTCCCTGCCTGGGGATGGGGTGGATGTGGGCGTGGAATTGCAGTGTTCTGGACACTGTCTTCTGTCTGGCCCTCCCTGAGACAGCTGTGCCTCTGCCAGAGTTCGGCAGGAAGGGTCAAGGCTAAGGCTGAACCCAAGAGTCCTCCCTCAAGGGTTTAGGACTTCAGTGTTGGAATGGCCAGGTTTCAGCAAAACTTGCACCTTTCCCGGGGCCAGGAGAGTTGGCAGCCTCCTATGCAAATCATCAGCGAAGTTTCTGGGTTAGAAATGACCTTGGAGTTGGTACGTAGTTCCTGATGACATTGTACATTCTTAAATTCCAACAACTGGGATGGGCATGGTATGGTGGCTCATGCAAATAATCCCAGCACTTTGGGAGGCTGAAGCAGGATGATCGCTTGAGGCTAAGATTCTGAGACCAACCAGGGCGACAGAGCTAGACCCCGACTCCACACAATATTCTTTTTAAAAAACTGAGTCATGCTGGGCACGGTGGCTCATGCCTGCAATCCCAACATTTTGGGAGGCCGAGGCAGGGGGATCACTTGAGGTCAGGAGTTCGAAACCAGCCTGTCCAACATGGTGAAACCCTGTCTCTACCAAAAATATAAAAAATTAGCTGGGTGTGGTGGTGTGCGCCTGTAATCCCACTGCACTCCAGCTTGGGTGACAGAGCGAGCCCCCGTCTCAAAAAAAAAAAAAAAAATTGAGTCAGGCACAGTGATTCACATCTTCACATCTGTAATCCCAGGACTTTGGAAAGCCAAGGTAGAAGGATCCCTTGAGCCCAGGAGTTTGAGACCAGCCTGGGCAACATAGTGAGACACCCCCATCTCTACTTAAAAAAAAAAAAAATTAGCTAGGCACACTGGTGTGTGCCTGTAGTCCCAGCTACTCAGGAGGCTCAGGTGGGAGGATCACTTGATCCCAGGAGTTCGGGGCTATAGTGAGCTATGATTGCATCACTGCACTCCAGCCTGGGCAACAGATCAAGATCTTGTCTCAAAAATGCAACAACCATGAAACAAGTAGTTTTTACGTTTCAAATCGGAGTTTTGCTAGAATTCCAAAAATACAACCTCCTTACACTTCAATTTCCTTTTTCCTTCGCTGGTGCTTTGATCTTAATAAGTTGTTATACCCATATGCATCTGATAGTACTGTGTGAGTACCTATTGGAGTCATAGCTCTATCACACACTGCATTTGTGAACAAACTTTCTGAGGCTCAGTTTCCTTTCCTGAAACACGGGTGTCCTGAAACAGTACTGGTGTTCATAGGGTGTTCAGGGTTAAATGGGATTTTGTTTATAAAGAGCTTAGTGCTGTGCCTGACACAGTGTTAGCTTCAATAATGGCATCTATTATGTACACAGGAAAAAAAAAGACTTCTAAAGTGTTGGCAGCATTTATCTCCAGTGTGTGGGATATGGTTACAATGAACATCTATTACTTTTGTAATCAAAGCAAAAGAACAATAAATGTTATTATTAATTTAAAAATCTGGCTTTGGCTTTGGTGGGAAGGACCTACAGTTAATGTCAATGTACTCAATCCCTGAGTAAGAAAAAGTCTCCAGTTTTGAACCAGGACTTTAAAGACATTCTGTCCTCCCCATCCCCCGCCCCATCAACTCATAGGGACTATAATCAAGGGAGATAGATACTAAATCAGAATTCTAGAGACATTTTGCCTTCATCCACCCTTGCGGTCCCCTGGATCACTGCTGTTTGGAGGGCAGGCAGAGGAATTCAGAGATCATAACTCCCCAAATAAGGCTTTCTCTCCCATTGGAAGGGTTCTCCAGTGTGGTGTTCAGCTGGAAATCTAACTCTCTAGGGAATGATTCCAGGAGCGTTACATTCACCCTCTATCAGGCCTTCACTGAGGAATCTCAGTTGTCAAATAAAGCATGCACTAGGCTGCTTCCAGCTGGGGGACTGTGACTGTCCTGCTCTGGCGTCCAGAACAATCTGAGGCCCAGGCCCTTGGCTCCGTCGCTGGTCGAGATTCTTGACTGGCAGCCCAGCGCCTGGGCGGCAGCAGGAGATAGAACCCACCTGGAGTTGCCCGACCCCCTCCAGTCCTCTCCTTGATCTTCTTGGGCCATCCCCTGACAAGCAGGAAGGGACAGAGTACCCGCCCTCCTGGGATTATCTGCAGAACCGTCAGCCTGCATGGGCTGGCTTCAGAGTGACTTGCTTTCTCCTCTTCCGCACCCGGGGGTGTGGAGAGTGAGGGAGAATATTGCTGCTGGCTCTGGAATAAAATGCTGCCTCTGTTTGGGAGACAAAGAACAGAGTGGCTCCTCCAGGTCAGCTGTCTCTCCCGGCTGGCAGGCCCCTGGCCTCCCCCAGGCCTCTTCTGAGGCTCTAGGTGCCCCAGTAGCAGGGCCTTCTGCAGCAAGGCCGGGAACTGCTGCACCATTGGTGTGTTTTACCTTAAGGGACTCCAGGCAGCTTCCTTGCTGGGAAGATATTCATTTGCTGGGGTGGGGCTGGGGGTGCAGAGGTAGGAAGTGCTGTGGCTAGAAGGCGGCCTGGCCAGCGAGTAGGTGGTGGAGCGAGTGAGAGCGTGTGCGCTGTAAACAGTGTGAGTGCATGTGCGCCAGCGCGTGCAAGGACACGGTAAGGGATGTACATGTATTGTCTCGTGAGTAAGAGCTTGTGTGTGTGTTGGGATGGGAAGACACGTACTGGTATGAGAGCCCGCGTGAGAAGTGTATGTGTGAGTACTCGCGTGGAAGTTTTGCACTCGGGTTTGAGGCTGTGCAAAAGTACGCATGGCTCACCAGGTGTGGGGCTGTGTGGGCTGCCTCGTGTGTGCCAGCCCGTGTGCAGGCCTGTTTTGTGAGAGCCTTCAGGGAACGCATGAGCACGTGTGCCAGTGCGAGTGCGGGACGCGGGGAGGCGGGAGAGACCGAGTGGGAGGCCCCGCGAAGGAGTGGGAGTGGGAGTGGGAGTGCCGGCGGGAGACCTGCGGGGGCGCGCCCGGGCTGACGCGTGCGCGCCAGTGCGCGTGAGTGCGGGCGCGCGCCGCCGCCCCCCGCCGGGGTCGGAGCCGGTTGCCATGGGAACGCGCCGCGGCCCGAGTTAATCATTTCCTGTGGAAAGTGTGCGGGAGGGGCGCGAGCGGGCTGGCCGAGGAGGAGGCGGCGGCGTGGAGCTGCCTCCTGCCGGCGGGCCGGGCCGGGCCGAGCCCCGGGCGCTGCGGCGACGCCTGGATCCTGCCTCCGCCAGGCCGGTGAGTGGGGGGCCCGGGCGGGCTGGGTGCGAGCGGGGCGCTGGGCTCTGCCCGGCCCGCCGTTTGGGGCGCCGCGTCCGGGCCGGCCCTGCCCTCGGGACCCCTCTGCCCGGACCCGCTATGGGCGCGGGGAGGGAAAGGCCCGGGAGACCCAGCCCTGCGAGGTCCCCTCCAGCGCCGTTCAGCCCGAGTCGAGGACCTTGCTGGGAGCTGGGCACAGGGGCGGCGTGTCCCACGGGATCCGAGCAGCCTCGGGACCCCGTTTGGATTTTATTGAACGAGAAGAGCGCAGACCCTACCCGGGATGGGCTTGTCAATCGGCGCCGCCCTCTCCCCTTCCTGGCGTCTTCCCCACCCCCAGGGCTCCCTGGAAGGCTGCCTTTGGGTCCCTCCCACCACGTCCCTTGGGGAGTTCGCTTTTTCCCTGGCAGGGCCTGGGGCGGGGTGCGCCCGCCCAGAGGTTAGGAAGAAGGGCCTTGGCCGGTGCCCTCCGGGCAGTGAGGAATCGGGCCATTGACAGCCGCAGCAGTTGTGAGGGTCTCAGCAGGGAGGGCGATCCCAGGACCACCCCTTTAAGCCCAGCATTGCTAGTTAGAGCAGAACTCTGGCTGGTGCAGTGAAGGGCCTGGTCCTGGGAGATATTAAAGAGGAAGCTGTGTTTAATTAAATTCTGGAGTACCATTTACTGCCACCCAGCCCCCACCTCCATACCCCAACACTGTCTCAAGATTGCGGGTTGTGGCCACCCCTGGTCTTTCACCTTCCCCGGCTTTTCCTCTGCCTGAACAGGGTGAGCACCCATTCTTTCCCAGACGTGTATTCCCCATGCCCTTGTTAGAGTAGCCGTCTCCTTGACCAGGGAGAGTCATTTGCTAGGAATGCAGTCTCAGAATGGGGCCCTGCATTTGCAGTGAGTGGACTTTAGGGGCACAGGGTGGTGAGTTCTGCTGTTCACAGGGGCACCAGGGAGCAGAGGGTTTGAAATCTAGGTTGCCCTGGAAAGCCCAGGATAGATGATGGTGTGCAGGGAGGTGGCATTCCCTGTACAACTTCCTTGACCTTCTGCCTGCTCTCCCAGGGCGACCAAGCCCTGCTTGCTGCAGTCTCTGAGCAGCTGTCCAGCCTGTCCCCCCAGTCTTTGCAATGTCCCTGATCTAGGGCAGGGGGAGTATTGCAGCTCTGCTGTCCTGGTCTAAACCCAGAGAGGCAGAGACCCTCTTCCCCAGCCAGGCCCTCTGCATTCACCCACCACTGGAGCAAAGTAACTGAAAAATAAAATTTTGGAGCTCTTTGTATATGCCAGTATTGTTCTGAACACTTGGCCTTGTCTAATCTTTAGAGCAACCCTATAAGGTGGTGTTCTCCCCATTTTATAGATGGAGATAATGAAGTACGGAGAGGCAAAGTAATTCTCCCAAGGTCAGACATCTAGTAAACAGGGGAGCCAGGTTCTGAACCAGTCCCACTGCCCTCCCCCACGAATCCTAGGTTGGTAGAAGTCCCCGGACACCAGGTTTCATCTCAGATGCCCATGTAAATGAGAGAGAGTCCTGCTTTCTTGGCCCAGAACCCTGGGCTTAAGATTCCTTGATACTTTTGACCTTCACACCCCTGAGGCTGCTAAATTCAGCTGCTTTTTCCTCTTCGGGATCTAGCACACGCCCTTCCTCTTTCTTCCCGATATCTTCCTGGCTGCCTCCTCCACTTCCCTTCCTGATAACCGCAGAAACGCTATCTCCTCCTGTCCCTGCCCCTCAGACTGAGCTGAGCTGATCTCCCTGAAAGTCTTCTCTGTCCACTGTGGAGTCAGCCTCCAATGCCCTGCACTGTCTCACCTTCCCAGCAGCCGAGACTGCAGATGGACCTGCCTTGCTCCTTCCCTTGCCCATTGGACAGCTGGTCTGCAGGGTTGGTTGTGTGCCCAGCTCTGTGCCAGGCAGCCTGGAGAAGAGGACATTTGGCTGCTCCCCTTGGTTTCTTCCACGCCACACTGGTCCATCTCAGTTTCCTCAGTGGAGCTGGCCCACGTATTTAGATCAGCCTCTGCCCTGTCCTTTGGCCCACATTCCCATCCCCTTCCCAGTAAGACTGAACCTAGGAGCCTCCTAGTTGTTCTAAGTCAAGGAAGGAAGAGACCATGGCTTCCTCGCCAGGTGCCTGGCATTCTTCCAGGGTTGGGCTCTGCAAACATCAGACACCAGATCTTCAGGCCCCTAACCCCTGGACCCTTTACTTTATTATTTATTTATTTATTTATTTTTGCCTCTCAATGCTTTAGTCACTCCTGTCTCTCTGTCTCCCCAATATGCTCAACTCTCCCCCTATTCTAGACACCACATCCTCTCCTTCCCATCCTAGCCAAACACCCCCAAGGAGAAGGAAGTGGCTGCTTCCTCCCCCAGCTCCCGCCCCACTCTTTGAGCCCTCCGAAGTTTGCCATCTGCCCTTCTCCCTCCACAGGCTCAGGCTTTCTGCCTGTCTGGGCTTTCAGTCCTCCACGTCTCTTTGGCATGATGCACTGGGCACTGACCAACCTCTCCTTCCCACTTACACTTCAGTCACTTCTGAAAACTCTATACTTGCCTGGAGCTCCTGTCCCTCTCTCAGCTTCCTTCTGCAGCTTTCCACCCCGCAGTGAGCCCTGTTATCACATGGCTGTCTCCTCTTGCTCAAGCTTTGATGATTGCCTCCTCACCTGTGGCGTTGGTGGCCCTGTTTAGCTCTGAGTCTGTGTCCAGCCCTGACCTCTCTTCCAGGCTTCAGTTCAAGCTTTTGTGTGTGTTCATTTCAGAACGTTCACCCCACAAGCCATCCCAGAGTTCTTAGTGTGGGTGCAGCTGCAGACTGGGTGCAGTGGGGCTGCAAACATGAATGTGTGTGGGCCCATAGTGGGTCAGGGGAGGTGGACACCCTTCAAATAGCTATCTTCACTTCCTGGCAGGAAGTGGCCACTGCAGTGACGGATGGGGAGAGTAGTCGACAGCCCAGGAAGCTCCACTAGGAAGTCCTTCAGTTACCCCCACCTCAATCTTAAAACCCCATGTTGCCTCTCCAAGCTGACTTCGCTTCTTCTGTAAATGACATTACTGTCTGAGTCTGGGACTGTAGCATGATCACCTTAAATGTCCTCAAGGTTGCTTTGCACACAGTAGGTGCTCAATAAAGACTTCTGCAGGGAATACCTGAGCTCTGTTCATTTGTTCAGTTCATGAGGGACCTATCCCTGACTGAAGCTTTCTATCCCTGACCAATGCTCTCTGCCCCCCTCCATTCCCCACACCACCTGGTGCCTGGCTCGCACCTGCCGCCTCCAGTAGCCTGCTCAGACTGTGAGGGTTTTTTTGAAGTGTTTATCTCCCTTCTGACTGGGAGTTTTCAGGCCTCATCTCTTCTGATCCAAAAGGACCCCTGGCAGATGCCTGGCACCCAGTAGGCATTATTAAATGAAGACTGAATGAATCTTTGTATCTCAACACCCATACGGTGCCTGCCACATGCTAGGCACAGAGCGCAGGCTAGTCGAATACATGAATGAGAACTTACTGTATATAGACTTCACTTGTCATTGGCCACAGTCAGGGCCCTTTTGAGTCCCTCCTCAGTGAAATGTTAATATTCAGAGCATTCACTGCTCTGCTGACAGGCCTTAGGCAGAGCAGCCTGAAGCCTAAGGGTTAAGCATGTGGTTAAGTGCAATTAGAAAATTAGATGTCTTGGAGGAAAAGGATTAGACTTACGGAGATGCTGCTGACTCGCGGTGCCTCCTCTGTGTGGGGCTAGGACCTGGCTTGTCCTCAGGCTCCAGGCTCAGCTGGGAAGGGCTCAGGTGTGGGGTCTCAGGCACAGCTGATATGCAACTTTCGCACTTCGGAGCCTCCGTATTCGGAAACAAATACCCCCAAAAGGCAGCAGGCCCCATTTCATCCTGCGAGCCCTAGGGTCTTTGGGGGACAGTGCAGTTGGAGCTGCTGCGCTGGGTAACCAGCGACCGGTGGGGCGTAGACCCTTCCAGATGGCTGGCTCTGCCCGAGGTGCAGTTGTGCTGGTCCACGGTCTTCAAGCTTATCTCCCCTTGTTCTCTCCGCAGGCTGCCTGGTGCCCCGAGGAGGCTGCTGAGCCCCAGGCCATGGTCCCCTCTCGCAGGACGTGGAACCTGGGAGCCACGCCCTCGCTGCGGGGCCTGTGGAGAGTGGGCCGGGCCCCGGAGCCCGAGCCGGGGATGGCTCGCCCCGCCCCAGCCCCAGCCAGCCCGGCCGCCCGCCCTTTCCCACACACCGGCCCGGGGAGGTTGAGAACTGGTGAGTCCGCATTTTTAAAATGCCTCTTTATTTCCCTTCCTTCCTCCAGATACCAGAGATGAGACTGAGGTTTCTCACCGGTTCCTAAGCCCAGTCAGAGCTGTCAGGTAATTACAGGGTAACCGACAGCCCAGAGCCAGGCGGGCGTGGAGCCGGAGCGTCAGTCTCGCCGGGCGCTCCTTCCCTGCGCCCCTGTCTGGAAAAGAGGAGACCTGGAAGCCGGGTTAAACTTTAACACGGGTCGGGCACAGAGCAGGGGGAATCAGCTGCATTCCCTCTGGCCAAGCTGGTCAGAGCTCTGCGGGCTGCCGTCCTTGGCCAAGAGCGTGTGGGCTAGCTCCGGTCTCTGCCCAGGCTGGTAAACAAGGTAGGTGAAGTGGCTGCCTGGGCACCAAGCGCCGCTGACACTTGATCCTGCCTGGGCTGGCCCCTGGACGGCGTTGGGAGTGGACCGAGGCTGCTCGGGAACGTGGCCTGGCGGGGCTTGGGGTCCATGTGCTCATTTCAGGTGCTTCTGTAGAGACCCTGACAGCAGGTGGGCAGAGGTCCCAGAGTCTTGGCCCCCACTGTACCCCCCGGGGAGCTGTCAGTGCCAGCTCGCCTTTCTGGGTCATGTCCCCCGGTGCTGCGAAAGTCAAGAAGTGAGCGGCTTCTCTGATTCAGGGCCGGGACTGGATTGGCGGGGCCGCGGAGCTGTCCATGACCCTCTCCCGAGGCGTGGGCAGGTCGCCCTGGTAGTGTGGGGGAGAGAGGGCTCTCCAGGCAAGGTGCCTTCAGGGGTCTGCTCCCTGTCCCTCGTGACCTACAGGAACAGGGTCTAGACTGCCAGCCTGTGAGAGCTAGCAGAGTCCCTCTGGGCCATCAGGTCCAAGCCCCTTGGTGCACAGAAGGGGAAACTGAGGCCCAGAGAGGGCACACAGCAAACTCCTGTTCACCCCTCTCTCCCACCACATTTGTGCTGTCAGTGGCAGCTGGACTGATGCCTTCCGAGGTCTCTCTGCTTCTATGGTTGTCTGGGGCTGGCTGCTCCCAAGCAGCACAGCCAGGCTGGGGATGACCCAGGGGCCTGGGGAAAAGCCTGGGCTTTTGGGCCAGGTAGCCCAGTTGTCTGAAAGGGGCAGAGGATGGCCTCTACCCCATAAGGTTGTCCTAAGTATTACAAATGTAATATGAATGAGTATTGCTTTTCCGGTAAAACAAAAGCATTTTCCCTTAGAAAACTTAAAACACATAGAAAAATATCAAAAAGGAAATAAAAATCACAAGTTAGTCACTGAACATTTTATGTAGTGCCTTCTAGTCGTGTGTGTCTGTGTGTGTGTGTGCATGCATATAGGTCTTTGAAATATTGTGTTATCTCAGCTTTCTAACCTGAAGGAAAAAATTGGGTATTATGAAGATTATATGACCATACAGACTTTTATCCACTTAAAAAATTTAAGACAAAGGTCAGATGAAATCCTGTGTGTGAAATGCAAGCGCCGTGCCTGCCACTGGGCCTCAGCCAGCTCAGCTGCCCCAGGCCCCTCTGAGTCCCCCGACCAACCCCCATATTGCCACCCTGAGAATTGGCTGGCAGAGGGTTGATTAGCACATGGGATTTGAATCCTGGCTCCCTGTGACCCTGGGCACATTGTTAACCCTTCCAGGCTTCCGGTTCTTTGCCTGTCAGGTGGGGAGAATGCCCCCCACCTCCCTGGGGAGTTTTGAGGAGCTGATGGCTACTGTAGTCCTATTGGCCTGTACTGTGGGCCCTTTCTGTGTGCCTGGCACTACATGGGCACCACGTGTATTTCATCCCATTTGATCCTTATCACAGGGCTGTGAAGTTGTCCCCATTTTATTGACAAGCAAACTGAGGACCAAGAAGGTGTGTAAAGGCTGGGTGCTGTGGCTCACGCCTGTAATCCTAGCACTTTGGGAGGCCAAGGCGGGCAGATCACTTGAGGTTAGGAGTTCAAGACCAGCCTGGCCAACATGGTGAAACTCTGTGTCTGCTAAAAATACAAAAATTAGTTGGGCTGGTGGTGCGCACCTGTAATCCCAGCTACTCGGGAGGCTGAGGTATAAGAATTGCTTGAACCCGGGAGGTGGAGGTTGCAGTGAGCCAAGATCGCACCACTGCACTCCAGCCTGGGCAACAGAGAGAGGCCCTGTCTCAAAAAAAAAAAAAAAAAAAAAAAAAAACAAAAAAGCCCAAAAAAACAGAATGTGTGTAAGGCCTGAAAAGCACTTGGCCCAGTGGCTGGCACTCGGGATATTGTTACGCCCCAGGGTAGTGGCTCTGCAGTGTGCCTCATGACTCGTGAGGCTGGCCCCCATCCCACCCTGTTCAGCCCTGCAGGTGGAGGTGGGTGGCTGGGGCATTGCTGCCACAGCCCGCCCTCTCTCCCATGGGTGAGGGAGGCGGTGTGTCAGAGGCACAAGGGGATGCACGTTAGCTGGTTCTGAATACGCTTGGGGAGGCAACGGAGGCTGGGCCACCTGGTTTGGATTTTGTCTTAATGAAGTCAGGGAAGAAATTGCCACCTAGAGGCAGCCGGGGTAATAAAGCCATAGCCCCTGTGCAAGTCCTCAAAGCTTCATGCAGGCTGGCTGGCAATGGCTTCCTTCCACTTCCCTGCTGAGCAGATGCCTGCCCCAAAAGCCACTGTGGGGATAGGGGAGCCTCCGGTGGGGTATTGGGCCCCTTCCAGAAGAGAATCTTTGGGCGGCTTTTGGTAAGGAAGGAGCGTAGCCACTGCCCCGAGCCAGGCCTTCCCCTCTGCAGGGCAGGCGTTTTTTGGGTGTGTGAGCCCCTCCTGGCCACATCTGGACCAGCCAGGGATGTGTGAAAGCTGAGCTCAGCTGCGGCCCTGGCCAGTGGTCCATGGCTAGCAGTCTTTGGCCAGTGGTCGGAGTGTCTCACCTATCTCTCTGTCCTGGGACAGGGCGTGGAAAAGATACCCCAGTCTGCGGTGACGAGGACTCCAGTGCCCGAAGTGCAGCTCGCCCAGCCCTAGCTCAGTGCCGAGCCCTTAGCGTGGACTGGGCTGGCCCCGGAAGCCCCCACGGGCTCTACCTGACCCTGCAGGTAAGCACTGGGGCCTTCCAGGCTGCATGTGCCTTGGCTCTCTGAGCTCCAGTGGCTGGGTTCCTGCCAGGCTTCTGGGGGTAGGAAGCACCTGGGGAGAGCCGGGGACCCACCTCGCACCTCTCTGTTGGGCCCCTCATGACCCCTCTGCCTGGGAGCCTGCTTTATTAAGTCAGACGGGAAATCTCATAGGAGCTGACAGGAGCTTTTCAGCCATGCCCTGGCTGAGGTGTTAAAATGGGAAGCATGGGGCCTTAGCTGAGATGGGCAGAGCTTGGAGAAGGTATTGGGAAAACAGGCAGGTTTGGGGTGGTTGATTATTCTGAAACATGGTTATGTGAGTATTTCCTTGTATTTCCTTGGGAATATTTCCTTGTTTGAAGTGAGAATTCAAAGCTAGATGGAGGATTCACTAAAACTTGGGGTCTTCTCCCTTGCAGTTATCACCAAGTGACTTTAAAATGACAAAGTAAGGCTAGGCGCGGTGGCTCAGGCCTGTAATCTCACCACTTTGGGAGGCTGAGATAGGAGGATCGCTTGAGCCCAGGAGTTCACGACCAGCCTGGACAATATAGTGAGACCCTATCTCTACAAAAAGAAAAATAAAAAATTAGCTGGGCATGGTGGTTCCTATAGTCCCAGCTACTCAGGAGGCTGGGGTGGGAGGATCGCTTGAGCCCAGGAGGTTGAGGCTGCAGTGATTGCACCACTGCACTCCAGCCTGCGTGACAGAGTGAGACCCTGTCTCAAAAAAAAAAAAAGAAAAGAAAAAAGATAAACTTTACATATGTATGTATATTTGGCTATAGAAATAATACATAACGATAATAGTAATAAGAGCTACTGTTTATCAAACATGGACTCTGTGCCAGGCATTAAAAGATCTCATGTTAGTCCTCATCATACTCATAACAATCTCAGGATACAGTATTTGATCTGAGCTTTATAGATGAGGATGTGGAGGCTCAGAGAGGTTAAGTTACTCGCTGCTGGTCACATATTCGACCATTCAACACAACTAGCCTTGTAACAGGGCAGAGATACAGTTATCCAGAAACTGCCTCTCTTAGTCCTCTATCTTTGAGAAATCCACTATTAAGTATTTGGTGTTTATTTGTTTATCTTTCCTATATAGAACCACTTAATTAAATTTATATGATTTTTATTTTTGAGATGGAGTCTCGTTCACTCTGTTGCCCAGGCTGGAGTGCAGTGGCGTGATCTTGGCTGTAATATCCGCCTCCCGGGTTCAAGTGATTCTCCTACCTCAGCCTCCTGAGTAGCTGGGATTACAGGTGTGCATCATCACACCTGGCTAATTTTTATATTTTTAGTAGAGATAAGGTTTCACCATTTCACCATGTTGGCCAGGCTGGTCTTGAACTCTTTTTTTGTTTTTTTTTTTTGAGACAGAGTCTCGCTCTGTCGCCCAGGCTGGAGTGCAATGGCATGATCTCAGCTCACTGCAGCCTCCGCCTCCCGGATTCCAGTGATTCTCCTGTCTCAGCCTCCCAAGTAGCTGGGATTACAGGCGTGTGCCACCGTGCCCAGCTAATGTTTGTATTTTTAGTAGAGACAGGGTTTCATCATGTTGGCCAGGCTGGTCTTGAACTCCTAACCTCGAGTGATCTGCCCGCCCCAGCCTCCCAAAGTGCTGGGATTACAGGTGTGAGCCAGTGCACCCAGCCATATTTATATGATTTTTTTTTTTTTGAGACAGAGTCTCACTCTGTTGCCCAGGTTGGAGTGCAGTGGCATGATTGCAGCCCACTGCAACCTTCACCTCCCAGGTTCAAGCGATTCTCATGCCTCAGCCTCCCGAATAGCTGGACTACAGGCATGTGCCACCACACCTGGCTAATTTTTGTATTTTTAGTAGAGATGGGGTTTCACCATGTTGGCCAGGCTGGTCTTGAACTCCTTACCTCAAGTGATCTACCCGCCTCAACCTCCCAAAGTGCTGGGATTACAGGCATGAGCCACAGTTCCCAGTGCATATTTATATGATTTTTATTATTTATTTTACATGTTATTCTGTCACTAGCTCTTTCCCTCAAGTAAGTCCTGGTAATCTCTTCATGCTCATCAACACATAGAGAACTACCCTTTTTTTTTTTTTTTTTTTTTTTTTTTGAGCAAGGTCTGGCTCTGTTGCCCAGGCTGGAATGCAGTGGTAGAATCTCACTGCAACCTCCAGCCAAGTCATCTCACCTCAGCCTCCTGAGTAGCTGGGACTACTGGCATGTGCCACCACACCTGGCTAATTTTTGTAATTTTTGTAGAGACGGAGGTTTCATCATGTTGCCCAGGCTGGTCCCGAACTTGTGGGCTCTGCCTTGGCTTCCCAAAGTGCTGGGATTACAGATGTGAGCCATTACGCCCGGCCCTACCTCTTTCTTTTACACGGCTGCGTAATAGTCTACTTCAGGGCTTACCATAAATTATTTATAACAGATCCTCTGTATTGTTTCTGATTGCAGTGAGCTCCTTAAACAAATATCTGTGCTGTGTTCATGCAGTGATAGCTTTGAGTATTTTCAGGGCAGTACAAGCTCTGCCCATTTTTAATTAATGCATTTGTTCAACAGATTATTTAGAATGTGCCAGTCTGTGCTAGGGTCAGAGGTACAGTGCAGAAAGAGACAAGAGAGTCTAGCAGAGGCGCCAGAGAGTGACCAAA
Organism: Homo sapiens; assembly: GCF_000001405.40. Lineage (NCBI taxonomy): Eukaryota > Metazoa > Chordata > Mammalia > Primates > Hominidae > Homo > Homo sapiens. The sequence goes on along the minus strand of NC_000016.10, from coordinate 57,792,318 downwards.
TAATCACGAAGGGATGAAGGCAAACCAGGCAGGGGCCAAGAAGGCAGTGGCAGAGGACTGACACCAGGGCTATCTGGGGATGCTGCCAAGGCCCACCCCCCAAGAAAGCCGGTGCACGAGAGGGCCCACCACTCCCCCATGTTCTCCTGACCATCCACACACACTGATTCTGCCCTTTCTGGAAGCCACATTTCCACAGAGCCTTGAAGGAATGTGTACAAATTGTGGACAGGATGGAGTGTGGGAAACACATACCCTTCAAGGGGACGTGTCCTTCCTGGTACAAATGGATGTCCTGGCCCGGGTAGCTTGTTGTCCCAGCCCCTGATCTGAACACGGGTGCAGGGGTTGATGTTGCTTCAGGGACAGTCTTGTGTTTCGAGGTGTTTCTTGTTCCTTCTTATGTGATTCATCTGAAAACTGAACCAAAAGTTTCTTCTTTTATCTGTTCAAATCTGTTAGAAAAGCAGGTCTGGTGAGAGAACAGTTAAAGAAACCTGAGGACCCGCTCTTTACTCTGTCTTGAGCCATCTGTAGTTAAATTGGAAGGCAGCAGTCAGAAACCCACAGCCTCGAGTTGGGTGGTGGCTCTGTTCTTGAGCTTTGATTATGGGGTGCTGAGTTGTGGTTACAGCTGAGTCCTGGGGTCAGCAGATCTACTGAAGATCTCTGGGACGCTGGCACCAGCAACTAGCTTCCACGTTCACATCCTGGCGGGCCCCCACAAAGCTCCATTATGCGGTAGGTGCTTCAGGGTCGAAGATGTGGGGCCAGAGTGGGTCCCAAGCACAGTGTAGCAACCTGGTAGGGTTAGTGACACCCCCTCCCTAGCCTCTGTCCAGCAGTTAAAACCTGAGATGCACCCTACAGAGGCGCTGCAGAAATTCCCAACCCCCCAGGGCCCCGTCTGTCCTTCCTGTGGCTTGGCCAACAGGCCAGAAATAGCGTAACCTTTGCCTTGGCTGGCAAATGGAAACTTCCAGCTGCTGTCCTTGCCGCCATGGCTCACAAGCCTGCTCGCGATGGTGTGGCAGTTGGTCACAGGGTGGGGTCAAAATTAAGTTGGAGGGAATTTTCTATTTTCTTTTTGAGACAGAGTCTTGAGTTGTCACCCAGGCTGGATTACAGTGGTGCAATCTCAGCGCACTGCAACCTCCACCTCCTGGGTTCAAGCGATTCTTCTGCCTCAGCTTCCCAAGTATCTGCAATTACAGGCACCACGCCCGGCTAATTTTTTTTCCATTTTTTGTAGAGACAGGGTTTCACCATGCTGGCCATGCTGCTCTCGAAGTCCTAACCTCAGGTGATCCACCCGCCTCAGCCTCTCAAAGTGCTGGGATTACAGGTGTGAGCCACTGCGCCCAGCAGGAATATTCCTAAATATAAGAGGTGTGTCTGCCACCCGCCCTTCTCAAGTGGAGCTCTGGGTCGAGAGAGGGAGGGGGTGAATTTTGGGCTAAGGAGCCTGCTGATGTCACTTTTCTTGTCTTTTCAATTATCTGTATTGGCTTTTTGATTGTCAAAGTAAAAAAATGTGAAGATTACAGGAATCATGTCCTGATAATAGCTACCTCATATCAAGCCCTCACTATGTGCCAGGCACCTTCTGGGGACTTGGCTGCAGTTGTCTGTTACTCTTCACACAAGCTCAATGAGGCGGTCCTGTTATTACCATTTTTATTTTAAGAATGAGGAGAATGCAGCTTCAAGAAGGTAAGCAACTTGCCGACCGTCACACAGCTTAGCCGAGGAAGAGCCAGGCTTCACACACGGGCCTTGCCGCCTCTAGACTACGTGTTTATTTTTTAGACTGAGCACTTTTAAAAGAGTGGCTTATTTTTTTTGTTTTGAATTTAAAGGTCACAAAGACACACAGAAATTGTTTGCTATCTCTCTTCCAAGATAACCTCTGTTGATATGAAAAAAAAAAAAAAAAAAGCTGGGCATGGTGGCTCATGCTTGTAGTCCTGACACTTTGGGAGGCTGAGGCAGGAGGATCGCTTGAGCCCAGGAGTTTGAGACCAGCCTGGGAAACATGGCAAAACCCCATCTCTACACAAAAAATACAAAAATCAGCCAGTCATGGTGGTGTGTACCTGTAGTCTCTGCTACTTGGGAGGCTGAGGCAGGGGGATTGCTTGAGCCCAGGAAGTCAAGGTTGCAGTGAGCTGCTATTGTGCTATTGCCCTCCAGCCTGGGCCACAGAGTGAAACTCTGTCTTTAAAAAAAAAAAAAAAAAAGAAAGAAAGAAAGAAAGAAAGAAAAAGAAAGCAAAAAAAAATGGCCAGGCGCAGTGGCTCATGCCTGTAATCCCAGCACTTTGAGAGGTCGAGGCAGGTGGATCACTTGAAGTCAGGAGTTCGAGACCAGCCTGGCCAACGTGGTGAAACCCTGTCTCTATTAAAAATACAAAAATTAGCCAGGTGTGATGGCGCACATCTGTAACCCCACCTACTTGGGAGGCTGAGGCAGGAGAATCGCTTGAACCTGGGAGGCAGAGATTGCAGTGAGCCGAGATCACACCACTGCACTCCAGCCTGGGCAACAGAGTGAGACTCTATTTAAAAAAAGAAAAGAAAAGAAAACAAAACAAAACAAAGAAACACAGTCAGTGTTTATAAGGTTAACAATTCAAATGCCAAAGAGGTTCAACATGAAATGTAAGGCCACCTCCTTTCCCCTCTTCTCACGTTCTCTCTGTTGTGAACTTTCTTTTTATTCCCCCAAAATTGAAATGATGCTTCTTTCTACTCTCAGCCACTACACCATCCCCCCCGAATCTTCCAGAGAGGATCGCTGTCTATATAGTTCTCTAGATTTGTCTCTATGCCTGTTTTATTTTCATGATCCTCAAATGGGATCACTCTTTGCATGTGGCCCTGCCACCTGCCTTGGGCATCTTTCTGTGTGAGCGGCAGGTGACGTTCTCTGGATGAAACACCTCTTCGTGCCTCCCCTCTCTCTCCCTGTGCCTGTGCACTGGCTCTCTTTGTCTCGAGTCCTTTGCCTGTGTTCCCCCTGGAAGAGGAGACGGCTTCCCATGGCCTCTCGATAGCCCTGTGGGGCGGAGAGAGTGAAGGAGGCAGGGCTGTGGCCCTTCCCCTGCTCGGACGGACTCCTGCGCAGCCTCCTTGGCAGTCCTGGGGGTCCCATCTGGAGATGCGGGGCTGTGTGCCTGGGGTGGCAGCAGCTGGCATGGGAGCAGTTGCCCTGAGGTTGATACGTGTGTGGTGGGACTGGACGGTTGCCTGTGGGGTGTGCGCACCGGAAGCAAGCCAGCCTCTGTGCTGGTGACTCTCAGACCCTGCAGGGATGGCATGAGCTTCACCTGAGAACTTGAAGTACCTAAGAACCTTCTTTGCTGGTGCAGAAGACCAGCTGCTGAGGGAGGCCAGGAGAAGGCACTGCCACTGTCTTGCTGTGGGACCTGGCACATCCTCTTCCAGATCCTGGACCTCAACGTCCCCACCCACCCACAAAGGGAGGGACTGGACCCGCTGGGCCCTGGGATCCTTGCCAGCTCCGGGAGCACACCATCCTCTGGCTCGAGGGTCCTTCCCTGGCACAGTCTCCTTCACGTGAGGATTCTGGTTGTGTCTTGGCAGCAGGCCCTGCAGGACAAGGGGTGCAAGAGCCAGAGTCAGGGGACGAAAGAAGAGAAGCTTTGGAAGAGACAGGCGCCGGCCCCCAGGCGGGCCCGGGAGGCCCGGGAAGCTGGTGGCACCATGAATGTAGAGAATACAGGTAAAGCAGGCCTGCCCGCCAAACCGGCACTCCCCAGTGAAGCCAGCGCAGGAGGGAGGCTCTTGTGCAGTTGGTGATATCCCCATGCCCTGTCCTCCCCGGCTGGAGGTGGCCTAGACAGACTCCAGCTGCCTGATCCGCAGCTGCAATCCCCCAGCCTGCCTCTCCCGGATTCAGGGACAGTGGTGTGTATAGAACCTTCATCTCACCCATGCCTCCCACAGCATCCAGGCCCCACCCAGTGATAAGAGTCCTTGGCCAGCGTGGGCTGGGGTTGAATTTCCCTGCTTTTTGTTTTTTCCCAGTGCCTGTCTAAAGCAGGGCGAGGGTGGCAGCCTCACAGACGCCACCACCTGCAGAGAGAGACTCGGCCTTCTCCCTCCTATCCGTGGGCCCCCAGGGTCTGGAGGCTCCTAGGACAGGACTTTGATTCTCCTGGCCAGAGGCTGAGACAAAGGAGCCAGTGGCTCAGCTCTTCCCTGGCAGGGCCTGCCATGGTGCCCAGGGCTGGCTGGTTCTGGAAGATTCTACAGGCCCCCCTTGTAGTCTTACGGGTCCATGCCGGGGGTCCCTCGCAGTAAGCGAGAGCCTGGTGATAATGGGGAAGCAGCATCCTCTAGGAGCCCGGAAGGAAGAGAGCGTGTGACGGAAAAAGGAGCTGGCCTTTCTGTCATCTTCCTCCTCCATTGCCAAAAGGTTAACTTGTGTGTCTGAACTTGCCATGTGGTGGAAGGAGCCACTCCCTTCTCTGAGGCTGTCCCAGAGCCCTGTTCTGGGGTTCTGGCCTGTCTGGGCCCAGGCACTCCTCTGCAGCGAGTGGCAGGGGTTGGGGTCTGGCTGAGTGTGGGCAGGCCAGCCTCGGGCAGGGGACATCATCTTGCTGATTGTGCGCTGAGAAGAGGAAGGCCGATCCCAGGGAACAGCAAGGGTTACCTGGTCAGTGGGTCCAGGCCACGCCTGCATCGCATCTTTGAGCCCCGAGTGCAGCCTCCCCAGCACAAGGGCCCCTTTGATCTCACCTTGTCCTCCCGTCCTCCCCTTTCTGGGGCCTCCATGAGCTTCTTGGAGATCTTTTCTCCACAAGCACTCTCCTGGCCCCCTTCCCACTGCCCTGCCGCGGTGCTGAGACCCGGCGAGCCCCTGCAGGGGTGACATCCCGTGGCGTGAGCAGTGTTCTGGATGAGCTGGGCTCTCCGAGACCTCATTTCTGCCCCATGGCCTGTTGTGTAACAGCCACCCACACCTGTGCATGTCCATGGTGCTGGGCTCCTTTCGGGCAAGGCTCCTTGTCCCCATTTCTCCTAGGAAGCTCCTGCTGGGCCCCTCCCACACGTCTCTCGAGTGGCAGAACCAGCTCTTGGGCCAGGAGTCCAGTGTGTTCCCTGCCTCACTGCAGCAGCCTGCAAAGGGCTGAGGGCCACGCTGGTCACGTGCTGCTCATGCTGCCCCGTGTGCAGGCCTGGAAGCATCCGTCTGATCTCACTCACTCTAGAACAGATCGCAGGAGCTTGGCCAGCTCTGTGTGACATACATGCTGCATCACGTGCAGGCCACACAGCCAGGGTCACCACCCAACCGGGGATGCCCAGCTCCAGCTCTCTGGAGTGCTCGGGTGGAGGAGGGAAGAGCCGACCTGTGCGTGCCCCTCCTGCTCTCCTAGAGCGGGTTGGGGGGGCCTGTAGCTATCTGCCCCTCCTCCTGGGGCTGTGCTGAGATGTCCCCGCCCAGCTGCAAGCTGCACCCTCCCCACTTCCCTGTCCAGCTGAGTCCGTTTGGCTTCCCTCAGGCCAGGCTGTCAGAGGGGTGTGTGACTTCAGGTGCAAGTGGCTTCCTTCCCAGAGTCTAAGATCCCCCCAACCCCAGCCTGCCGAGGGCTGGGTTTCCTGGGGACTAATGTGGGAACACCTAGAGCCCCAGGCTCCGAGGTGGAGGGCAGCGCTCTCTGGCCAGCAGATGCCCTCTTCACCCTTCACTCTGCCACACTCTGTCACATCCCATTTGGTGCTCCCTGAGGGGAGGAGGCAAACCCCCCATCCCTCCTCCCTAGCCCCCCATTCTTCTCTCTCTCCCCCAAACTCTTTGCTCCCTACCTGCAAAGACCATGGCCATTCTTGGCGCCCTGGAAGCAAGCTGTAACAAGCATCCCAGGCCCCGTGCACAGGTCACGGGCCCTGATTCTGTGTTCTTGTCCTTCATCCATCTGTCCATCTCTCTCGTTCCTGGTGACAGGACAGTGGGAGGCCTTTGGAGGAGGAGGACTCAGGCAGAGCTTCTGCCCAGCCGGGTGTTTCCCTCTCTCTTGCCTGGGAGGTTCCTGCGCTTCATCCTTGCTAGGTGCCGGCTGGCTGAGTTCTTGCTCCATGTGTGGGGCTGGCTTTGTGTCCTGGTCTGTCTGTCCCTCGCACATACACACGGCTCCCCTGGCTCCCCTCTTTCTGCACAGTTGACCACTTGCCACAGGGGCAGGCTGGGGAGCCCCACTCTTCTGTACTCTTGAGAGGGTTTGAGACTTAAAGAAATAACGTTCCTACAAGAATAGAGTTTTCTAGGGTGAGAATCCCTTGTCTTTCCCAGCTGCGATTCCTTGCAGCCTGGCCATGGAGAGAGGCTGGCCCATCAGACCTAGAACATGTGCTTTGAGAGCCGTATTCAGTGAAAATTGCTTTCTTAAGTCCGGATCCAGGTAATTTCATCCCCCAGATGCTGCCTGGGGAAGTGTCTTCTTCTGGGACAGGCCCTGGAGGCCCCAGCTAACCTATGCCGCTGCCGCCCCAGCCCTCACCTGGTTGCCCACCCCCTCTGCTTGCACCTCTATCATCCCTGGTGGTCTGTCTTGCTGTGATGGACCCCCTCCTCTGCCAGCGTGGGACCTCTGCTGCCCTCTCATCAGCCACTACTTTGCTCGTAGGTGGGCGTCTCTTTGGCAGCAGGAGGTGCTCGAGCTTGTCGGGGCCACCAGGTGCGGCCCCCATGGTGCTTAGGATGGTGGAGGCCATGTCCCAGCTCCAGGACGAGAAGACCCAGCTACAGGAGGAGCTGGTGGTCCTACAGGAGAGGCTGGCCCTCCGCGACAGTGACCAGCAGGCCACGTCCACCCAGCTGCAGAACCAGGTACCTGGGGAGGCTGGGATGGGCAGAGGCCACTGCCCACTATGGAGCAGGTCAGAGGACATCACCTGGGCACCTGACCCCACCAGGCTACTGGTGTAAGAGGAGATAGCTGGGGTCTCGTTTCCTGGAATACGCTGGAGGGTAGGGTGGTGAGAGTCAGAGGCCTCCCATCCTGGAGGATGCGCTTTTGAGATGCAGCATTTCTTTCAGCTTGCAGAGGCCTCCCATCCTGGTCCTCCTTGTGCCCCATCTCCTTGCGGTTACCAGGGGCCAGGACCTTCCCCACTAGGAGGTGACGTAGATGTGAGTGGAGCAGGAAGGTGCGGGGTGCTTCCCACCCTGAGTCCACCCCATCTTCGACGGTGCCCTGCACTGGGCAGCCTGAGCGGACAAAACTCATCAGATGGTCACCCCACAGGAGATTGGCATGACGTTTCTTGTTCTTTTGATTTCTCGTTAAAGGTGGATGCTAGTTTGAGTGCATGTTGGGGAAGGGATCTCTCAACCTCTGGAAGCCAGGGAGAGCCAGGGTTCATGCAGGTCAGCGTTGTCTCCTTCATTGGCTGGGCAGGACATTTGGGTACCATTGGCTCATGAGCTGCACGTCCCATGGGGCTGACCACCGGCCCTCTTCTGTGTGTGTGACTGCGTCACTTTCTTCTCCTTCTGCATCTCCATGTGGGCTCCCAGGCCTCTTTCCCCACTCTCATCCTCAGTGTCTGTCTCTGTGGCTGTATCTGAGCCTCGCCCACTTCCCCAAGGTCTCCAAGCCTGTCTGCCACATCATCCCCACTTCTGATCCAGTGCCCTGGCCTGGCTGTTGGGCCTCTGAGCTCTGGGCCCAGCACTCTGTTGACAGACTGGCCTTCAGGTAGAGCTAAGTTCTTTCTGTGTCCCATGAGCCAGCAAAGAGATGGCCTGGACATGCCGACGTCTGCCTGTTGCGCATCATGTGTGCTGTGACTTGTTCTCTCAGTTCTGGGGGCAGCATATTGTGCGCGTTTTTGAAATGCAGCATTTCTTCCAGCTTACAGGTGTGTCCTCTTCTCAAGAATGGCCTGGCCTGCCCACCTGCCCCTTGCTGAGTCGGGTGGGGCTCCTTGGGGCACCCCTCATGCTTTGTGTCTTCCTCTTACACACTTACCCCACAGCTTGACTATCTGGGCCTGCCTTCCCCACTAACTGGGGACTCCTCTAGGCTAGCCCTGTATCCTCTTGCCTGCTGCATGCCCGCCTGCTCCCTTGGGTATTTGTGCACGCCCCTTTTGTACTGGCACTGAGCTGGGCACGGGGGATACCCCAGTGGACAGCAGGCTCCCACCTGGTGGAGGCTCTGCCTGGGGGAAAACGGACATTTGCTTCACACACCCACAGAAAGTGGGAAGGGCTCACTGGGATGGGCACACACATGGCCTCGAGGGCTTGTCCCTGGGCGTCTTGAGCTGAGCTCTGGGACAGAGCAGAGGAAAGTGTACTCTGAGCTGAGGCCTAGCCAGTGCAAAAGGACTTGTGGTAGGAGAGGTGTGGCTCAAGCGCCTTGGGGGGTTGCAGGGGGTCCAGGGCCCACCCTGAAGGACACGTGTCTGGCCTCAGGCAAAGGCTGAGCAGCCCCTCTTCCTTCCCTGACCTTCCCCAGTTAGGCTTTTCAGACACTTCATTTTGCAAATAAGTGTTTTTTAAAGGGCTTTGTGGGCTGGGCGTGGTAGCTCACACCTGTAATCCCAGCATTTTGGGAAGCAGAGGTGAGTGGATCGCCTGAGGTCAGGAGTTCAAGACCAGCCTGGCCAACATAGTGAAACCCCGTCTCTACTAAAAATACAAAAATTAGCTGGGTGTGGTGGCGGGCGCCTGTAATCTTAACTACTTGGGAGGCTGAGGCAGGAGAATTGCTTGAACCCGGGAGGGAAAGGTTGCAGTGAGCTGAGATCACGCCACTGCACTCCAGCCTGGGCAACAAGAGTGAAACTCTGTCTCAAAAAAAAAAAAAAAAAGAAAAGAAAATGGGCTTTGTGGAGATATAATTCACATGCCATAAAATTCTCCCCTTGAAGGTGTACAATTCGGTGGTCGGTGGTAAGTATATTAAGGTGGCAATGCACCCATCACCAGTGTCTCATTGCCAAACGTCTTCATCACTCCAACAGGCCTATTGATGGTCACTCCCCATGCTCCTTGCCCCACAGCCCCTGGCAACCTTTAATCTGCTTTCTGTTTTTATGGATTTGTCTTTTCTGAACATTTCATAGAAGTGAAATCGTAGTATCTAACCTTTTGTGACTTTAAAGAGGTTTTTGAAAACACTTTTTCCTTTAATTAACAAAATCAACTTACTTTTTAAGAAGGGAAAGTGAGGAGGAAACATCCCAGCCTTTTTAGTTATTTGAGCCCCAGCTCTCTAGCCTCTCTTAGGAGAACCCCCGAGCTTACCCCACTCCCACAAGTGACTTAGGAATTCAGAATGGTTCCTGGTCTTTGTTCTCATTTTGTCCTTGAATGTTGTTTTTCTTTTTCTTTTTTGAGATGGAGTTTCGCTCTTGTTGCCCAGGCTGGAATGCAATGGCGCAATCTCGGCTCACTGCAATCTCCACCTCCCAGGTTCAATCGATTCTCCTACTTCAGCCTCCTGAGGAGCTAGGATTACAGGCATTCACTACCATGCCTGGCTAATTGTTTGTATTTTTCAGTAGAGACGGGGTTTCACCATGTTGTTCAGGCTGGTCTCGACCTCCTGACCTCAGGTGATCCACCCGCCTCAGCCTCCCAAGGTGCTGGGATTACAGGCGTGAGCCACCGCGCCCAGCCTGTCCTTGAACCTTCTGACTGCAGCTCTTTTCTGGAAATTTCTCAGGGGATGTATCTGAAGCTCCAGGTCTCTGAGATACTCTGGAGGGCCCGACCTTGTGGAGATGTGGCCAACCACATGGGCCTGGAGCTGGGTTCAAACCCTGACTTTGGCACTACTTATTAGCTGTGTGACCTTGGGACAGTTAATTACCACTCTGCAGGTCAGTTTCCTCATCTGTGAGATGGATGTAATAATAGGGTGTGATGAGATGATCCCTAGTGAGTCATTGGTGTTGCTGTGGCCACCACCATTGTTGTTACTGGGAGAGTTTTGGATTTGGAATCCCGTGAGCAGGATTCTATTCTGGCTGTGCCATGTGCCAGCTGGGCAGCTGTAGGAAGTCACTTCCTCTCTGAGCCTTCACTTCCCAGTCTCTAAACTGGGGCTCACAAATGTCGCATTGCAGTTTGGGGGTGGATCTGTTGTAAGAATGGACAGAAAAAAGATGGTCAACTGTAATGTGTGGTGCATCGTGAGCTGTCACTCCCGTGTGCCCTGGTCTCCTGCTGGCCTCACTGTGGTTTGACTCAGACTTGGACTTTCCTGGAATTCTGAACTTTGCCTCTCTAAGCAAAGCCCGCCAGGGGGTACACTCTGCCTTGTTTTCCATGGTGCCGTGTTTCCAGCCCTATCCACCACTGGCTTCTGATCGGCTGCTTTCTCACACTGCTGTTCCTGCAAGGCTGTGTGGCCCCATGGTTAAGGGTGAGGGTTCTGCAAGGGTCAGCCAGATGCGAGTTCCGGTCCTAGGTCCACCACTTACTGGTCAGGTGACCTCAAGTAAGTTGCCTAACCAAGGCTTAACCTCTTAGGAGCTCAGTTTTTCTTCCTGTAAAATGGGGATAATAATAGTACCTACCTCAGGGGAATAGGGGATGAAAAATGGTCTTATGAAATCCCCCTGCCCTACTGGCAAAGCCAACTCAGTTAACGGGGCTCCATTATCACTGTTGGGACCTGGGCTTGTGGGAGCTCAGGAGTCTTCTCAGACCTCCTCATTGCTGTGCCAGGTGGAGGAGGTGTTTGTATTTACTGAGAGCAGTTGGGCCAATGGCCCATAGTCCTTGAGCACCCAGCTGACCCAGGCCACAGAGGCTGCTCATCTTGGTCTGGTGACCACAGGAGGCTGTGGCTGTTGGGATGACCCTCCCCAGTGTTGTTAACAACAGTCCCAGGCCATGTCCTGCTGGCCTTGAGTTCCCCTGTCCTCTTGTGAATGTCCCTAGAGCCATGGCCTCAAGGTTCCTGAAGTTCCCAATAATGTGACATGCTGCCCAGACCTCACTACACTCCTTTTTTATTTTGAGGCAGGGTCTCACTCTGTCACCCAGGCTGGAGTGCAGGGGCGTGATCACAGCTCACTGTAGCCCCTGCCTCCCGGGCTCAAGCCATCCTCCCACCTAAGCCTCCTGAATAACTAGGACCACAGGTGTCCACCACACCTGGCCCACTTTTGTATTTTCTGTCCAGACGGAGTCTTGCTATATTGCCCAGGCACGTCTCAAACTCCTGGGCTCAAGAGATCTGACTGCCTCAGCCTCCCAAAGTGCTGGGATTACAGGCATGAGCCACTGTGACCGGCACTCACGGCACTCCCTACCTGCCCCCTGCACCTCAAGAGTGAACCTTAAAAAATTGTTTTCAGGCCAGGTGTGGTGGCTCACACCTGTAATCCCAGCACTTTGGGAGGCCGAGGTGGGCAGATCTTCTGAGGTCAGGAGTTCGAGACCAGCCTGGCCAACATGGTGAAACCCCGTCTCTACTAAAAATACAAAAATTAGCCGGGCATGGTGGTGCACACCTGTAAGTCCAGCTACTAGGGAGGCTGAGGCAGGAGAATTGCTTGAACCCGGGAGGTGGAGGTTGCAGTGAGCCAAGATTGCGCCACTGCACTCCAGCCTGGGTGACAGAGCAAGACTCTATCTCAAAAAAAAAAAAAAAAAAAAAAAAATTTGTCTTCAGAGACCACAGGCTGGAAAACTAGATCTTGCCCTCAAATGTGTCTTGTTTGGCTGCTGCCTTCTTCTTTTTTTTTTTTTTAAATCATTTTAAAAATAGACGTAACATAAAATTTACCATCTTAAGCATATATATATATTTTTTTTCTTGAGAGAGAATCTTGCTCTGTCACCCAGGCTGGAGTGAAGTGGCATGATCTCGGCTCACTGCAACCTCTGCCTCCTGAGTTCAAGGAATTCTCCCACTTCAGCCTCCTGAGTAGCTGGGACTACAGGTGCACACCACCACACCTGGCTAATTTTTGTATTTTTAGTAGAGATGGGGTTTCACCATGTTGGCCAGGCTGGTCTTAAATTCCTGACCTCAGGTGATCCACCTGCTTAAGCCTCCCAAAGTGCTGGGATTATTGGCGTGAGCCACCGCGCCCGGCTGATCTGAAGCATTTTTGAGAGTAACGTTCAGCAGCAGTACATTCTCATTGTGCAACAACCATCACCATCTGATACAGTTTGGCTCTGTGTCCCCACCCAAATTTCATCTCGAATTGTAATCCCCACATGTCAAGGGAGGGACCTGGTGAGAGGTGAACGGATCATGGGGTGGTTTCCTCCATGCAGTTCTTGTGATAGTGAGTTCTCATGAGGTCTGATGGTTTAAAAGTGGCAGTTTGCCCTTCATGTGCTCACTATCTCTCTCCTGCCGCCATAGAAGACATGCTTTGTGTCTCCTCCTCCTTCTGCCAGGATTGTAAGTTTCCTGAGGCCTCCCCAGCCATGTGGAACTGTGAGTCAATTAAACCTCTTTTATTTATCTATCTATTTATTTATTTATTTATTTATTTTTATTTTTTGAGATGGAGTCTCTGTCTCCCAGGCTGGAGTACAGTGGCACAATCTCAGCTCACTGCAACTTTCGCCTCCTGGGTTCAAGTGATTCTCCTGTCTCCGGCTCCCGCATAGCTGGGACTACAGGTGTACACCACCACACCCGGCTTTTGTATTTTTAGTAGAGACAGGGTTTCACCATGTTGGCCAGGCTGGTCTCAGACTCCTGACCTCAAGTGATCCACCTGCCTCGGCCTCCCAAAGTGCTGGGATTACCGGTGTGAGTCACCATGCCTGATGAAACCTCTTTTCTTTATAAATTACCCAGTCTCAGGTATTTCTTTATAGCAGTGTGAAAACTGACTAATACACCATCCATCTCCAGAACTCTTTTCATCTTCTGCTACTGAAATTTGGGCCTCATTAAAGAGTAACTCCTCATTCGCCATCTGTCTCCGTGGGTTTGACTGCTCATGTAAGTGGAATCATCCAATATTTGTCCTTCTGTGACTGGCTTATTTCACTTAGTATAATGTCCTCAAAGTTCATCTATGTAGCATGCATCAGAATTTTCTTCCTTTTTAAGGCTGAGTAATATTGCATTGTATGGATATACCACGTTTTGTTTGTTTTGTTTTTCCATTCATCCATCCATGGGCTGCTTCCACCTTTTGGTTACTGTGAATAATGCTGCTATAAACATGAGTGTACAAGTATCTCTTTGAACCCCTCCTTTAAATTATTTTGGGTATATACCCAGAAATGGAATTGCTGGATCATATGATAGTTCAATTTTTAATTTTTTGAGGAACCATCATACTGTTTTCCATAGTGGCCGCACCATTTTACATTCCCACTAACAGTGCACACGGGTTCCAGTTTCTCCATATCCTTATCAGCACTTGTTTTTCATTTTCTTTATTTATTTGTAGAGATGAGGTCTCGCTATGTTGCCCAGACTAGAGTGCAGTGGCCGTTCATGGTCATAGCTCACTGTAGCCTCTGAACTCCTGGCCTCAGGCAATCTTTGTGCCTCAGCCTCCTGGAGTAGCTGGGACTCGCTCCTGCTTATTTTCATTTTTGTAACAGCCATCCTAATAGGTGTGCAGTGGTATCTCATAGTGGTTTTGATTTGCATTTCCCTAATGCCAGTGATATTAAATATCTTTTCATGTGTGTTTTAGTTATTTGTATGTCTTCTCTGGAGAAATTGCTATTCAAGTTCTTTGCTCATTCTTAAATTGGGTTTGTTGTTGTTGAGTTATAGTTCTTTATATATCCAGGATAATAACTCCTTATCAGATAAATGATTTGCGAGTATTTTCCACGTGTTGCCTTTTCACTCTGTTGATAGTGTCCTTTGTTATACAAAAGTTTTTAATTTTGATAAAGTCTGACTTACCTATTTTTTCTTTTATTGCCTGTGCTTTTGGTGTTATATCCAAGAAGTCATTGCCAAATTTAATGTCATGACATTTTCTCCTCTATTTTCTTCTGAGAGTTTTATAGTTTTAGCTCTCACATTTAGGTCTTTGGGGTTTTTTGTTTTTTGTTTTGACACAAGATCTTGCTGTATTGCCCAGGCTGCAGTGTGGTGGTATAGTCATGGCTCACTGTGGCCTTGGCCTCCTGGGCTCAAGTGATCTGCCCGCCTCAGCCTCCCTAGTAGCTGGGACCACAGGCGTGTGCCACTGTGCCCAGCTAATTTTGGTTACTTGTTGTAGAGACAGGGTTTCCCTATGTTGCCCAGGCTGGTCTTGAACTCCTGGGCTCGAGCACTCCTCCTACCTTGGCCTCCCAAAGTGCTGGGATTACACCACGCCTGGCCCTCTTTGATCTATTTTGAGTTAATTTTTGTATATGGTATAAGGTAAGGATCCAACTCCATTCTTTTGCCTGTGGATATCCAGTTTTCTCAGCACCATTTGTTGAAAAGATTATCCTTTCCCACATTAAATGATCTTGGCAACCTTGTCAAAAATCATTTAACCATATATGCGAGGGTTTATTTCTGGACTCTGTATTCCATTCCATTGCTCTTTATGTCTGTTTTAATGTCAGTACCACACTGCTTTGATTGCTGTAGCTTTTTTTTTTTTAATTTTTTTTTTATTTGAGATGGAGTCTTGCTCTGCTGCCCAGGCGGGAGTGCAGTGGTGCAATCTCAGCTCACTGCGACCTCTGCCTCTCGGGTTCAAGCGATTCTCCTGCCTCAGCCTCCTGAGTAGCTGGGATTACAGGCGCCTGCCATGAGGCCCGGCTAATTTTTGTATTTTTAGTAGAGATGGGGTTTCGTCACGTTGGCCAGGGTGGCCTCAAACTTCTGACCTCAGGTGATCCGCCTGCCTCGGCCTCCCAAAGTGCTGGGATTACAGGCATGAGCCACCGCGCCTGGCCAATTGCTGTAGCTTTTTAGTGAGTTTTGAAATCAGGAAGTGTGAGACCTTCAGTCTTTCAAGACTGTTTTAGCTATGTGGTGTCCCTTGATATGGATTTTTCTATTTCTTTAGAAAATGTCATTGGGATTTTGTTAGGCATTGCATTGAATCTGTAGATCACTTTGGGTAGTACTGACACCTTATCAATATTAAATCTTCTAATCCATGAACATGGAATGTCTTTCCATTTATTGGTGTCATCTTTAATTTCTTTCACCAATATCTTGTAGTTTTTAGCATACAATATTTAACCTTTGTTAAGTTTATTCCTCGGTACTTTATTCTTTTTGATGCTATTGTAAATGGAATTATTTTCTTAATTTCCTTTTTGGATTGTTTATTGTTAGTTGTAGAAATGTAACCGATTTTTGTGTGTTCATTTTGTATCCTTCAACTTTGCTGAATTTATTAGTTCTAATTGCCCTGCTTTTAAAATCAAATTAATTCCAACATTCAAATCTTAATTAAATTCACATAAAACTCTAGACTTCCTTTTTGTCATAAAATATTGGAAGATGTGGCACCTCTGAGCTGACATTCCCACATGGCACCCACCGCTTGAGGTCTAGTGGCAGCTCCTGCCTTTGGTGGAGGTGACCATCCTTTAGCACGCTCCAGCCCCACCACCCTTTCTGTCTCTGCTTACCAACCTCATCCACAAGTTCTGCTCTGGCTGGCCCCTCATGCATTCAGCATTCTTCCTACAGGTACTTACTGAACACCTACTGTGTACCAGGCACTGTTCCAGGCACTGGGAGTACAGTGCTGAACACAACAGACAAAAATCCCTGCCTTCGCATATATCATCTCGTTTAATCCTCGAGACAGCTTCCATGAGGTAGCCTCATTATACAAATAAGGAAACTAAGAGACATAGAGAACTTAAGAGACTTGTCCAAGGTTACCCAGCAGGTAAGGGGATGTCTGGATTAGAACCTGGGCAGCCTGGCTTTAGAATTCGAATTGTCAGCTGCTATTACTGCCCATCAGTGGCGGAAGGACCCAGAGGTGAAGACTTGGCAACAGAGGCAGGGTGGCGTGGACAGGGGACAGATAGGCCTGGCCGGTGGTCATACAGCCAGGATCAGGCCTTCTGTGGGCTCCACAGGGTGTGCTCCCAGGGCCGCCCCGCTGGCCTCTGGGCTGAGTTTCCTTGAGGTTGTCTGGATCCCAGACCCTCTGGCCTTCCCAGCTCAGCAGCTTCAGCCTGGGAGAGCCCGCTTTTCCTCAGCAGACAGCTGATGATCGTTGACTGGGCTTGGTGGGAGGTAAGGAGGTAACCAGCAGGTTTTCTTTCTGTGATGGTAAGAGGCCGCCTTGGAAGCAGACAGCTGAGAAAACACAAAGACCTGGGCTGGCTGGCCCCACCCTTGGTCGAGCCGCTTCTGCCTGTGAAGTGTAAATGCAGGTGGTGTCAAGCCGGCAGACAGGCCCAGCTCCCTCTTCCCCTTGAGCAGGCAGGGTGACGCCCCCTGCAGCAGGCCCGTGATTCAGTTGCTCTGGCTGATGAGGAGCCTGGGCCCGGGAGGAGTGTCGCACAGCCCCAGCCTGGTCCGTCCTCAGCCCTGGATTGACGTCCATGCTGTCCTGGGACCGTTTCAGCCGCCTAGTGGGGAGTCTGCTTTCTCCTCCGTCCTGTGTCTTGGGCTCAGGCATGTGCCTGCTGCCCCTTTGTGGCCACAAGTATGTATCGGGCCCAGGGTGGCACTCGGGACCCTCCCCTGTTGGGCTTAGAGACATGGACGGCCCTTGCTGGCTGGAAGCTGCGGTGAGTGTGTGAAGGGCCCTCAGTCTTCCCTGAGGAAGGCCCTGCCTGCTCTTGGCTCTCACTGCTCCCAGGCCATCTTCCATCCGCTTTCCCCAGGTGCCTCCGTTTCTCTCTGACTTCTTGCCTGTTTTCCCTAACTCTGAGAGATTGCCTGCCTTCAAGTGCAGGAGAAAGCAGACATCTTCCCTACAAGCCCGAGACCTAGCCCCCAGTAGAGCTGGCCAACCACCTGCCACGGAGCAGGCCACTGGTGCCTTGGCCAGAGTGCTCGTGGTGCCAGTCTGCTGCGTCTCAGTCACATTCCCCCTGCTTTGCTGCCCTCAAGAAGCCAGAGATGACCTAGTGTCTGACACCTCTGAACAAAGGGGCCTTTAGAGCCCCTTCCTCAACTCCCTCACCATCCCCCATGCTCCCCAGCCTGCCCTGGTTGCGGTTGCGGCCACTTCCTTTTGGGTGCCCCTCTGAGATTCTGGACAGAGCCCAGGAGCCCCCAGGTTCCCATTGTGATGCAAGGACAGAACAGAACCCTGGGCCGCAGGCAGGTGGCTGGTGGGTATCCCGCCTCCCACCCCCAGCAAACACTGGCAAACCCCACTCTCCCTGCATCAGGGTCTGAGTGCCTGGCAGGGGCGGCAGTGGAGATGATCAAGGTTAGTGCGCCCAGCCCCATGCTGAGGCAGCAGCCTTTCTGGGGAGGGAGGGGGCGTGGAAGGAGACTTCAACCTTTTGAAGAGGAAGTCAGTTCACTTATGTCAGGGTAGGGAGAGTAGGAATTACGTATTCTTTGAGACTGAAAAATTACTGGCCGGGCGCAGGGGCTCACAACGGTAATCCCAGCACTTTGGGAGGCTGAGGCGGGAAGACTGCTTGAGGCCAGGAATTCAAGGCCAGCTTGGGCAAAATGGCAAGACCCTTCTATACATTAAAAAAAAAAAAAAAATTAGCCGGGCGTGATGGTATGTGCTTGTAGTCCCAGCTACTCGGGAGGCTGAGATGGGAGGATGGCTTGAGTCCAGGAGGTCTAGGCTGCAGTGAGCCTAGATCGAGGCACTGCACTCCAGCCTGGGTGACAGAGTGAGACCCTGTCTCAAAAAGAAAAAAAAAAATTACTGAAAAGCATAAAGATTTTGTCAACTATAATTCCACAGCCCAGAGACCCCCACTTTTTAGTGCTGTACACTTAATGGTTTTTCAGATGTTTCTTGGACTTAATATGTTGATGAGCCTTTCCCCATGACATTTAAAACTCCTGATAAACATGAATGTAATGATGACAGAATAGTCTATGTACTATATATACACATTGTAATTCACCTGCCCACTCCTCTAAGGGTGCTTATTCAGGGTATTCTCAATTTTAGGACGAAAGCAGAAAGGCTGCCTCATGCAAACTGTCCCTACTCCCACCCAGGGGCCAAAGGACTTGAGCCGTCCTCTCATCAGGCACTGAGCGGGCAGAGAAGTGGCACAAGCTCTGCCTCCCTGCCTGGCCCGTGGCCCAGCGTGTTGCTAGGAAGGAATGTGTTTGTGCAGGTGGCGGCAGAGCTGACCTCCAGGGGTCTGGCCCTTGGGTCACCTGCTTGTCCCCCAGGAGGCCTGGCTGGGCCCCCAGCCTTTCACCTGGGTCTTGCATCTTGGAATCCCCCTGCCCCACCAAGAGCAGGCAGTGCCAGCTCCCTGGCCTTTTCCTCAGAGGTGGGGGTGGATCCCTTGGTCCACTTCCTCCCTGACCACTCAGAGCTGGCCTAGCTGCTGTGAGTCAGCCGTTCTCTCCCACCCTGGGAGACAGGGACCTCCGAGGCCGAACACTACCTTGTTTGATGACACAGACTTGTTTGATGACATCTCAACCATGTAAAGTAGGGAGATTTTACACACACCCCCAAAATCCAAATGTCCGGCCTGTCTTAACTATGGCTGATGCATGCTGCTGAGTGCTAAGGGGGCGGACTCTAAGCCTCTATTTTTATTTTATTTTTTTTAGACAGCCTCGCTCTGTCACCCTGGGGTACAGTGATGCTATCATAGCTTACTGCAGCTTCAAACTCCTGGGCTCAGGTGATCTCCCACCTAACCCCCCGGATTACAGCTGGGATTATAAGCGTGCACTGGTGCACTCGGCTGAGTTTTGAAACTTTTTGTAGAGATGGGGTCTTGCTGTGTTGCTCAGGCTGGCCTAGGCCTCTCTTGAAAGATGAGAATTTTGGCGATGCTGGGTGTGCGTTCTCACCTCCTGTCGTCCGAGGAGAGTACGTGGTGGCCGCCTTCTTAAAGGGTTCTTGGGAGCCAAGCCCTGCACAGCCCCTCACCTGCCTTACCTGGCTGTCCCCTGTAATCAGTGGACGTTGTTGCCTATCATTTAGTAATGAGAACCCAGCTGTGTAAACCTCCTAAACCACCACACAGGAATCTGGCTCTTAGCGCACCTTTCCCGAGGTGGGGGTTGCTCACCACAGGACGTTCTGCAAGAAAAGTACTAAACATGCCCTGACGGAAGCTGGAGCCAAAGTCTGTGTCTGTGAATTGTTTCCTGAGAGAGGTTTCTGGGGGTGGGCTGATGTGAGACCAGGGTCTAGGGCCTTGGGAGGGGATGGGTGGCTGGAGGACAGCGCCGGGGAAGGGTTGCTCCCCTGGGATCTGCCCTCATGGGACTGGCACCATGATGGTGTCCCCTCTTCTGGGGTCCGGATAAGCTAGGTAACCGTGGCTTCCTCATGGGGTGCACACCCCCTTCCCCCTATAAGAGCCTTGGCTGCCACAGCTTTCCTGCAAGGCAGATTGGGAGCAGGGGTGGACACAGGTTCTGAGTGTGCCCTGACCACTGGCAGACCCATCTCCACAGGCTGACTTGCCAGAGACCACCCCAAGTGGAAAATTCTGGGGGCTGGGCCAGGGTGGATCTAGGGCTCGGAGGACCTGGAGTATGTACCATCTGGGGGCCCTTTTAAAGAGAGAGAACATAAAATTACATAGACACAGGCAGGTACAGGACTTTGGGAGGGGCTCGTGTAGTGAGGGGTCCTGAGGGTGGGCTGCCGTTGGGTGGGCCCAGGGGGCATCGGGGTGGCCTTGGTTGCACTTGCCCTCTGGGCTTTCCTGAAGAGCTGGGGTTGGCTCTGTCCTGTGGAGGGAGAGGGTGCGGGAGGCTGTCAGCACCAGCCCAGGTTTCTCTCACCTGAAGTCCCAGGTGTGATGGGATGCTTGAACATAGGGGAACCTAAGGCCACAGCCTTAGAAGAAGCCACAGCCACATCAGTCATCCCTGGTGCTGGGCAGGAGGCCTGGGTGTAGGCTGGAGCTGAGGACTGAGGCTCACCTTGCTCCTGACTCTGTGCCCACAGGTAGAACACCTGAAGGAGAAGCTCATTAGCCAGGCCCAGGAAGTGAGCCGACTGCGATCTGAGCTGGTGAGGCCACAAGGCTGTCCTGGGGTAGCGCAGGGCCTGGCCTGCCTTGTGCAGATGGGCCCTGCCAGGGGCAGGGGTGCGACCCTCTCTCTCCTGAGCCCGCATATCCCACCCTGTCTCAGAAACACACCGAGAGCCTTATCCCCACCTCCTAGTACCCTCAGAGGCCTTGTGGCTCCAGGGGGTGGGAGGTTCCTTCTCTGTTGCTGACATTAAACGGGAGTGTGAACCCTGGTATAAATATGTCTCTCCTTGTGACTTTCACACTCAGAATAGGGTGGGGGCAGCAGGGAGAGCAGGCTCTGGGTCACCACCCTTCTCAACTCTGCCCTCCACTGTCTTTCTCTTGGTTTCTCTCTTGAGCTTGTTCCCTCCTCTCTTGCCCTTGCCTTTTTCTTTTTCTTTTTCTCCTTCCCTCTGCCTTTCTCCACACCTCTCCTCTCTTCCCTGCCCTTGTGCCATCTCCGCGGGCCTCTCTTCTTTCCCCCGTCATCTGCCCTCGCCACATGCGCCCCCTCGGCCCTGGCTCTCTGCAGGGGGGCACCGACTTGGAGAAGCACCGGGACCTGCTGATGGTGGAGAATGAGCGACTGAGGCAGGAGATGCGGCGCTGTGAGGCCGAGCTGCAAGAGCTGCGCACAAAGCCAGCAGGTCCCTGCCCAGGTTGTGAGCACAGCCAGGTGAGCAGAATGGCCGTGGTCCCCATGCTGGTCCTGGAGGGCCACCCCAGCTCCTCACAGTGAGCCTGTCCCTTGCACTCATCCAGTGCCTCCCAATGGCTGCAGGAGAGCGCCCAGCTCCGTGACAAGCTGTCCCAGCTGCAGCTGGAGATGGCGGAAAGCAAAGGCATGCTGTCAGAGCTGAACCTAGAGGTGCAGCAGAAGACCGACCGGCTGGCTGAGGTGGAGCTGCGACT
The DNA here is from genome assembly GCF_000001405.40 of Homo sapiens. Classification (NCBI taxonomy): domain Eukaryota; kingdom Metazoa; phylum Chordata; class Mammalia; order Primates; family Hominidae; genus Homo; species Homo sapiens. Next base: position 57,771,306 of record NC_000016.10, on the reverse strand, counting down.
CAAGGACTGCCTGGCTGAGAAGGCACAGGAGGAGGAGCGGCTTAGTCGGCGCCTGCGTGACAGCCACGAGACCATTGCCAGCCTGCGGGCCCAGTCCCCACCTGTCAAGGTGAGCCCTGGCCCACCTGATCTGTGCCTCAGCCCAAGGCCCCTGGCACCTGGGGCAGGGCTAGCCCATAAGGGGGGCTTGTCCTGGTGAATAGGTAGGTGTGTGTGGGTGGAAGAATCATTCCAGTTCTGTGCTTGGTCCTGCCCCTTCCCCTTCCTGTATCCAGGGCCAGGCACCGAGTAGGTATCCAACAGCTGAGGTGCCAGGCACAGATGCAGCGCAGCCCCTGGATTCTGCCCTCGTCTTTTTGCCTTTCTTGTCTGTACCCAGGATGGGGCCCCAGCCAGGCTCATAGTAGCCTCTTGTTAAGCTGAGAAGGTTCCAGGAGACCCCCCCAGCTTTCTGGAAAGCCAGGACCTCAAGGCTCCTCTAGTTTTTTTCTGGTTTCTGAGTGGGATGTTCCCGAGAGTTCCTTCCCCTGGCCTGCTGCGTCTCAGGCTCTTGGGTGAGGTACGGTGCCCGCTGGCTCCACGTGCCATTCCTCCCTCACCCTGCAGTATGTCATCAAGACAGTGGAGGTGGAGTCGTCCAAGACCAAGCAGGCCCTCAGCGAGTCCCAGGCCCGGAACCAGCACCTGCAGGAGCAGGTGGCTATGCAGAGGCAGGTGCTGAAGGAGATGGAACAGCAGCTGCAGAGCTCACACCAGCTGACCGCGCGGCTCCGGGCGCAGGTACCCAGGCTGTGTGGGGGCACATGCCCAGCCAGGAAGCCAGAGGCAGGCCCTTGGGCCAATGCATCGGTTAAACATTTGGGTACCCCACAGACACGGGGTCCAGTCCCTCCTCTCCCCGATGGCCACGGGACCCAGGGCAAGTTTTGTCTGGTTTCCTTTTCCTCATCTATTATAACACGATCTGGTCCCAGAACCCACCTCACAGTGGGGACTCAGGAACGTCATCCCAAGAAGCTTTGTGCCCACGGCCCAGCACACAGGCTGTGCTCAGTAAGCTCTACATGGCACTTGTCACTGTCATCACAGAGGCCCTCTCCTACCTTCCTGAGGGCACGTGGCTTGGGCACCTGATGTGTGCTCAGCACTGGGTTGGTGTTGGAGCCAATGCCCAGAGCTCACAGCCCTGTAGGGGGAGGGAGACAAGGCCATTCTGCCCCTCTGGGTGTGCACATGTGTGTGTGCATGTGTGTTCATGTGCATGGGAGGTGACCAGTTTCTTTCTCGGTGTGGCACCTGCCCCTCTCTCTCCCGCACCTCGAGGTACTGAGCCTTTTCCTGGTCTGGCCAGATTGCCATGTACGAGTCAGAGCTGGAGCGGGCCCATGGGCAGATGCTGGAGGAGATGCAGTCCCTGGAAGAGGACAAGAACCGGGCCATTGAGGAGGCCTTTGCCAGAGCCCAGGTGGAGATGAAGGCTGTGCACGAGAATCTAGCAGGTGAGCTGACCAGCTGGGCCCTGTCTGCCCCACGCCGCGGCCCCTCATCCCCTCCCGCCTCACAGCCCGAGTGTCCCCATAGGCGTCCGGACCAACTTGCTGACCTTGCAGCCGGCACTGCGGACCCTCACCAACGACTACAATGGGCTCAAGCGGCAGGTGCGCGGCTTCCCACTGCTGCTGCAGGAGGCCCTCAGGAGTGTCAAGGCCGAGGTGAGCGAGGGCAGTGGGTGGGAGGGTCCAGGCTAAGGGGGTGCACTGGGAGAGGCACGACATCCACTCAGGGCGTCCCTCCAAAGCTCAGACAAAGCCGCTCAGACAGCAGCCCCTGCCCCACCCCCCATGACACTTACTGCTGCCCTTATAGGCCCTGTTTGAAACTAGACTGCTCAGGGCAGGCATTCGGCTATTTGTCTTACTATGATTCTTTAAACCAAACATGTTACAGATAACTTCATATTTCAAACATGCAGGCCAGGCGCGGTGGCTCACACCTGTAATTCCAACACTTTGGGAGGCCGAGGCAGGCGGATCACTTGAGGTCAGGAGTTTGAGACCAGCCTGGCCAACAAGGCGAAACTTCGTCTCTACTAAAATTACAAAAATTAGCTGGGCATGGGTGGCAGGTGCCTGTTAATTCCAGCTACTCGGGAGGCTGAGGCAGGAGAATCACTTGAACCCAGAAGGCGGAGGTTGCGGTGAACCAAGATCATGCCACTGCACTTCAGCCTGTGTGACAGCGAGACTTTATCTCAAAAACAAACAAAAAACATGCTACATACGTATTTTTTAAAAAAATTATTTATTAGAGACAGGGTTCATTATGTTGCCGAGGCTGGTCTTGAACTCCTGGCTTCAAGCAGTCCTCCTGCCTTGGCCTCCCGCAGTGCTGAGATTATTGGTGTGAGCCACCATGACTGGCCGATACAGTCTTACCTCTGTTAGGTTTAACTTAATTCTTTCAAGCTGTACTTGTACATATGAGAATAACCAGTGCCTCTTAAGTGCCTCCTACATGTCGAGCTGTTTATAGCCGTTAGCTCCTTGAATTTGTATGATAGCTTTGCAAAGACTAATATATTTTGGGAACAGAATATAGTTCTTCTCCTTTAAAAGACTATATCAGTAATACATGGACGTGGTGAAAAGTCAAACTCCATAGCAGGGCATCAGGTGAATAGGAAAGGCCTCTCTGCCACCCACCCAACTCTTCCAATGTGGCCTCTCAGCATTTCCCCCGACTGTTCTGAGCATGCTTAAGCCAATTGTGCGTGTGTGTGTGTGTGTGTGTGTGTGTGAGAATATATGGTAGGCCCTTCCCCCATCCACAGGTTCTGCATTCCCAGATTCAAACAACCACAGATCAAAAATAGTTGAAAAAAATTAACAGTACAACAATTAGAAATAATAGAAATAAAAAATAACATATAACAACTATTTACACAGCATTTTTTTGTTTTTGAGACAGTGTTTCACTCTTGTTGCCCAGGCTGGAGTGCAATGGCGGGATCTCAGCTTACTGCAACCCCCACCTCCCGGGTTCAAGCGACCCTCCTGCCTCAGCCTCCTGGATAGCTGGGATTACAGGCGTGTGCCACCATGCCGGGCTAGTTTTGTTTGTTTGTTTGTTTGTTTTGTATTTTTAATAGAGGCTGGGCTTCACCATGTTGGCCAGGCTGGTTTTGAACTCCTGACCTCAGGTGATCCGCCCACCTCCGCCTCCCAAAGTGCTGGCATTACCGGCATGAGCCACTGCACCCAGCCCCTACCCAGCATTTTCATTGTATTAGATATTATAAGTAACCTGGAGATGATTTAAAGTACATGGGAGGGGCTGGGCACAGTGGCTCACACCTGTAATCCCAACACTTTGGGAGGCTGAGGCAGGAGGAGCACTTGAGCCCAGGAGTTCAAGACCAGCTTCGGCAACATAGTGGGACCCCATCTCTACAAAAAAATATAAAAAAACTAGCTGAGTGTGGTTGCCTGCACCTGTAGTCCCAGCTACTCGGGAGGCTGAGGTGGGAGGATTGCTTGGGTCTGGGAGGTCAAGGCTGCAGTGAGCCAAGATAACACCACTCACAATGAGTTTCCACCACATCCATGGAGCTGTGATTGCACTTCCAGCCTGGGCAACAGAGCAAGACCCTGTCTCAAAAAAAATAAAGTATATGGGAGGATGTGTGTAGGTTATAGGCAAACACTATATCATTTTATATCAGGGGCTTGAGCATCTGTGGATTTTTGTATCCTCCACGGTTACTAAGGGAAGACTGTATACACTGTATACACTTCCCTTCTACTCCAGAAAGGGGATGTGTGATTTGTGTACAGTGTGATACTGTATGTGTGATTTTGCATCTTTTTTCTACCTGTGAAATGTAACTGGGAGATCTTTACAGATTCATGAGTTAGATGGTATTATCCCTGCTTTCCAGATGAGAAAATTGAGGCTTAAAGACATTGAGCCAGTGGTCTCAGGTCCCCAGCTACTCAGGGGCAGAGTTGGAATTTGAGTCTGGCTGAATCACATAGTCAAGCACTAGTGCTGTGGTGTGGAGGGCTGAGTCCTGGCTCTATGCTTATTAGCAGAGCAGCCTCAAGCTGTCAGCTTAGTGTCTGCGGCTCAGTTTCATCATCTGTAAAATGGGGATGGTAGCAGTACCTACCCAGAGGGGTGATTGGGACAGTCTGACATGTGACAGCGTGTGTCAGGTACTCAGCCAGGGGCAGGAGGCAGTGAGCACCCCTCAGGGGTGGGCAGTCAGGCCGGTAAGGCTGATGGAGCCGTCCCCCTGACAGTGGTGTGCACCCCCCACCAGATAGGCCAGGCCATCGAGGAGGTCAACAGCAACAACCAGGAGCTGCTGCGCAAGTACCGCCGCGAGCTGCAGCTGCGTAAGAAGTGCCACAATGAGCTCGTGCGGCTGAAAGGTGACTGCAGGAGGGCTGGGGGTGGGCGCTGGCCTCGGGGTCCTCGACCTGGCTTGGCAGTCATGCTTGGAGCTCACCCCACCATTGAGGCACTATTCTAATCCTATCTCTGTAGATAAGGAAACAGAGGCACAGAGAAGGCAGGGAACTTGCTCAAAGCCACATGGATATTAAATGGTCTGCCTTGGATTTGAACTTGAGTCTGTCCAGCTCAGAAGCCCTGGCCCCAGTGCCTGGGCAGGTGACTCCCCAGGCCCTGGGTAGCCGAGGGGTGTGGTGTTGCAGCATTGGGTTGGTGGCAGCTGGAAAGCCGCTTATTCTGACCTGGGGCCTGGTCAAGCTTGAGACTCCACCATTCACTGCATGGAGCTCTAGAGTGCCTGCTCTGTGCCAGGTGCCGTTCCAGCCCGAGGCTATGGTCGTGGCCCCACAGACTGCCTCCCGGTGCACACTTTAGTGTGAGAATCAACAATGATGATTGTCAGGGAACCCCAACCCTGCCCCCTTCCAGGGCTGAGACAGGCTTTCCTGGGTATGGGACAGGCAAGTGTGTTGAGGGGCTTCCCAGAGAAGGCAAAGTTAGAGCTGAGACCTGGACAGTGAGCTGGAACGGATGGGTGAAAAGGGAGGGCAGGTGGGCCATGCTGGCAGTGGGGGGTGTTTCCTCTTCATTCCAAGAGCACAGGGATCCCAACAAAGGCTGGAAGTAGATGGCGGCATGACCAGCTCATGCTGCCAGATACCCCTGTGGCTGCCCCACTATCTGGGCCCTCAGATACACCACCAGTCATCACCTGCTGCCTGGGCCTATATGCCCATCTGATTCCTAAGCCCTGTCCTGCCATTCAGGACAAGGCTCTTTGCTCATTGGGGCCCAAGCCCCTCATTGTCTGGATGAAGAAACTGAAGTCCAGGGAGAAAAAGAGTGTCCGTTCTGGTGTCTCACCCTGACGGGGTGCAGTGCTTGAGCCCCACAACTGACCTTTCCTCCCCATCCCCAAGGCAGAGCTCCACCCCAGTCAACTGGTCTGTTCAAGAAGAAATGTACTAAGTGAATTCATACTATAGTGTGAATGACGGATAACAGCTTTGTGGGCCCCCTTCCCCTAGGGGGCTGTGCTTAAAAGTCAGGGGACTCCTAGGTCAACTAGTCTGCCTGGGACACCAGTGGACCAGAATGGAGACTGGTCTTGACATGGCCTGGACCCATTTCCCCATCCCCAACCAATCCAGGGAACATCCGAGTGATTGCTCGTGTCCGGCCAGTCACCAAAGAGGATGGGGAAGGACCTGAGGCCACCAATGCTGTGACTTTCGATGCCGACGACGACTCCATCATCCACCTGCTGCACAAGGGCAAGCCTGTGTCCTTCGAGCTGGACAAGGTCTTCTCCCCACAGGCCTCGCAGCAGGACGTGAGTGTGGCCCCATGCGGGAAAGGGAAAGCAAGGGAGAGAGGGAAAGATGGACTCACAGGGAGCGGGGGCGCTGGGCAGGAAGAAGCGTTAAGAGTGGGGGGTGCAGGAATCAGAAGTGGGGAGCCAGGGTCCTGCTCCTTCCTCTGGAGGACAGAAGAGGGTGGGAAGTTAAGACTGAAGCCCTTGAAAGCCTCCTTAGGAAGGAGAGATCCAGACACAGCCCATCCCCTCCCATGGCTGTGGTTCCTCCCGTCCCCAAGGCCCCTTCTACCGTGTGGCCCCGCCCACCCTTGAGGCCCTTCCCACTATCGTAACTCATTCCATTCTCTCAGCTGTGGCTCCTCCCACCATGTGGCCCCTCCTATATCCACAGCCCCTTCCACCACATGGCCTCACCCACAGCCCCTCCCACCACCATGGCTTTGGGTCCTCCCATTCAGGTGGCCCCTTCCACTGCATGGCCCTGCCCACTCCCAAGGCCCCTCCTACCATCACAGCCCATCCCACCCTCATGCTGTGGCTCCTCCCATCTGCATGGCCCCACCCACCCTCAGGCCCCTCCCATCTTCCCACCATGTGGCCTCACCCACTTTCAGGCCCCTCCCACCATCACAGCCCCTCCCACCCCCATGGCCACCCACATGGCCCCATCCATCTTCATGACCCTGCCCATCTTCCCCATCCGGGAATACCCTCCTGTATCAGTCCCCTGGGCCTTCCTAGGAATCCCCCAACCCCCTGAGGCTGTATGAGAACCATGTGTTCTCAGTGTCCACTCTTCCCTTATCTCTGCCCAGACCAACCTGCCAGCCCTGCCAGGCCTGTGCCCTCCTGTTCTCATGTCTGGTTCTATCTTTGCCCCCATCCTCTGATGGCTGGCAGGCAGGCCCAGGCCAGAGAGGCCCCAGGCATGTGCTGGCCTCCACCTTCCTTGTGCTGAGCACTCTTTGAGAGAGAGCAGGAGGAGCTGGGGGAAGGGCAGCAGGCACTGGCCTGTCTTCCCTGCAGTCTTTGGGCGGCCCGGTTGCCCACTACTGTCTAATGTATGACTCATGAGTCACGAATCATTGTGAGCTGAGTGACTGCAGTAACACGTGATGTGGTGTTGCTGAAGGACAGCATGGTTGGGGAGGTGGCTGGACTTGTAGCTGGTGGTCCCAGCGGCCCTGGAAGCCCCCCCACCAGCCTCCCTCCCACCACCCTCCCAGGTGTTCCAGGAGGTGCAGGCCCTGGTCACCTCTTGCATTGATGGCTTCAATGTCTGCATCTTTGCGTACGGCCAGACGGGCGCCGGCAAGACGTACACGATGGAGGTGGGTGCTGCCCAATGGGGTGGGGGTTCACAGTGAAGCATGAAGGGAATGCGGGCTCCCTCATTGGTCTTGGGGTATTGTGCAGTGTGTGTTTTGCCTCATTTGGTCCTCACAACCCAGGAGCAGAGGCTGTAGTTATCTGTGTTAGCCCTGAGGCACCAGGCCTTAAGAGGGGGCCCCCTTGCCCAAGGGCACCCACAATGGGCCCAGCAGGACTGGGAGAGAGGCAAGGGGGGACTATCATCACAGGGATCTCGGCTTGGGGACAGAGTCTGGGGCAGGCCACCGACCTCTCTCAGGACCAGGGCTGCATTTCACCTTGAGTGTGCACTGCACACTCCTGCTTTACCGCTGCCTTGGGCCGGGCCTGGGGGATCTGGGATGAGTGGCGGGTCTCAGTCCTCAAGGAGATCCCAGGGCAAGACTGGCATATGAAGGCTGTTGTGGGGAGCCCAGCTCTTGCCGGTGGTCCCTGGGGCCAGGCCAAGGCTTCCTCTCCCTGCTCGTCACCGGCACCCTCCCAGGTGTGGTGGAGCAGGTGGCAGGCCAGGGAGAGGGGCGTTGAGACTAGGAAGGATCTTGACTGTGGGCAGAGGGCAGTGGAAAGCTAGCCCTGGCTCTGAGGGGTGCTGTGGGATTGATTCCCTAGGTCAGGAGGAGGCCAGGTGGTGTGGCGTCTGGACAGGGGAAGGGGCTAGCCAGGCCTGCTGGGCGGCCCTCTTATTTCCCATCTGGACTCTGCTGTTCCCTCGATTCTGGGACTGGTGAGACTAGTTAGTGGGGGCAGGCCAGGCCAGGCAGGAGGAGGAAGGGGATGTGTGCGGCATCCTCTGGGCTCCCCGCTCTGCTTTGGGATTGCTTAGTGTTGAGGTGACCACCAGGAACATCAGAGCGTTCATCCTCAAGTGTATCTGCTGATGCATAAGGTGTATCAGGCATCGTGCCAGGCACAGCTGTGACCCAAACAGTCCCTGCCCCCACAGAGGGCCCTCCCCACAGGGCCAACCTGGCTGTGGGGAGACAGCAGGGTCTACACAAATCAGCAAGTGTCCTGTCAGGCCAGGGAGAAAAATAAAGCCAGGAATGCGGAACTGACTAGGGGGAGGGACAGGGCATTTGGGGGTGCTGGGCGAAGGAGCAGCCTCCCTGAGGGGGCATCTTGGGAGCAGCCTCCCTGAGGGAGATGACGGAGCCGGCCAAGGGGCGGTCAGAGGAGTACCCGGGGCAGAGGGAGCTGCAGGGCTGAGGCCAAGAGGCCAGAGCATGCCAGGGGCACCTGAGGCCCAGCCAGGAGGCCCCTGTGGCCGGAATAGAGAGTGAGTGAGAGGTGCTATCAGAAGAGGGGTGAGGGCCAGGCTCCCAGGGCCTCGAGGTCCCGGGTGGGGACTCCAGGTTTCCTTCTAGAAAGGCCGGCCCACCCGTCCTTCCCCAGGACACTGGCCCGCTCCTCCTTGTGCCTCCTCTCTACCACCCACAGAGCCCAGGTCTCAGCCTCCCTGAGACTGAGCGCCTTTCTGGGCAGTGGCGGGGTCATTCATTTCCAGTGCCCCTCCCAGGTGGCCCCACAGGGCCAGGCATGCATCTGGCCCTCAGCTGCCCTGTGTGGGGTCTGGGCCAGGCCCCTCATCCCAGTGCTGCACTATAAGTCTCAGGGTAGTCCTGGCAGGGCGATGCCATTTTAATGGTGGGGAAATAGAGGTGCAGTTGCCCGCAGCTGGTGGAGGGCATTTTGGGGGACAGTGGCAGGTAGGTAAGAGCTTTGGGCAAGGAGGCTTGCTTGTGAGGGGTAGTCAAGGGGCTTTGGGGACAGACACCACACGAGCGTCTTTGGGGACAGGCCTGGCTTACTGGGGCCTTTCCTTCTGTCCCCAGGGGACCGCTGAGAACCCAGGTATCAACCAGCGGGCCCTGCAGCTGCTCTTCTCCGAGGTGCAGGAGAAGGCGTCTGACTGGGAGTACACCATCACCGTCAGCGCTGCGGAGATCTACAATGAGGTCCTCAGGTGGGAGCCCCAGGGTGTGCGGAGCAGGCCTCAGGGGCAGCTTTGGGGTCCTCCGGGGTGGTGCTGGAACGAGGTCCTCAGGTGGGACCCCCAGTATGTGGGGAGCAGGCCTCAGGGGCAGCTTTGGGATCCTCAGGGGTGGTGCTGGAGCAATGGGGGATAGGAAGTGGGGTCTTCCTGAAGGGAGTGTAGGGACCAGATGAGGCCGTCAAGGTGAAGGGAGTGTAGGGACCAGATGAGGCCGTCAAGGGACCTGGCTGCAAGTCCTGACTCAGCCCAGTGGGTTGGATGGTTCTGGGGGGAGGAGGGGCTCTCTCTGAGACCCAGGCAATCCTTGCCCCTACCTGTGGGCTACACCAGGTGGCCATGGGTGAGAGTGGGCAGCTAGGGGCCCTGCCAACAGGGGCTCATTGTATTGTGGAGTGAGATCTCCACGTCTTCAGCTGAATGCGGTGGAGGAGCTGGAGGAGGAGAGATGCACTCAGCTGATGGCTGGAGAAGGCTTCCTGGGTTGGGGGAACATTCCTGGCTGGGGGGCTGGGTGCAGTGCAAACAGCAGCTGGAAATGGGAGGAGGGGGTGACTGTCTCACCTGCCCCTCCAGGGACCTGCTAGGGAAAGAGCCTCAGGAAAAACTGGAGATCCGGCTGTGCCCAGACGGCAGTGGGCAGCTGTATGTACCAGGGCTGACTGAGTTCCAAGTGCAGAGCGTGGACGACATCAACAAGGTGTGGAGGCGGGAGCCCCTGACCACAGCCACACTGCTCTAGAGGACACAACTGGGTTTGAATGTAGGCTCTGCTGTGTCCTAAGCACGCACCCTTGGGCAAGTCCGCACGCCTCTCTGAGCCTCAGTTTCCTCATCTAAACTGCGGAGGGTGGTGCCACTCCTCATGGGTGCTTGGGGCCAGGTGACTCTGAGGACCCCATTCTCAACGCTGTGCCTCTGCCCTCCTCCCAATCCCCCAGGTGTTTGAGTTTGGCCACACTAATCGCACGACCGAGTTCACCAACCTGAACGAGCACAGCTCCCGCTCGCACGCGCTGCTCATCGTGACGGTGCGAGGCGTGGACTGCAGCACAGGCCTCCGCACCACGGGTGAGAGTGGCAGGCAGCCTGGCCTGAGGATCCCCACAACCCCAAGGGGCAGGGCAGGCCTGATCTGGTGGGTGCCTTCCCTGCAGGGAAGCTGAACCTGGTGGACTTGGCTGGCTCGGAGCGCGTGGGCAAGTCGGGGGCCGAGGGCAGCCGCCTGCGGGAGGCGCAGCACATCAACAAGTCGCTGTCGGCTCTGGGGGACGTCATTGCTGCCCTGCGCTCCCGCCAGGGCCACGTGCCCTTCCGCAACTCCAAGCTCACCTACCTGCTGCAGGATTCGCTTAGTGGTGACAGCAAGACCCTCATGGTGGTACAGGTGAGGACCTTGGGTTAGGGCGGGCCAGTCCCTAGCATGTAGGGGCTACGCTAGCAGTGAGACCCAGTCACCCCAGGCTGTGCAAATGGACCTCCCCGCCCCTAGACCTGGCCACACACACCCTGTGTAACTCCCAGTCCCTCCTCTCCACCTTTGACCACAGCACCTCTGCCATGTTGCCTGCCCTCCCACCCCATCCCTCAGGCCTCTCCAGGAAGCCTTCTGACGGCCCCAGCTGTGAGCTCCCTCTCGTGACCCTGTTGCCCCTCCAGCTGGCCCGGGTGGGCAGTGAGCTCTCGTGTCCCCTAGGTGTCCCCCGTGGAGAAGAACACTAGCGAGACGCTCTATTCCCTCAAGTTTGCTGAGAGGGTGCGCTCTGTGGAGCTGGGGCCTGGGCTACGCAGGGCAGAGCTTGGGTCCTGGTCAAGCCAGGAGCATCTAGAGGTACGGGGACTGTCACAGGCCTGGCTCAGGTGGCCCTGGGTCAGAGACTTTGGGTCATGGCAGGAGCAGGGAGCTGGGCGGGGACGTCCTGAAGCAGTGGGGGCAGGGAAGCTGCCGGAGTTGGGTGGAGCTACGGCTGGAACCCACAGCCAGCAGCCTCTTCAGTACAGGTATTTCTTCTTGGCCTCGGAGGTTCCTGTGGGGTGACGAGCTGGCCGTGGGGGTGGCACATAGTAGATGCTCAGTGGTAACTAGTTGACTTCTTTACATGAATTATCTCATTTAATTCTTGCCATAACTGAGGCTGGGGCACAAACATCATGCCCATTTTGCAGATGAGGAAACTGGGTGTTAGGAGGCAGGGCAGGGGAGTAGAGAGAAGCACAGCAGGGTGGGGAGCCAGGGCAGCCGTGGCCCCCGCCCATCCGCCCTTCCCTGCTCACAGTGGGAGCCGGCTTGTCAGACGCCACAGCCCTCGGCACGGGCCCACTCAGCCCCCAGCTCTGGGACCAGTAGCCGCCCTGGATCCATCCGGAGGAAGCTGCAGCCCTCGGGTGAGCCTGGAGTGGCAGTGTGGGTGGGGAGTCTCCCCAGGGTAATAGTCACCAGGCTGCCCTTACCTGGATGGGCTTTCTCTTTTCTTTCCTTTTTAAAAAGTTCTTACACCTTCTCCAGAACCTGTTTTACAACCTCCCCTGCCCCCAGGCAGTAGTCAGGGCAGACAGTGCTGTGTCCGTTCTGCAGGTGGGAAATGGAAGGTCTGTGGGAAGGGGGCAGTGTAAGGAGACCCCAGCCTCTCAGCCGGGGGTGCTGACTCTACCCTGGGACCCTGCTCTCTGAGCATGGGCTGGCTGAGCCTGTGCAGTAAGCCCCCTCCAGAGCAGCCCCTGCAGCCCCCTCCCTGTGCCTCAGCTGCCCCGGGGGTAGAAAGGGCCGGGCTTGCCTACCTCCTAGGTGAGGAGTGAGCCCCGCCACAGGACCGGGACCCAGGGCTCCAGCCCCTGTTTAGCCCAGATCATGGGAGGGCCTGGCCCATCCTTGAGTCCAAAGGGGTAGCAGCAGCAGGGTCTTGTGGGGTACTGGCCCAAGGCAAGCCCACCAGTGAGACGCCTGTCACTTTGATTTCAGCCTGACGGCTGGGGCTGCAGAGTCTCTAGGTGAGTGTGGGGCCTGTGGCCCAGGGCTGCCCGCCTGCCTGCCCGCAGTGGGTTGCAGGGCTGCGCTGGGACGTTCTGCTGTTCAGAGCTGGGTCTAGCCCCTGCTGTCGCTTGTCTATGTGCTTTTGCTGGGTTCCCTCCTGCTCTCGGTGGCAACTGCTGTGGGCTGCCGGTGGGCAAGTGGACAAGAGGCTGATGATCTCATGCCCCTGCAGGGAAGTCGCGGCCACTGCCTGTGTGACGGATGTGACCCCGCTGGGCCTGAAGCTGGGCCCTCACTGGCCTGTCCCTGCTGCAGCGCCAGGACCCCCGGAGGTAGAGGCGAGAGTGGAGGCTCTTCTTCTGCCCCGTCTCCCCTCAAAGATGAGAAACATGTTCAGAAGGAAACGGTGTCTCTCGGCTGTGGCTCTGAGTGCAAATTGCATGGGCGGAAAGGCGGGGGTGGCTGCTCTTCCTGGCAGGCCTGGGCCATCAGCGAACTGGGCCCCGTGAGGAGGGCGGGAGTGTGGAGGAGGGTGGGCCTCTCACCCAGGCTTTCTCGGCCCCTCTCCTCAGCTTGCAGAGCTGGCCAGCCCCCTCCTTAGGGGGTGGGCGAGGAGCCTCTGGGCAGACCCAAGAACCATGGGGACTGGGGTGGGTTGGTGGCACCAATGGCAGCCCTCCCCGCCCCTCTCCTTCAAGGAGGGTTCCCGCAGCTGGGGGGTGTGCGGAGGCGCATGGCCTCCCGCCACGGGGCCGTGCTGTGTTTATGGCTGGCAGAGGCAGCCAGCGGGTGGGGGATTCTGCTGCTCGCTCACCTGCCTGGCTCGCTGGTCTCTCGAATTTTCTTCCCTCTGAAATCCTATTTAAGAACTTTTGGAAGCTTAGCCATTTTTACTTATTAAAATAAAAGAAGCCTTTTTACACAAGTATGGTCTGAAAAAGTTGGTCTGTGAGCCCCTCTTGGTCTGATTAGGGGGACGGGGCACTGGCAGGTCTTGTGGACTCCCCCGCTGGCTGGTCACCCCACAGCCCTCTGGGATCTGTCCTCTAGGTCAGTTAGGGACATGCGTCCTTAACAAACAACTGGGGGGAGCCTGCGCTGTCCCACCCTGGGTCACTTTCTCTGTTGTTTGTGGTCACAGTCGCCTCATGCGGTACCTACCATGTGCCCACGATAACTGACCTCCCAACAGGGGCATTCCTCCATGTTACTGATGGGAAGGAAACTAAGGCTGGAGAGAGCTTCAAAGGCTATCAAAGCCTTGCCCAAACCATGCTGGGCTTCCAGGTTACTGCTGGGCACCACCCACTGCCCACTCTTTGCCCTGGCCTTTTCCCTCTTCAGTGAACTGGCCAGAGGTCCACGCCACCTTCCTCCAGTGCCGAGGACCCTGACCACCCCGGGGCGGGGCTGTACCTGGTCCCTGCCTTGGGAGCAGGAGGGGGCCCACCTGTCGCAGTGCCCACGGAGCAGGGAGCCCTTTCCCGCCAGCCAGTGCTGGGGACTCCAGCAGGGAGTGACAGCTGATCGGAGCCCTGCTCAGAGGAAGGGGCAGGTGCCCTTCTAGTCCTGCCCCTGGAGGCATCCTGGGGGTGTCCATAAGACAGCTTGAGTGTAGCTGAGGTGGGGAGGAACGGGCTGGTGGGGGCCACCCCTAACCTCAACACCCAGTGGTGGAAGGGTGGTTGCCGCCTCCCCTTCCTTCCCAGTCTGCACTGGCTGAACTGGTGCTGTCCCAGAGGCCTGATTCTCTGCTGCCCCCTGCTGGCCACATGGCCCAGAGCCCCACCCCCGGGCTTGGAGGGGGTGTGGCCTCATCTCAAACCATGGGGCAGGCACTCCTGGGCCCGGGGAGCCCTGTGGCCAGCAGAAAACATTCCCCACAAGGAAACCTGGGAATAGTTACAAATTTAATAAAATTTGCCTTATAAATTACAGCAGCAGCCCCAGGGCTCAGTTCGCTGCCCCAAGAAGCAACAGTTGGGCAAAGCTGGGCAGCTATTGCTGGAGAGAGTTGTCTCAAGAGTTCAGGGCTGTAGAGGTGGCCAGGGACCAGCATCACCTCCTCCAGGACGGCCACAGGACAGCAGCAGGGGCCAGGCAGAGGCTCATGGGCCAGTGGGTGCACAAGGAACAGGAGTGGGGGCTGAGGCCAGGCCCTGTGGGCTGCCGAGCGCCCCTGCCCACTGCTTTCCTCAGTCCAGACTGGCCATGAGCAGGTGCAGCTCGCGGAAGGTACTGCCATGGCGGCCGCTCAGGCCTGACTTGCTCTTGACCAGGCCGCTGATGCTCTTAAGCTGCTTGTAGCAGAGCCGGCACTTATGCAGCCTGTAGAGAGGGCAGTGCCTGAGGGGCTAGCTGGCACCACCACCACCCACACCCAACCCCAGGGCCTTTGCTGTCCTAACTGCTCCAGCCCTTCCTCCCAAGGGAAGGCGGAGGCCCAGAGGGGAACCACCCAGGCCCTGCCAGGGATTGTGGGCACAGCCAGGCCATGGAGGAACCCAGCTCTGGCTAAGCCCACCCACACCCTGAGCCATGGCCCCAGACCAACGCCTCCTCTGTACTCTGTCCCAGCAGGACTGTCAGTAAGAGGGGCCCAGGCCTCCAGGCCTTTGTCCCCTCACCTGTTGTGGCACCCCTGCCCCCAACACATGCGCTGCCCTCACCTCTCCTCCCTGCTGATATCCACACCCACAGAGGGTGGGGCCGCCAGCATGTCTGTGATGAGGGGCAGAAACCGCTGCAGGATCAGCTTCAGGGAGGTGCAGCCCGTCTGGACGTAGCTTTAGGGGGAGATGGATGAAGTCACAGATGGACCAAGGGCCACAGACAGAAAGAGAAACAGCAAGGAACAAAGGAGGAGAGGGGCAGAAACAGACACAGACACACCCACACATACACCCACACACGCCTGTTTCCACTCCCACCTCCGGACTGTTGAGGGGCAGCAATGCTTCACAGCCAGCTCACAGGAACACCCAGGCTCTTGGGGGTCCTTCCCATGGTTCTGGAGGAGGCTTCTTACCTCTCCCCTCCCCCTGCTTCAGGCAGGCATGGCTTCCCCACACGCACCTCTCATACTTGCTCTGCAGAAGCTTCTCAATCTGTGGCAGGACGGTGGTGCACAGGTCCAGCTTCCACAGGGAGCTAGGAGAGGCCAGGACATGCTGCCATCAGCCCAGCCCTGCCCCTCCGCCCACTCCCCCTCTGCAGCCACTTACGCTTTCTGGTTGACGATGTTCAGGAGGTCCACCACCACCGACAGGTCGTTGATGGCCACAGCGGAGTCCACCGACGTCTGTGCAAACAGAGCACCGTCAGGGGTGGGGCAGTGGGGGACAGTGTGGCCCTGTGAGGGTGAGGGTGGGGGTACGAACGTGAATGTGGGTGTGCTGATGGGGCTGTGGGTATTCAGCACTGCACCTAACGCAATGAGTGTAAGGCCAGGCATGTAAACAGATGCTCACTAAACGGCAGTCTGTGATGATGATGATGATGGCGGAAACAGATGGTGTGACGTCAGGGATGGCCTATCCCACACTGTCCCCCATGGGTGGCCTCTTCTTGTTCTGCCCCAAGCCCGGGCAGGCAGGTGGCAGGGGCAGGGGGGCGAGATGAGGCCCTGTGCAAGGGTGGGCACTTGCCTTGATGTCGCCCATGGTCCACACAGCCCGCACAGTGTCCAGGTTCTTGTGGCGGCTGGTGAGCACCACACACATGGTGTCGTGGCCTTTGCGGATCTGTGACATGGCATCCTCGTCCACCAGCTCGGCCTGCTGGGGGATCTTCACGGCCTGCGTGGGATGGACACCCAGATGCTGGCATGGGAGGAGCCAGCAGCAAAGCTCTGCCCTCCACCCACAGACCTCCACCCATGCCTCGAGCTGGGCTCCTACTCACGGGCAGGAAGTCGGAGGCCTTCAGCCCGATGGGCTCGTTCCGGGTGGCAGGGATGATGGCAGGCTCAGCCTTGGGTGCAGGTGTGGAAGCAACCACTGGGGGCCGGGGCAGGACCTCCAGCTGAAAGTGTGAAACTCAGCGGTTGCCGGCCTGGGGCCTCCCTCTCTGCCTCCCGAGGCACCCCCAACCCTGGGTCAGGACCTTCTCTAGGCCCCACACCATGCTCCCTCCATGGACATACATTTGGCACCGGGAACTGCACATCCATGGCAGGGCTGGGCTTTGCTGCCTCCTTTGCTGTGGCTGCGTCTGGAGGCAAAAGGAAAAGATGACTGGGTCCGGCCAGAAGGGCCTGGCAAGAAGGGCAGGGCTCAGGGCGGGACTCTGGGCAGCATCTGCAATGGGGGGATGGAGCAGGAGCATGGGGGAGGCTGCAGGCCAGTGGCGTGGGGGTTCCAGAGGACCTGGGGCAGGCCTGGACCTGCCTCCTCCCTCTCCCCCAACTCAACCTTAGGTCTGCCTGTGGGTGGGACCCAGGGGGCTCTAGGATGTGGCCATCCTGTCCCTTCACTGGCATGTATGTGGAGGGGGCTGGGATGACTGGCAAGATGGAAGTGGAGGCTCCTAGGAAAGCCAGGACTGACGGCAAGGACGGTCCCTGAGGGGAGGGCAGGGGTACTCTACAGGACAGGTGGCCCCATGCCTGCCCGTTCTCCAACCACAGTGCAGATCATTTTTCTCCCTTCTTAATCCAAACCCCCAGCTGAGGCCTTGTGGGCCTGACCTCTTGCTGGGACTCGCCCCAGCTCACCTCCTCTCAGCTCCCTTCCTGCCAGAAGCACTTCTCTCTCTCTCTTCTCACTGGCCCCCAGGCCTTGACAGGCATTGGGCCTCCTGAGAGCCTCCCGATCATCCCGTCTACAGCAGACCCCATCTAAGGTGGGCCCCCAGTGACTCCTCTCCATCCTCCACAGCCCGAGTGCCCCTGGCAGGCCCCCCAGTGTGGTGGTGTCCATGTTTGTCCCCCACACACCAGGGCACAGGCTCCTACGGGGGCACTATCGGTCTTGCAGGGACCTGGCACATAACAGGCAGAGGGCAGAGACCCAGCGGGAGAGGGTGTGGGTCGTGTCCTGAGAGGGGAGGGTCCTGGGAAGGGGCTTGTTGGGAGGGTTCACAGGAAGAGAAGATGAGGGACGGGGGGGCATCAGAGACCTTGGGAAACCAGGCTCACCCAACTCACCGTCCTCTGGGGGTGCAGGGAAGGGCTCACTTCTCCGGGGTGGCGTCCGACCTGCAGAGGAAAGAGGCCCCTGGCTGTGAGCGCTCCTGGCCAGGCCACCTGGGACCCAGGGCCCTGTCCAGAGTGCGGGGGACGGAGGGTAGCTCCCAGGCATGCGGCTGCAGACTGTGGACCCTGCTCCTGGTCCCAGGAACCCTCAGTCCTGCCCCTCCCAGCCCACTTGTCCCTGGCAGGGCAGGGACTGGGACACTGAGCAGCTGCTGGGCCGCTGCTGGGGAGTGCCCAGGCCCCCCTCTCAGTTCCATCAGAGCACAGCCTGGCAAGGCCCAGGGAACGTGAGGACAGGATACGGAGCCCAGGTGTGGGTTAGGAGGAAGTTAAAGGGATGCGGAGCCACAGCAGGCTACCCTGGAAGGACCCCCAGCCTCCCTTTCACCGATGGGGACGCTGGGCTGGGGGCGGGAGCCCGGCCTCACTGATGCTGTTCTTGGGCTGGAAGATCTCGTTGTAGTCCTCGGCGTTCTGGATCTCCGCGCGGGACTCGCGCTCGTCCCGGTCATCCTCGCTGCTGGGGCTGCGGCGCTCGCTCTCTGAGTTCTGCTTCACCCTGGGAGCGTGAGGCCAAGCCCAACGGAAGCAGGTGCCCTGTGAGGCCCAGGGCTGGAACTCCGAGGCTTCCCCTGTGACAGTCCCTCTCCTGGGCCCCCGAAGGCCCCCCAGGCCCTCACCTCTGAGGCTTGCTGCAGGTTGTGCTGGGCCGCTCATAGATGCGCCGGAGGGGGGCGCTGGGGTTGGGCAGTGGCTGTGCCAGGGGCCGGTGGTCCTGCACAGGGTCCCGGGCCACCGTGCCAGTCCTGGTGACACGCGTCAGATCCACCACGTAGGAGGAGACGTTGCTCTGGGAGAAGGCCACACCTATCTGCAGAAAGCGGAGAGGTGGGGCTGGGACTGCAAGCCGAGGGGGCAAAATCCCAGCCCCAGTGTGGGGGTAGGAGGAGGGGCCTGGGCTGGAGGGAGGCGGGTGGCCCTGTGGGAGTGGGGGGCGGTGGGTGCCATGGCTCTCTCACCAACTGGTCATTGCAGATGGCCAGGTCGGCCACCTTGCCCCAGTTGACGAGGACCACATCAAAGCACCGCTCAGGTTCCCAGCCGTAGACACGCAGTGAGTCCTGGCAGCCGCTGTACAGGCAGCAGCCGTCTGGGTTGAAGAGGACGCTCCTGGGCCAGGCGAGAGATGGCCGTGGGTCCTGTGGCACCCAGCCTGGTCCCCACCCCGAGGAATCCAGAGGGCCCAGGGCAGGGAGGGCGCAGCAGCGGAGATGGGAAAGGCCCACCCACAGCCACGCCCCACTGCCGGGAGGAGCGCTGGGCCGCCCACCCCACAGCCTGCGTACCTGACGGGCCCAGGCTCCCCTTCGATGCAGCTCACCACCTGGAACTTCTCCAGGTCCCAGAAGCGGATTGTCCTGCAAAGGCAGCCAAGCTGTGCTGCGAAGCCTATCCCTCATCCTGGCCTCCACATGTCCCTGGGAAGCCAGCTTTTCTCTAGAAACCTCTCCCCCAGGGCAGGGCCACCAGGAGCAACATCTGGGGCAGAGCTGGCCCTGACTTTGCAAGGGGGAGGCTCGGCCCGATGGCCCTGGCCCCAGGGTTGGCCCCAACAGCCACGAGCCTCCCTGCCCTATGGGGTCCCACTAGATGCCTTGGGTCCCAACCTGCCCATGAAGCCACAGACCTGGGACACTGGGGCCAGGGAACCAGAGCCAGGGGAGATGGACCAGGGTCCAGTCCTGGCTCGGCTGAAATCCAATTCAGTCCACACAGGATCATCAGACGTATGACACCCCAGACAGCGACAGACCGGCAGTAGAGACACGCACAGAGGACAAGGCGGTGAAGGACAGCAGTCACAAGCAACTCGCCTCGCTCCTCCTCCTCACCTGTCAGAGCTGCCGGAGGCCAGGAGGTACTCGTTGGGGTGAAACTCGACCACGTTGACAGGCCCCGTGTGACCAGGGAACTCAGACATCATCTTGCCGGCAGTGAGATCCCAGAGCTGGAGGCAGGGCAGGGAGGAGGTCAGGGTGACCAGGCATCTTGGCTGCCCACCCTCCCTCTAATCCAGGCCAAGCTCTTTATCCACAAGCTACCTTCCACTCGGGATAGGCTTGGGACATGTGAGCCCGATCAGGAGGGAGGTGAGGACTCAGCCTGCTGTGATCAGCAGACCCCAGCCCCCAGCCCCTGGGCCCAGGTCAGGCCGGGAGCTACCTTCACGGTGTGGTCATCTGCGGCCGACGCCAACCACTTCCCATCGGGGCTGAACCGGAGACACCGCACGGCCTGGCTGTGCCCCTGAGGGAGGACACGGCATGAGCTCACCCTGGGATCCTGGGCCCAACAGACCTCTCCCTGCCTCCTCACTCCTATGGGACCCCTTCCATCTAACAACACTGGTTACCCGCCTGGTTCTGCTTGGAGCAGTTTGATGAACGTGGCTCTAGGGGATTCATGCAGAGCCAGGGGATCCAGGTGGGCCGCCCATGGCGCTCCTGCTCAGCTCCAGGTCTATGTTTTATGTTATCACCCATGTGGGACAGCCGTCCCCTCCACCCCCTGCTGGGGTCTGGGCACCACACCACACTCAATGCCCGCAAGGTGCTCATGGAGTCACCGACAGAGCGCATCCTTACCCTGTATCGGAAGACACAGCCTTTCCTCCTGATGTCCCAGAGCTGTGGGGGAGAGAGAAGCAGAGGGGCAGAGTCAGGAGAGGTCAGAGCCACGACTGGAGGAAGGTGTGCAGTCGTGAGCAGACGGTGGGGCCCAGCCTTCTCTAGGTCGTTACTCCCCACGGAGACAAGGACAGAAACTGCTCACTAAAGCTGGCATTCTGAGCAGAAGCATCTGGCAGATAGATGCCTGCCACCCGCTTTCCCTAGGATGGTGTGGATGTGGCTGCAGAAAGGGAAGAGGTCCCCTCAGCAGGCATCCAGCACTGAGGGCCGGGCCGGGCTGGTCCTGCCACAGGCCCAGCAGGAGACACGGGGCACGGACCGGCCTCTCACCTTGATGTTTGTGTCCTGGGAACCAGAGGCTACAAACTCGCCGTACGGGTGGAAATCCAGGCTGCAGATGTTGGCTTTGTGTCCCATGAGTGTGCGAAGAACTAACAAGAAGGAAAGCAGAGACAGTGGCTAAGAGGCAAATGAGAAGGCTGGCAGAGGAAGGGCTGCTGTGGGCATTTGTGTGTGCGCTTTTGGATTAGCTGCACAGAAAAATAGAACAATAACACACATTTTTAAAACAGTAGGAAACAATCAAGGGTCCCACCACCCTAACAACGAATTTTCTTTTCTTCCTTTTTTTTGAAAAGGAGTCTTGCTCTGTCGCCCAGGCTGGAATGCAATGGCGTGATCTCGGCTCACTGCAACCTCTGCCTCCCGGGTTCAAGCAATTCTCCTGCCTCAGCCTCCCAGGTAGCTGGGATTACAAGCATGTGCCACCACACCCGGCTAATTTTTTTATATTTTTGGTAGAGATAGGTTTTCACCACGTTGGCTGGGCTGGCCTCCTGACCTCAAGTGATCCACCCGCCTTGGCCTCCCAAAGCGCTGGTATTACAGGTGTGAGCCACTGCGTCCTGCCAACAACTAATTTTCCCACATTTCTCTTGAGAGGTGACAGCCCTATGTTACCTCAAGTCTGCAGAAATTGTACCACACTCTCCCCACAGACTGTGCTCCAGCGGAAGCAGAACCAGGGAACCACCACACTCAGTTCAGGCCCCATGGGTGTGGAGCTTATGGTTTGCAGGGCACTGAACCCCACCCAAGACAGTGCAAGGAGAGAGACAGACCAGGAGAGGTTCAAGCTGGGAGAGAAGCTGCTTGGTTGGAAAGAGAAATCCAGGAAGGCTTTATGGAGGAGGTGGTATTTGAGTAGATGTCAGTGGGTGGAGGATGAGGGATGCTGTTAGGTAGATGGAGGTGATGGGCAAAGGCCCTAAGAAGGGCAAGTGGAGGGCATGGCTGGGGTGGCCCTGGTGCACACACCAGTCTTCTTGGGTGACCTCTGTCCAAGGGATCTTGAGGGTGGCTGTGAGGACACACTGAGGAGCAGTGAGAACTGAGAGGACACAGGGAGGACACGCGAGGACCAAAGAACTCCTGGGGTGGGGCCTGATCGCCTCCCACTGCCCTAGGAACCACATCTCCTATCCTTTCCTTGAAGGTTTTGCAGGCATCTCCATGGCCAGGAGCGGCCCAGCCTGGAGGCAAACCTTGTGTGTTTCAGGGTGTCCTCCAGTACCACTCAGATTTGTCTCATGTTTCCTGCTTTTGGAAAGATTCATAATTCACTATCTGAATGAAACTGACCATCCCAAGTGCCAGGGTCAGGAAATGTGGGAGTCCAGCCATTCTTAGTTTTGAGCCAAGGTGCAATAGGTCACCTTGTGAGGTAGTGAGCTCTCTGTCAGAGGAGGTATTCAAGATTCCATATATAACACTTTACTGCAGAGTCAAGATCCAAGCACTGGGTGAATTAAATGAACTCTACTGTATGATCTTCTCTACCCCCAAAGTCAGGATGTGGGCTCTGGCATCAGACAATACTGGGATCAGCCTTGGCTCCGCTCCTCACTGGTGGTGTGACCCTGGCCAATCACTTACTGTCTTTGGGCCTCATGTTGGGTCACAGAATGGAGTAAACATACATAAAGTGCTTAGCACGGGCTCTGCACATGGTAAGTGCTCAATAAATGCCAGTCTTAATTAGTCCCATTCACATTTCTTCCTGCACAAGGCCTGCCTTCTGCTCTTGGCTGTCCCGCAAGCTGGGCCTTCTCTCCTCCTCCCCAGGCCTCAGTGCCCCTCTGCAGCTGGCCCTGTCTGGCGCTGGAGCTGGGTCTGGATACTTTCACATCCCTCTGGAGTCTGTCGAATGCATATCCAATTCACCTGCACCAGAATCTCTGCAGCTGTCACTCCTTGCTCCGTGTAGCTATCAGGTGCTGCTGGGGGCTGGGCATTGCCTCCTGGCCAAGGAGGCCACGCTGGCTCTTGCTCCAGTCCACACCCGCTCCCAGCCCACTCAGCTTGGATCCCACAGCAAGGCTTCCAAAATCCTGCCCTGCCCAGAGAGGATGTGGCGGAGTCCCACCCTGTGTGGGCTGGCTGCATGAAGCACCGGCCGCCCTCCTGTGAGATCCCGTGGGATCCCCTGCGCTGAGCTACCCTTGCCCTCTGGCTGCGCTGTGGAAAGCAGGCAGGACCACATTCTTCCGGCTTGACTCCTGCCCTTGCTCTTCTGTCCCACGAAGGCCTCTGATGCCTACATTCAATCATGGGATCTAGGAACTGCAGAGTGGAGGGGCTTCCGGGGTCTGTCTGCCCCACACAGGAACCCCCAACGCCTCCCAGCTGAGCACCTCCTCAGCCTACATCTGAACCCTCCAGTGATGGGTGGCCTTTCAAGGCAACCGATATGAGGCAGCTCTCTCTCTCTCCTTTTTTTTTTTTTTTTTAAAAAAATAGAGATGGGGTCTCCTTTTGTTGCCCAGGTTAGTCTTAAACTCATGGCCTCAAGTGATCTTCCTGCCTTGGCCTCCCAAAGTGCTGAGATTACAGGTGTGAGCCACCATGCCCGCAGAGCAGCTCTCTTTGGAACCTTTCCACACCTGGGGCCTCAATTTGCCTGTCTGTCACTGTCACCTGCACTCTGGCGAGGGGGTGTGGAGGGGGGCCGGAGGTCTTAGCTCTACCTGCTGTGCTGATGGCAAGTTTCTCTTCCATCCAATGGCAGAACAGACAACACTGGGATGGGAGTCCTGACACCGGGATTCAAGTCCCAGGCTCTGCTACCTGCAGCTACTGGGGTTTTCCTAAGCTCGGTGCTCTCCCTGGGCCTCTGTTTGCCCATCTGTCAACCTGGCTGTCCATCGGAATCACCTGGAAGCTTATTAAAATCCAGATCCTGGGCCCACCCCAGTACTGAATCGGGTTCTCTGAGGATGGAGTCTGGGCCGTGAGTTCGTAATGAGTTCCTTGTGGAGCAGCCAGCCCTGGCCGTCCAGGGCCCAGGAATCCAGCAATCTTCAGTTTTCATTTCTCAGCCACCTCAAGGAATTCCTCACATTTCCCCTGTGAGCAAAACAATTGTGGATGAGAAAGCCTGGACAGGGGGCACGGCGCCCTCGGCTTCTCCCTTCTGTCTCTTGTTCTTCGGTGAATACTGAATGGCTGGTGCCCACGCGCTGGGATTCAGGTCCAGGGAGCTGCCCACCTTCTGCCTGAGCCTTCCCATCTTCTCCATGAGAGCCCAGCCATCCTGGACTCACTCCTCCCTGGCCCGCTTGAGTTCAGCGACACCAAGCACAGCATGCCCTGGTGTGGCCAGGCAGTGCGATCACGTGCCGAGACGCAAAGCCTGCAGTCCTGTTTGTTATCAAAGAGGTCCTGGGGCTCTTTTGTTCTTAAACTGACCATCACTGAGTAGGCAAGCATCACTGAAGAGGCTGCGTGCATCTTTATTGAGTACCACCTACACAGAGAGCCCACTGTTCCTGAGCAAAGGGAACCTTGCCACTGTGCATGTGTGGCTCATGGCTGCTGCCCTGCCGCCAACATAGAGCATGAACCAAGGAGAGGCCCAGAAGAATCTTGAAGTCTCAGCCAGGCCAGAGGGGCTCTCTTCTGGAAAAAGCAGCCTCGGCAAAATCCACGTTGCTGCTTCCTCTCCAGGGCTTCAGGTAGGTGGCCTCCTGCCTGGCACGCGGGATGATCCAACAAGGGCTATCAAAAAGCATCAGGCAGGCCAGGCATGGTGGCTTATTCCTGTAATCCCAGCACTTTGGGAGGCTGAAGTGGGCGGATCACCTGAGGTCAGGAGTTCAAGACCAGCCTGGCCAACATGGAGAAACCCCGTCTCTACTAAAAATACAAAAATTAGCGGGACATGGTGGTCCGTGCCTGTAGTCTCAGCTACTCAGGAGGCTGAGGCAGGAGAATCGCTTAAACCTGGGAGACAGAGGTTGCAGTGAGCTGAGATTACACCACTGCACTCCAGCCTGGGTGACAGAGTGACACTGTCTCAAAAAAAGAAAAGAAAAGAAAAGCATCAGGCAAACGGGTCTTATTTGGACCTCACAGTGCTGGCCTGCATGGTGTTCTAAAACAAATGTTGAATGAGCTGTCAACATTTTTAAATGGGTGGATTCCACATGAATTTCCAGATTTCCAGCCTCTCTTGAAAAATCCGTAGAGCTGGCACCACCTGCTAAGGCACCAAGGCACATGAATTTCCAGATTTCCAGCCTCTCTTGAAAAATCCGTAGAGCTGGCACCACCTGCTAAGGCACCAAGGCACATGAATTTCCAGATTTCCAGCCTCTCTTGAAAAATCCGTAGAGCTGGCACCACCTGCTAAGGCACCGAGGCACAGCACAGGAGCAGTGGGCGAGACTCTCCGCTCAGCCCAGAACTGAGGGCATGAGTTTCCAGACCACAACCGCATGAAACCAGTGACGACCTAGCACAGGGTGGAAGCAGACCCACCCCAAGGCTCACCACACCAGAACACTGGGACAAAGACCCTAAAAGCCTGCAGAGACAGAGAGAGAGAGGAAAGAAAAGAGAGAGAGAGAGGAAGGAAGAGACAGAACATGGAATGAAGCCAGTCCCCTGTGAAGGATCTGGGATCAGAACAACACCGGCCCCTCCCAATAGCAACCTAGAACCTAAAAGGCAGAAAAGCTGCACCTTCCAAATTCTGAGGGCGATATTTTATTGCCAACATAGAACTCTATACTCAAACTCATAAAACAAACACAAAAGCAAATGATGGGGGTAGCAGAAAGTCATTTTCAGCCATGGAAGTTCTCCAAAACTATGCCTTCCCAGCACATTTTCTCAGAAAGCTACAAAAGAATGTGCTCCATCAAAAAGAGGGAGAAAACCAAGAAAGGTTGCGGCGTGGGACCAGGAACAACAGATGGAGAGAATTCCCCAGAGAAGAGACACAGAGGCCCAGGATGACAGCTGGGCTGCAGGTCACTAGGACCAGAGGAGAGGCTCTGAGAAAAGGCGCCTGGATTATGGGATGGGTTTCAAAGAAACAGGAGGAGCTTTACTCTTCTGGCAGAGAATTTGGGGATGAATGAGTAATATGGACATAGAAAACACACAGATTAAAAAAAAAAAGGAACTATTATTAACTCCAGGGAAACCAAGTTATTAAAAAGAAATAGTCAGTGGTAAATGACACTTATGCGTCCTTACATTATAAACACCACCTATTGAAATGGTGCTACTGGGAGGGTGGGAGGAGAAACACGAGCCATGGGGCTGGGAGTGGTGCCATGAGAGAGCTAAATTCTCATCCTTTACAGTAGGAAGAGAATAACTAATGTGTTAACTTTTTTTTTTTTTTTTGAGATGGAGTTTCGCTCTTGTTGCCCAGGCTATAGTGCAATGGTGCGATCTTGGCTCACCACAACCCCCACCTCCCGGGTTCAGGTGATTCTCCTGCCTCAGCCTCCCAAGTAGCTGGGATTACAGACATGTGCCACCACACCCGGCTAATTTTGTATTTTTAGTAGAGATGGGGTTTCTCCACGTTGGTCAGGCTGGTCTCGAACTCCCAACCTCAGGATGGGGTTTCTCCACGTTGGTCAGGCTGGTCTCGAACTCCCAACCTCAGGTGATCCGCCTGCCTTGGCCTCCCAAAGTGCTGGGATTATAGGCGTGAGCCACTGCGCCTGGCCACGGTGTTTTTTAAATAAGAAAAGAAAGAAACTGTGGTATGACCATGTGGTCTAGAAAGGTGGAGGCGATCAGCAAAGCACAGACGAAAGCACAGAAAGTTTAGGCTCATGGAGAATGGGAAGGAGTGGGGCAGAAGTTTCCTCTTTCCATTGAAATTAATTGTAGAAATACTGGTATTTGAGGTTTTAAATTTTAGGCTATGTACAACTTCTATACAGATGAAAACTAAATTAAAACAGAGCACAAGGAAACAGATCTGGCCATTCCAGGCTGCCTCTAATGGCACCAGGGAGCCAAGGCAGAGTGGGGACCACCTGGAGTCAGGGTACAAGCTCCCCGGTTCTTCATGGCTGTCCCACGCAGCCACCTCACTCATTCATGTGACCTGCAGGGCCCCTGGCGGCATGTGACATCCCTCTAGGTTCTAAACACACACACACACACACACACACACGTGCCCGCAGACACACACATCCAAACACACATACATCCAAACACACACACACACACACCCGCACATCCCCCCACCCACACGAGGCAGCAGTGCATGTCAATGCCAGGCTAATGGGGGTGGAGTGGGTGCCACACTGCCGGGTTAGTGCTCCAGGAGCAAAGCAGCCAACGTAGTCCAGGCAGGCTTCCTGGAGGAAGCAGTACAACTGCAGAGCCTGAAGACTAAGGCAGGTGTGCGTGCACAGGAGGCAAGCTCGGAGGCCTACTTTTGGCAGCTTCCAGGTCCCAGACACGGATGGAGCCCGACTGAGAGCCGGCCACGATGAGCTCCTCGGGGGTGTTGAGGCGGACGCTCTCCACTGGGGATGTGTGGCCCGTCAGGCTCTGTGGAGAGAGAGCAGCAGCTTCCGTGCACTGCTGGACAGACCCCTGCAGTTGCGCCCTGAATTCCAAGTCCCCCGGAAAGGCTTCAGCAAGAAATGGCTAAGGCAGGAGGGGGAGCCCCATGGGGGCCACAGCCTAGCCCTCCTGCAGGCCCTTTCTGAGCACCTACTCCTCTCGGCCTCAGCTCCCAGGGCTAAGAGTGGCCAAACCCCAATCATCCCCCCACCACCTCCCTCTTCCCTGCTGTGCTTCTGACATGGGCGTCACCTGCAGAAATGGCCCTGGGCCCCTTGGAGGGGAGCGACTGGACAAGATAAAGGGATGCTGTCCCTTCAGCCCTAAGTTAAGCAACCCTGCCCCCGCTCTGTTCCCATCTTCACTCTGCCCCAGGCAAGCCCCTCAGCGAGGTAAGCCACAGCGGAACCAAGGCCTGCCTAGTCCTGGGCACACATCTCGCCCCTCTAGAACCCCTGGCTCTCCCTGACTGCCCATCCCCGTGGAAAGGAGAGGGCTGTGGCGGTTGGAGGAGGGTGGAAGACTTTTCACTGTGGATCCTCTATCTTTTGGATGTTGAACAGAATAAGTGTATCCCATACTCAAAAATAAAAATAAATCCAAGTGGACGGCCTGCAGGGGGACAGCGTGCACAGAAACCCCAAGGGGAGAGAGACCCCGGCAGGCTGGAGGCACTGCGAGGCCTGGGAGGCTGGTGTGTGTGAGCCAGGGCAGGGGCCCGGGGTGAGGCCGGCTGGGGCCTGACAGCTGCACCTGGCGTTCTAAAACAAGCCTGCAGGCCAGGCCCCAGACGGTTGGCCCCGTTTCTCTGGGGGTCGTGGCATGTCCTATTTTTGGTCAGTCATTGGTGATGCTTTTTCAACTTGTGTATGCTACTACTTTGGCATTTCATGGGGGTAGAAAACACATTTGAATCCTAGAAACAAAGTAAAACAAAACAATTCAATTCATCATTACTGACCCCTGGCACCCTTGCTGAGGCTGGGGTGGATCTCAGTTCTCCCCCTGGATCTCAGAAAAACACTGAGGTGATTAAGTTTCTACTAAGAAATTCATCCTTTGCCATATTCTTTTTCTTTTTCTTTTGAGATGGAATCTTGCTCTATCACCCAGCCTGGAGTGCAGTGGCACCATCTCGGCTTACTGCAACCTCCGTCTCCCAGGTTCAAGCGATTCTCCTGCCTCAGCCTCCTGAGTAGCTGGGACTACAGGTGCCTGCCACCACGCCCGGCTAATTTTTGTGTTTTTAGTAGAGACAGGATTTCACCATGTTGGCCAGGGCGGTCTCAAACTCCTGACTTCAGGTGATCCACCCGCCTCAGCTTCCCAAAGTGCTGGGATTACAGGCGTGAGCCACTGTGCCCGGCCTATTCCTCTTCATCTTTATTTCACCAAGAGTCACAACAATGATACTCCCTGGTTGGCAAGGGATGGGGGTTGGGGCAGGGAGGAAAGGGCAGGTTCCGATGCTGCTGGTGAGAATGTAAAATGATTTCTGGGGGGCAATTTGGCAATCTGTTTTGAAAGCTTTAACAAAAGCACACACCCTTGGATTGAATGCAGTGATCACGGATCTGCTCAAGGATCTAGGTGGCTGAGGATGTTCACCACAGGGTGCTTTAGCAGAGCCAAAAAAAGCCGGAAACAACCTCTCTGCTGATAACAGGGTGTGGCTAAGCTAATTACGGCTCATCCCTACAATGGAACACCATTAAGCCATTCAAAATTATGTTGTAAAAGAATACTTGTTGACACAGGCAAATCCTTACAACATTGTTATTTTTAAAAACCAGGCTGCACAAGAGTGGCAGTGTATTTTTATTTATGTGTGTGTGCTTGTATGAGTATTTGTGTGTATACATGTGTACATGCATGTACAAGTGTGCACTTACGTGCATGTACACGTATATGTATCTGTCTCAGCATCTAGAAGGACTCACACCAAAACACCAACTGTGGTGGCCTTTGGATAACGGAACTATATGTAGTTAATTTTGTGTTTTCTCCTTTATGCACTCCTATTTGGAAAACAGTTTCCAGCATTGAACATATAGCTGCATAAATAGTGGGGAGATGCTATTTAAGAACTAGCTCCCTAACCAGCTCCAGCCAGGTCCCCTCAAATCCTCATTGGGGAATGAAGGCTGGGAATGAATTAAAATAAACGCCCACATGTTGCTGCCAGGCAGGCAGATGGGCAGGTGGGAGGGGAGGGGTACAAGTCTTTTGGCTCAACCACAGGCCCAGGGCTTATTTTAATCTTCTCACGCAGCCTGCCTGGAGTTCTTAATAGTACCACAGGCAGGTGACTCCCTCGCTCCTGAGGGCTGGCCACTGTCCCAGCCATGCTGGGCTGTCCTGGGCCTCACTGAGCAGACAGCTGGGGGAAGCACTGATGGTGTCCCCACCACGCCCCCTCCACCCCTGAGCTGGGCCCCAGCGGATAGGGGGCCCTGGGCTCAAGAGAGTCTGAGAAGCTGCTCACTCTTCAGCCTCCAACCCCTGTCCCCGTCCCCTCCCCAGGCCCTTGTCCTGACCCCCCGCCAGCTGTCGGGGCTCACCATGATGCAGTTGGGCTTGTTGATGGACCACAGGTTGACGCGGCAGTCATCCCCGCCTGTAGCCAGCAGCCGCCCGGAGGCTTTGCCCAGCACCAGTGAGGACACGTTGCTGGCATGCGCGACGATCTCTTCTACACAGGGAAGGAGAGGGAGAGGCCATCAGGGCGGCCCGATGGGGCCTTGTGAAGGAGGGGTGACCCTGCTCGGCTACCCGCTTTGGAACCTGAAGCCCAGTGGAAGGATCTGCCTCCTTCAGCTCCCCCTTTGGTGTCCACCATGAGCTGCAGGACCAGCAGACAGGGCAGGGCATGGGCCTGAGACGGAAATCACTGTTTCTCAACTTTCATCATGCCTGTCTTTCCTACCTTTAGACTTCACGATTTTCTTCCTGTTTCTGCATATCACCTGGTAATATTGACTAGTTATACGCAATTTTTAAAATTGACTTGCTATTTTTATTAGCTTGGGCTTAAGCAATGTCCATGAAATTACAAGTTTGATATACTCATGATACTCTTTCTATGATACAAAAAGAAAAACAATTATTGAAATAAAAAAAATTGACCCATGCACTGCCTACACACCTCTCAGCTGCTGCTTGTGTGTACATACAAACCCTGCTTTGGAGAACACACTTTAAGAACAACCGAAGTCACCTCTAGACAAGCTGCCCCCAGGTAAGCCTGCACAGGGCTTCGGCTCAGATTCACAATCACGGATCAGGTTCTGGTCTGAGGTCTGTGATCTGCTATTGCGTGGCCTTGGCTACTAGGTCACTTGTCCTCTGAGGGCCTGGCTCCTCGTCTGGAAAGTGGGGATGCCCGTGGTGTCTGCTCACACCTGATGCTGAGGACTCCCTCAGAGCGCGCCTACGTGCTGCTTAGTAGCAGGCGAGGGCTCCGTGACATTGGGCAGGCTCGGGGCTAGTCACCATGAGAGAGTGGGCATGGGGGCCTGGGCGGGCACCAGAGGGTGGGCTTCATGAGGAGGGGGCAGGAGGCAACAGACTGAGCAGCTGGGGTGGGGGTGAGGGCTGACCACACAGAGGAGGAGCCTGTGCAGACAGCCCAAGGCCCTGGCCTGGTCCGTGGAGATGGCAGACAGGAGCCTCGGAGGACTCCGCAGGGAGCAAAGCACAGGCAGGGAACCAAGAGGCGGCCCGGGCCTCAGAACCCATCCCTGCATGAGCTCCTCCTGGAAAGAAGGGAGAAAAAAGACAGTTCTCCCCACACAGGCCAGGGGAAAACCCCAAGGTGCTGACGCCCCGAGGCACCCGGAAGGCCAGCGTGGGTGACGCCAAGGAAAAGGGTGTTGGAGCCACGGCGCTCCACAGAGGCCCCTCCTGCACCCCAGCTCCGACTCCACCCTGCCTGGGTGTCTCTGCTGCGGGCTTCAGACCACAAGGAGGTTGGGAAACTGGGCCCAGGGAAGCTGCTTGCCAGAAACCTGGGCTCCAAGGGGCCACCAGGAATACCCAGGGGACAAGTCGCAGGCTGAATCTCACTGATGACACCCTGCCTCCTGGGCCGGTCGGGGCAGAGCCAGCACAGGCAGCAGCGCCAGCAAGGGCGAGGGTTCCCTGTGGGCCCAAACCTGGGCCAGGGCGCTGGGAGTTCGCCATGGGGATCCCAGGGAGCTGGGCCCCACTTTAGTCCCGTCTCGATGAGAGCCTTCTGTCCTCTGGACACTGTCGGGACAGAAACCTGAGGAATTCCAGCCACAGACGTGTCTGTTCAAGGTTTCCACCTGACCCAGAAAGAGGGCAAAGCACCTTCTCCCTGGCATTCCGTGCCCGAGCCTGGTGTCCTCTCCGTGGAGGCACTGCTCGCTCCCCCTGGCCTACCTGGAGGGCTCTGTCTGTCCCCTGGCCCTCACTCCTCCCAGGGAAAGTGTCTGGCTGGGCCCCACCTCACTGGGCCTCAGGACTGCTGCCCCTGGAGTCAGGGGCATTCATTCATAATATCAGTATTTCCTGGGTGCCTGTTCTAGGCCTTGCACGAAATATGCCCCAGTATAATCAGATGGTGGTGGGGGCGGGACACTGAGCTGGCAAAACCGCAGACTTTGGAGTGAGAAAGATTTAGAAGTTGGGCCCTTCTGGAGGAGCCCACATCACTCCCCTCTAAGCAGCCTGACCAGGGACTGACTGGAGCCCACAGAGGGAGGGCAGAGGGGCAGGGACACAGCACAGGCACCTGCAAAGGAGGCACGGGGCACCACCCCAAGAGCTCCTCCTTCATCCTGGCTTGTTGGACAGCAACCAACAGCCCAGGCCGAATACTTGATTTTCATACCAAAAATAAAAAATAAAAATCCTCAGTGTCTACTGGCAGGCCAAGCTCTGGGAGTACAACCTGGGCCCCACATCCAGCCAAAGCTGGGGAACATGGTGCGGCGTGGCCAGAGGGGCTGAGGATCAGCATCCCAAATGCAAGATACAAAGTACTAGGTTTCAACGACCTCATGTGGGCCACGCACCTCTGATCCTCACCAGACCCTGGAGCCACAAGGAGCCAGAGGTCACGTGGCCCTGGGCTCTTCAGAGTTGATTCCCACGGACACCACCGTGCACATGAAATCAGCAGCAGCAGCAGATGCCCAATACGCCTGATCTCATTACCTCCTGCTCGCACACACTGATGGCTTGGCCTTGCCTTTATGATAAAGCACGGCAGCCTCAGGAGGGCTGGGGTCCTGAGAACTCAGTAGGTCCGTGCGGCCCCACATTCCTCCTGCTGCTGTGCCACTGCCCATGGCCTCCCTTGAGTCCTTCCAATACACTGAGCCTCCTGCCTCAGGGCCTTTGCACTTGCTGTTCATGCAGCCTGCAGCATTCCCACCCCACCCCTACCCCTACCCCCCAGCTAACTGATTCAAAGCACAGGCACCAGCTTGCAACTAGAGGAGACACAGAGGGATACGGTTATCCAGTTCCTGCCTGTTGCTCTCCCCAGGCTCTGAGCTCCCGCTGTACAGAGACCTTGACTACTTTGTCCCCCAGTGGCTCCCCAGTGCCTAGCTCTGGGGAAAGGCCAGCTGTCGAAGGGATGAATACGTAATCCCAATAATTACAAAGCCACTCTGACCAAAGTGTGCCTTCCTTGGGGAACCATAACAGGGTTCTCCCAGAGCCCTAGAGTTTTGGGGAACAACATGAAAATGGCCCAAACCTCTCACTTTACAAACAAGGAAACAGAGGCCCTGCAAAGAGCTTTGCCCAGAGTCTTATGGTTAAATTCATGGTTAAAAAGTGTGGAGTCTTGGCCAGGCATGGTGGCTCATGCCTGTCATCCCAGCACTTTGGGAGGCTGAGGCACGTGGATCACCTGAGGTCAGGGGTTCGAGACGAGTCTGGCCAACATGGTGAAACCCCGTCTCTACTAAAAATACAAAAATTAGCCGGGTGTGGTGGCGGGTGCCTGTGATCCCAGCTACTCGGGAGGCTGAGGCACGAGAATCGCATGAACCCGGGAAGCAGAGGTTGCAGTGAGCTGAGATTGCACCACTGTACTCCAGCCTGGGTGACAGTGAGACTCTGTCTCAAAAAAAAAAAAAAGTGTGGAGTCTTGTCCCAGCTCCTGAAAACCAGCCCAGGGACAGCTGGCAGCAGACAGTGACCAGGTGGAGCACACAAAAGCTATGCCAACCAGTTACAATAGGTGGGGCAGGGCCCACCAAGGTGCCAATGTGTAGGGGAATTCTCAAAATATGATCTGGGGATGCTTGGGATCCTCAAGATCCTTTCGGGGGGTCTGAGAAGACAAAAGGATTTTCACAATAACACTAAGATGGCATCTGCCTTTTGCACTCTCATTTGCTCTCAAGCATATGGTGGAGTTTCCCAGAACATCACTAGAGGCCTATTTGATTATATACTCTTGTTTGAAAATGTCTCAGTATTAACTTCTAACGTGGTAAATACTGACAGATATATAACTCCAACAAACAAAAGCACTCTGGGGTCCTCAATAATTCTTAAAGTATGAAGTCTTCAGATGAAAGAGTCCAGATCCACTTGTATAGGGCAATGGTGGGAGTGGACAGTGCCCATCAGTTACAATCCGAGCCCTGTCTGCATCCCTCTGCCCGCCCCTCCTCGCTCCCACTCCTTCCCCCATCCCAGGCCCAAGATGCTTTTATCTGACTGGGGAAGTTTGACTTGTGAGATGTCTGAGAATGCTGTGAACATCTTTCAGGATTTCTCACCCCACTGTCAGCCTAACTGGAAATGCTGTGCTAAGTGCTTTAGGATGGGTTCATCCTGTCACTTGAATTTCACAGCAACCATAGAATGCAGGCGTCATCTCATTGTACATATAAGAAAACTGAGCCTCAGAGAGGTTAAGTCACCTGCCCAGTGTCACCCAGCTAAGAAGTGCCACAGTCATGATTTACATAATGGTCTATCTTACTCCCAAGTCTAGGAGTCTCCTCCTGTGCCAAGAACAGGAAACAAAGCTGTGGGTTCAGGCCTCCCAGCAACAAGCCGCTAACAGAATAAATGGGGTGATAAAGAAAAATGAAAACCACTCACGCAACTTCCAGGCTGTCTTGGTGACCACAGGGGTGGCCATCCTTCAGCTGGCTGGCACCTGAAGCCCCACCCACAAAATAAACTGTGCTTTCCTCGTGGGGTGGGGGTGGATCCCCCCCCAGATCCACCAATCAAGTTGGCAGAGAGTTCCCACACATCCAGGCAGACAGAATGCCTCGTCTTCTGGCCCTGGGGTGCCTCGTGGTTCCAAATTACCCACAGCAGCAACAGCAGCAGCCTGTGCACATCTGTCACGATCCTGGATCATGGAATGTTAGGCTCGAGCCATCTCAGCTCAATACAGGGCTGCAATACAAACAAGAGGTGACGTCATGTTAGAAAATGCTTGGTAAGAGCTGTTGCTCCCTGGATCACCAAGACCACTTGATAAAGACTGACACCCACCAAAGCCACCAGAGTCAGAAGCTGCACTGCAAATTAGGTTTGGGAATCTGCAGAGGGGGCACCTCAGGTAGGGTGATTTGGAACGTAAGGAAAAAGAAACTCCTCCCAGAGGCCAGGATAATGAGCTGCAGCTCTGTTCCGGGATGCTGGCTGCCTAAAGTGCAGCAGCCGCAGTGGGGCGGAGAAGACCACGTGTCTGCAATTCACATAGATTTCCTGCGAGTCGTTGTTTTTGTCTGACGTGTGGGATGTGGGAGAGCGGAGTCAGAAGCTAAGCTTAGGGGCCTAGGAAAGGCATCCCAGAGACGGCCACTGAAGTCCTCCTTGGAAAGAATCTCGAAGACGACCCTGATGGTCCAATTCCCCAGCTCCTGGCAAGGGAACCGCTCCTGCTCCCTGCGATTCCCAAGGACAGAGCTAGGAACTAGGCCTCCAGTCTGGGCGTAAGTGGCTATGACTCTTCAACTCTAAAAGGCCTCCTCATGGAGCCTCCCACCTCCTTCCCACAGCCACTTCACCTCTTTCCCATGAGCCCGCTCCCCTCCGTCCCCTTTCTCCTGGGTCCCCGGGTCTGCCTCTCTAGTCCTCCGTTCACACCCCCTTTTCTCCCTGCCCCCTGAGTCTCCCACTTATGCACATCCTGTCTCCCGATATCCCTCACGTGGCCCCTGCCTCGCCAGACTCCCGTTACTGCCCTTTCCCATATGCTCGCGGGGTCTCCCATTCATTCATTCTCCTACTTCTCTTCTCCCTATTCATTACCTGTCCTTCTGCAGACCCCCAGCTCTGCTTCCGGCCTCCCTGGTTTTGCCCCCTCCGGCCTCCACCCCGACCCCTCTCGTCCGGGGGCGGGGGCAGGTCCCTCGGCCACGGCTGATCCTCCCAACCCTCTGCTTGCGGAGTACGGGCTCTAGCCTCCCCACGCTCAGAGCTCTCTGCCCGCAAGCCCAGCCAGCCCCGCCTGGCTCGGCCCAGCCCAGGGCCCACCGTCCCCTCGCCACCTCGTCCCCTTGCCCACTCCACCTGCAGCTGCGGCTCCGGAGGCCGAGGCTCCGCTCCAGGCGCGACCCCCACTTGCCTCCATCCCCTGCCTTGATTGGCCGCTGCTTGACAACCGACCCTCACAACAAAACCTCCGGCTCAGAGCCCCGCCCACCTTGCCTCCCGCACCAATCAGCTGCCGCGGGTGCTCCGCCTCCTGCCAGGACTGACCAATGGAAGCAGGCGCTTCTGCCGCTTTTCCTCAGTACCCGCCCTCTTTTCCTAAATAGGACTAATCAAGAGGAAGGAACGTTCAAGAGCCGCCCCTTGGCCTCTAATAAACCAATGCAAGCTGCCGTTTCCTTAGTCCCGCCTCCGTCTCAAGTTTTCCCTTTCCTCTCCGTTTCCTCCCTCGAACCTAATTTGTGTCTGAAAACTTTTGAGAGCCGCCCTCCAATGGCGGCTGCGCCAATGGCTTGAGCAACCGTCCTGGATTGACCAATCAGCGTCCGCATTATTGGAAAACTCAATTCCCAGATAGCCAAT
This sequence comes from Homo sapiens, assembly GCF_000001405.40. Lineage (NCBI taxonomy): Eukaryota > Metazoa > Chordata > Mammalia > Primates > Hominidae > Homo > Homo sapiens. The sequence continues at coordinate 57,735,351 of NC_000016.10, read as the reverse complement.
GGGAAAGGAACTTCGGGGGCAGTGTGAAGCCTCAGGCCTTCCATCTTGGAGTGGGGCAAAACCTAAGGAGGCCTTAGTCGGCATTTTGCCGAAGCTCCTCATTCTTCACTTTGCCTGCAGATGGTCCCCCGTGGCAGGAGGACTTTGTCCCTGTTCTTTGACCCGGACGCCGGCTTGAATCCCCCATGGGAGGTCTAGAAGGAAACAGCCTGATTCCGGAGCCGAGGCAGGCGCTGAACCCTGTAGCACTGCACACGCAGCCACCGCCTCGACTAATGGATGCGTGGGCAAGGGGCTGCTCCCTGAATGGCTGCAATCAGGGAATCGGAGAAAGGCCAGCTTTATTTGTGACACGTTGGGCGGGGTGGGCTCTGGGAAGCGCCGTAACCCTTCTCGACTCAGGGCCTCTCGCGTGGCCGCTTAGGAGGGACTTGGCCCCGCAGCCGCCTCTCCCTGTTGCCCAGAGGTTGTCCCAGGCACCCAGAGCCCCTCGAACCTTGCCCTTCGGCCTCCAGCCTCTCACCGCAGGTCAGGGCTCCTTGGGCTCACATAACGCCCAGTACAACCATAAGAGGTAGGAATTCCTGTTCCCATTTACAGATGAGGAAACTGAGGCCCGGGTTAAGATGCTTGCAGAAAACCACACGGTCAGAAAGTAATAGCCCCAGAATTCGAACCCTTGTTCTGAAAGCCAAAGCGTGGGGGAGTCCCCACTCTGCCTTCTGCTTCAGCCTTCTGCTTCAGATTCTCCTGCTTCAGCCTCCTGGGTAGCTGGAACCACAGGCGCCCGCCACCACGACGGGCTAAGGCTAGTTTTTATATTTTTAGTAGAGACGGGGTTTCTCCATTTTGGCCAGGCTGGTCTTGAACTCCTGACCTTAGGTGATCCACCCGCCCCAGCCTCCCGAAGTGCTGGGATTACAGGCGTGAGTCACCGCAAGACACCTTTAAAAGATTAGCAGAATAACATCGGATCAAAACTGTCTAGCCTGCAGTTCCCCTTAATTTTGTATTATAAAAAGAAAACTAAACAGAGAAAACTTTAAAAGACAATATAATGATACCACGTAGATTCCAGTACTTGTTAACAGTTTGCCATATTTGCTTCGTCTGTGTGTCTTTTCGGAACCATTTGAAAATTGTAGATATGACATTTCACCCCAACACCAAATACTGAGCATGTATCTCTTAAAAATAAGGCCCTTGGCCAGGCGCGGTGGCTCACGCCTGCAATCCCAGCACTTTGGGAGGCCAAGGCGGGCGGATCACCTGAGGTCAGGAGTCCGAGACCAACCTGGCCAACATGGTGAAACCCCGTCTCTACAAAAAAATACAAAAATTAGCCGGGCGTGGTGGCGCACGTGCCTATAATCCTAGCTACTGGGGAGGCTGAGGCAGGAGAATCACTTGAAACTGGGAAGCAGAGGTTGCGGTGAGCTGGGATGGGGCCACTGTACTCCAGCCTGGGCGACAGAGTGAGATCCATTTCAAAAAATAAAAATAAAGCCCTTATTCTACAATAACCATTGTTATCACCACTGCTAAGAAAATTTAATTCTGTAACAACCAGTCCATATTCGTATGTCCCCAGTCATCCCAAAAACCTTTTAGGACTTTTTTTTTCTAACTAAGAACCAATCAGTATTCACCACACTTGACTCTTAAGTTCTTTCCATTTCTGTCCCCAAACTTTTATTTTTATGACATCGATCTTTTGAAGAGATCAGGCCATTTACCTAGATTGTCCCACGTTAGGAATGTTTCCTTTTAGTATCATTTACCTGAATTTCCTGAAGTTCTTGTTAGATGGACGTTCTTCTTAAATGCATTTCTTCCCTTGAATTTCTTAAGTTAGGGCTAAAGGCTTGATTAGATTCATGACAACAAGCAGTCAAAAACACTCCAGAGGACACATTGTAAGTGCACAAGGTTGATGAATTTTTACAAACCGAACACACCCAGGTCAAAAAGCAGAACGTGACTAGAAACCAGAACCTCCCCTCCCAGGGCTCCATGCTCACATCCATTCACTAACCCTCACACTCCAAGAGTGACGGTTGTCCTGACTTCTAATATCACCAATTAATTTTCCTTATTTTTGTTCTTTCCATAAATGGAATAATAGAGTATGTACTTTTGTGTCTTGAATCTTTTGACATTATACTTAGGCAGTTTGACCATATCATTCCATATAGTTGTGTTGCAGTTCATTCATTTTCATTGCTCTATGATATGGTTTGGCTGTATCCCCACCCAAATCTCATCTTGTGAATTGTAGCTCCCATAATTCCCACATATTGTGGGAGGGACCCAGTGGGAGATAACTGAATCATGGGAGGGGTTTCCCACATACTGTTCTCATGGTAGTGAATTAGTCTCACGAGAGCTGATGATTTTATAAGGGATTTTCCTTTTTGCTTGGTTCTCATTCTTTCTTGTCTGCCACCATGTAAGATGTGCCTTTGGCCTTCTGCCATGATTGTGGGGCCTCCCCAGCCGTGTGGAACTGTGAGTCCATTAAACCTCTTTTTCTTTACAAATTACCCAGTCTTGAGTATGTCTTAATCAGCAGTGTGAAAACAGACTAATATACTCTATAACCTCAACATTATTGGCATTTAGACCTAGATAATTATTTGCTGTGGGGGGCTGTTCTGGGCATTGTAGAATGTTTAGCAGCATCCCTGGCCTGTATGCACTAGATGCCAGTAGCATTCTCCCTAAGCAGTTCTCCCTAAGCAGTTAAAGACAACCCAAAATATCTGAAGACCACAATTTATGTATCCATTCTGCTCTTGATGGGCATTTGGGTAACTTCCAAGTATGGTGCTATTATCAATAATGCTGCTATGAAAGTTCTAGCACATGCCTTTTAGCAGATAACTATCTATCTACATTTCGGTTGAGTTGTTCATCATTCTTACTTGATGAATGATGGATTGGAGTAGAACCTAAGAGTAGAATTGTTGGGCTTTAGTTTAGCTTTAATAGATAATGCCAAGCAGTTTTCCAAAATGGTTGTACTGATTTATACTTTCACTAGGAAGGCTATTTGGGAGTTCCAGTTGTTTCTCATCGTCACCAGTACTTTTTATTTTTTTCATACCGGAGGGTGTTGTGACATTTCATTTGCCAGATGACTCATGAATTTGACAACCATTTCATGTGTTTTTTGGCTATTTTGTAAGCTAACATTTAATGACTGCTTTCTATGTGCCATTCCCAGCCTCCCTGCTTTATAATTTATGTCTTTTTTTTCTTTTTTTTGAGACAGGGTTTTGCTCTGTTGCTTAGGCTGAAGTGCAGTGGTGCAATCATGGCTCACTGCAGCCTTGACTTCCTAGGTGAAAGTGATCCTCCTACCTCAGCCTCCTGAGTAGCTGGGACTACAGGCTCATGCCACCATGCCTGGCTCTTTGTTTTTTTTTTTTTTTAGAGATGGGGTCTTATTATGTTGCCCAGGCTGGTCTCAAACTCCTGGGATCAAGTGATCCTCCTGCCTCAGCCTCCCTAAATGTTGGGATTACAGGTGTGAGCCACCACACCTGGCCATAAGTCTTATTTAATGCAACAATGCTACCCCATTCCACAGATGGGTAAGTGGTATCTGGTAAGAGGAGGAGCTGGGATTCAGTCCTCAAATTCTGGGGCATGCATCTTAGCCTTCCCCATCCCACTTGGTGAGGTGGGCCACCCTAGTCACATTGAGATATAACCAGTTGTTTGCAGATGGCTGTGGGACCATCTGCAGAGGTGCTGTGAAGACCTGACATTCCAACGGAGAGAAGGACAGGAAGCAAACGACAGGCCAAGGGGAGGAAGGGGGTGGTCCCAGGCTATAGATAACAGAAGAAGAGAAAGGCTGCTGCTGGAGCTTGTGAAGCGCAAGGCACAAATGGCAAATTAAGAGTGTGTTTATTTACAGGAAAATCATGAGAAGCAGGAACAAACAGGGCTGTAGGGGAGGTGGGCTGGCAGTGAGGCCAGGTGTCTGTGTAAACAGGCATTGGCTGGATAGAGGGAACACAGGAGCCAGGCTGCGGGAAGAGGTTTCCTTTCTCTGGCAGCTCTGGCTGAGGCCCCAGGAGGGACATCAAGCGAATATTTTCTGGAGCTCCCCCAGGCGTGGGTCCTTGTAGAGCTTTTCCTCCAGAGCCAGGTACTTCAGTGGGGCCAGTTCCTTGTGTCTGAAGTCAGAGAGGCAAGGAAAGAGGGTGAGGGGTTACAAAGCTGGTGGTCCAGCCTCCCAGTGGGTTCTCTCCACCTGCCCTGCCTGCTCACCGATTGAGGCGCTGCTCCAGGATGCGGATGCGGAACATGGCCTGAGAGCAGTAACTCAGGTACAGGTCTTCATCCTCGGGTGTCAGCGTCACCTGGTTCTCCTGGTACCACTGCTGCTTCTTTTGCAGCTCCTGGGTCTCCTGTGGTCATAGGGCAGACAGAGAAGGAGGACTGACAAGGCTGACCTTCACCCAGGCTGCAGGCTGCAATCCCATGGGTCACTAGACAGCACCATGACGGTTGGCCCCAGTGTCCCCACTCACACAAGCCACCTATCCATACCTGCCACAGAGGCAGGGGCCACAAAATATCTTGGGTGGGAGCCAGTGGGGTCATGTTTATAGGGATGTCATGTCCATGAGATCAGAACGGGGCAAGACTGAGAGAGCCATGTAGCTCTGGACAAGTTACTGGCATTTTCAGAACCTGCAATTTCTTGTCTACAAAAGGAGGGTCATTGTACTCCCCCCTCCCCTTGTAGAGCTCCTTGTGAAGATTAAGTGACATAATCTTAGTAGTGCACGGGAACTACATGGTGTGTGCCTGACCAACAAAAATGGGTCAAGGACTAGGAGTTGTTACAGTGTACCATCTCTCTGTCTACCCAGCCATCTGCCCATCTATTCCTCTGCCCATCCCTCCACCCATCCCTGCCCATCCATCCGTCCATCCGTCCTTCCACTCATCCATCCAACCGTCCATCTATCCACTCGCCCATCCAACCGTCCATCTATCCACTCGCCCATCCATCCATCCATCCATCCACCCACCCACCCATCCACCCACCCACTCATCCATCCACCCACCTACTCACTCACTCATCCACCCATCCATTCATCCATCCATCCATCCACCCATCCATCCATTCATCCATCCACTCACCCACTCTTCCATCCACCCACCTACTCATCCATCCATCCATCCATCCACCCACCCACCCACTCATCCATCCACCCACCCGCTCACTCACTCATCCACCCACCCACTCACCCATCCATCCATCATCCATCCATCCATCCATCCGTCCATCCGTCCTTCCACTCATCCATCCAACTGTCCATCTATCCACTCGCCCATCCAACCGTCCATCTATCCACTCGCCCATCCATCCATCCATCCACCCACCCACCCATCCACCCACCCACTCATCCATCCACCCACCTACTCACTCACTCATCCACCCATCCATTCATCCATCCATCCATCCACCCATCCATCCATTCGTCCATCCACCCACCCACTCGTCCATCCACCCACCTACTCACTCATCCATCCATCCACCCATCCACCCACCCACCCACTCATCCATCCACCCACCTGCTCACTCACTCATCCACCCACCCACTCACCCATCCATCCATCATCCATCCATCCATCCATCCATCCACCCACCCACCCATCCATTCATCCATCCACCCACCCACCCCATCCACCCACTCATCCATCCACCCACCCACTCACTCACCCATCCATCCATCCACCCACCCACTCATCCATCCACCCACCCACTCATCCATCCACCCACCCACTCACTCACCCATCCATCCATCCATCCACCCACCCACTCATCCATCCACCCACCCACTCATCCATCCACCCACCCACTCACTCATCCACCCACCCATCCATCCATCTATCCACCCATCCATCCATTCATCCATCCACCCGCCCACTCATCCATCCACTCACCCATTCATCCATCTGCCCACTCACTCACTCACTCATCCACCCATCCATCCATCCACCCACTCATCCATCCATCCACCCACTCACTCATCCATTCATCCATCCACCCATCCATCCATTCACCCATCTACCCACCCACTCATCTATCCACCCACCCACCCACTCATCCATTCATCCATCCACCCATCCATCCATTCATCCATCTACCCACCCACTCATCCATTCATCCATCCACCCATCCATCCATTCATCCATCTACCCACCCACTCATCCATCCACCCACTCATCCATCCACCTACCCACTCATCCATCCACTCACTCACTCACCCACCCACCCATCCATCCACCCACCTATCCATACCTATACCCATACACCTATCTATCTACTCACCCATCCATTCATCCTCCCATCCATCTATCCATCCATTTATCCACCCATCCACCCACCCATCTGTTCATGCACCCACCCATCCCTCTATCTACCCATCAATCCACCCACCCATCTATCTATTCATCCATCTACCCATGCATTCATCCACCCATCTATCCATCCATCCATCCACCCACCCACCCACCCACCTATCCATACCTACATCCATCCATCCCCCTATCGATTCATCTATCCGATAAACAAGTGTGAGGAGGAACAACTCAGTCATTTGGAAACCCCAAGCATTGACATATTCATCCCGTCATCAGGCCCTCACAAGCCTGTGAGGTAGTGGGCGGACAGCCGTGGGCCCATTTCCTGGATGCAGATGCTGAGATCCCCCCCTCCCCAACAAAGGCCCTGGTGGCACCTTCTCAAAGCGGGCCTGGATGAGGTTGGCCTTGTTGATGAGCCGCTGCTTGAAGTCGCTGAGGCACTCATCCTTGAGGCGCACCGCCTGCCAGCATGTTAGTTTCTCTCCTGGCGGGAGCTGGGCCAGGAATGGGGCCAGGTAGTCCAGCTGGGTCTCCACCTGCCGCAGGTGCTCTTCGTGCATCATGCGCTCCTGTAAAGGTGAGGGGCAGATAGCTGGATCAGCAGGAACTACAGAGACCTCTCCACCAGCTCTGCATCAGCAGTGTGCCAGCACAAAGCCAGACCTCACAGCCAGGTTCCAGTGCATGGCGCCTCCAAGATGGGCCTTAGAAGGGCCCACATGCTGGTCTCTGGACCTGTGTTTACTGGTGACAGCCAACTCTTTTTTTCTTACATGAATTTGTATCTCACTACCTGAGCTTTGGTTTCCTTCTCTGAGGATCTGAGGATCTGACAGGATCATGTCTGTAAAGCACGCAGCCTGATGCCTGACAATCCATAGTAGATGCTTATTCAGTCAACGGTAGTGGTTATTAACGATGTTAGTTAAAAACTGCCAGTAACTCCCTTCACTTTTCTTTTCCACCCTGGGGCCTGTGTCCTCCATCTGCAGACAGGGGGCAGTGAAGTTGGAGACGTGGGGGCTGACACCCTCCCCTGGGATCTGAGAACAGTCATCTGATGCCCATCCTGCCTCACGACCCCCAAACTAAAATCTCAACTTGGTTGGTGAAAGGGATTCAGAAGCCGGCCCTGAAAACCAGGCGGGGCCTTGCAACCTGAAGGTGTAACCTGAATGCCCTCCCTGTGCTGGAGAGCAGGAGAGCTCAGGCCTGGAGCCAGAGGTAGCTCACTGGGGCCACTGGCCCAGGGTGCAACCTCAGTGGGAGCCCTGAGTAGAGGTGGGCACATAATTTTAATTCTTTTCCCAACCACAGGCCTTGGCTTGGCTACAGCCCCTGGGGATGGGGGGAAACCTTGCCCAAATCCCAAGTACTCTTTGGGATGAACCATAGAAATGGTCAGTTCAGCAGCAAGGATGACCGCATGGTATCAATAACCGTATCCCCCACAGAGGGTTTCTCAGCAGAATCCCTCATGGTCCCCACCACCCTGGAGACCAGGGGGGTCTAGGAAAAGCTGGGGCCTGGAGAAGGGATTGGGACTGACCATGGCCTCCCGATATTCCTTGCTCTTCTCATTCCGCTTGGTGTCATAGATGGAGATGGTCAGTGTGTGCGCCGCCTCCTCTTCCTCTCGAAGCTTCAGAATCTCCAGCACCTGAAATGAGAAGTGTTGGAGGGCGTGATGGAGACACCCCTCCTCCACTCCTGTAACCCCAGCACTTTGGGAAGCCAAGGAGGGCAGATTGCATGAATTCAGGAGTTTGAGACCAGCCTGGGCAAAATGGAAAAACCCCATCTGTTAAAAAACAAAAACAAAAACAAGAAATTAGCCAGGCATGGTGGTGTGCGCTAGTGGTCCCAGTTACCTGGGAGGATGAGGTGGGAGGACCACCTGAGCCCGGGATGTAGAGCCATAATTGCGCCACTGCATTCCAGCCTGGGTTATAGAGCGAGACCCTATCTCAAAAACAAAGATACCGCCCACCTGCTCACTCTCCCACAGGACCCTACCTCCAGCTCTGACTCCCAGACCTGATGTCTGGACAGCTTCTCCTCCCTCTTCAGGTGCATCATGGCCTCGTACTGGTAGAGCAGCTTCTTGGTGTGCTCCATGGGCTCCACCTGGGACAACAACCACCTTAGTAACACAGAGAGGCTGCCATGATCGGGGCATAGGACCACCTGGGTTCAAATCTACCCCTGCCACTTTCCAGCTGTGTGACCTCGAGCAAGTTGCTAAACCTCTCTGAGCCTTAATTTTCTCACTTATAAAAATACAGATAATAATAAAAGAGGAACTGAAGACTCAGAAAAGCTGGGGACTGTGCCGGGAGAGTGAGCGTTTGACTAGGAAAGCTAGCCCCTCAGAGGTAGTGAGACTCTTCCCCTCCCACAGAGCCTCCCTAGGATCTGAGGTTTGCCCTGACCAGGACTGCAGAGTCGTCTTAGCCTGCTGAGTTCGCTTTTTTGGTGGAAAAGGAAGATTTTCAGAGGAGCTCAAAGAGAAGGGTCCCCAGATGGGAACTTTTGGTTTTCCCAAAGAGCAAAGATGAATTTCCTCGCCGGGATTCACCAGCGCCCATCCTGGTTCTCCCAAGTGGCTGGAATAAGACAGAGAGCCCCGGTTCCTCCTGCAGCCGACCCCTGCCCGCCGTGGCCCCCAGGCCCACCTCGAAGCTGATGCACATGTCGGGCGTCATGATGATCTTGTTGCCTTTGCTGTCCACCTCGGTGCGCCGCAGGAACTCGCGCTTGGAGGCCGTGATGTGGTCCTCACGGCAGTGGTAGCGCAGCTGGATGCGCTCCTCCGCGACCAGAAACACGCGCTCTGCCACGTCCTCCTCCGCGGGCTTCGCTGGGTTGCGGAAGAACCGCTCTGTGATTTTCTGGGAGGCCAGAACATGCAAAGGATGAGCAAAGGATGAGCGTGTGAGAGGAGATTTCTGTGCATGCCCGCAGGCAGGAGCAACGAACGTTCAGGACACTGGAGTCTGGGGTCGTTTGGCGATTCACGTGGAATAGCCCCTCCTAGCCAGACAATGGATTTCGTGGGTTCTCAGGGCCAGGCCACTCCACTCCCATATGGTGCTGGGCCCCTCCTCAGCTCCTTCAAGACTCTGCTTGCCTACCTCAAGAGATGGGGAGCTCACCACCTCTCCAGGCAGCCTACTCCATTGCTAGACATCCCTTACTGCTAGAAAGAGCTTCTTTGGCATGCTGCCATTACACACAGTTGCCAACTAATTTGTAATGACATGAAGGGGAAAATGCACAATTTCATGTTAAGTGGGTAATACAGGGACTCTAATCCCTGGGTCCCGATCTCAATTACATTAGAAAAAACTCTCAAAACCAAACCTATAATCCGTGGCAACATATGAGAGATGCCATTCTGAGATATGTTTACTTTTCTCTACATTTTTACATATTTTCCAAATGTTTAGTCATGAGTGTGTATTTTTGTATAACAATAAGGAAGTAACACATCCTTGGCCCCATGGCTGAGGGCACAGTCTGACACCAGACAACCCCAGGATGGCGCATTTGGTGATATGGTTTAGTTTCGTGTCCCCCCACCAAAATCTCACCTTGAACTGTAATCCCCATAGGTCAAGGGCGGGACCAGGTGGAGATAATTGAATCATGGAGGTGGTTTCCCCCATGCTATTCTCGTGATAGTGAGTGAGTTCTCCCACGATCTGATGGTTTTATAAGCAGCTTCCCCTTTGCTCAGCACTTATTCTCTCTCCTGCTGCCCTGATTCTAGTGAAAAGGACCCTTTTCACTAGGCAGAAGGTGGAAAGGACCCTTTTCACTAGGCAGAAGGTGAAAAGGACCCTTCTGCCATGATTTTAAGTTTCCTAAGGGCTCCCCAGCCATGCAGAACTGTGAGTCAAGGAAACTTCTTTTCTTTATAAATTACCCAGTCTCAGGTATTTCTTCAAAGCAGCATGAGAACAGACTAATACATTTGGTAAAATGCTTGGTTCATCATTGGTGCCCTTGGATATGTCTCAGGCCTTAATGCCACCCCAGAGCCAGGGCTCTCACCATTCAGAGGTGACATCAGCTGCCAGAGAAGGAGGGCGACCTGTCCCCAGCCCCCGCGAGCTCTTACCACAATGGGCCGGGGGTTTGACTCTGCACTGCTCAGAGTGAGCTTCTTGACTCGGGGTCCGAAGCTGGCATGGCGGTAGGAGAGGAAGTCTGGGCGTCCTTGATAGTACTCTGTCATTGTCCTGGGTGTCTCCTCCCGCTTCATCAGGCCATCCACACGGGCCGTTTCATAAAACTCAATGACACGGTCCATCTCAGGTTGCATGGACTTGTACGAGTGCACTGGGTGGGGAGCGGGAGTTGGGAGGAGACAGCTTCATAAGCACTAGGAAGTATGGCTGCTGGCTTGGTCGCCCAACCCCAGGCCCAGGGAGAAGACAGACCCACATTATGGATGAGGTTAGCTATGAACCAGTCCCCTATTGCTGGGTGTTTAGGTTGCGTACAACTTTTTCTGATTATTACCAACACCATGATGAACATCTGCATCGTGCATTTTTTGTTCTTGTCCATTATTTGCTAAGAATAAATTCTCAGCAGTGGAATTGCTGGGCCCAAAAGTGTACTTTTTTTTTTTTTTTTTTTTTGAGACACAGCCTCGCTCTGTCACCCAGGCTGGAGTGCAGTGGTGTGATCTCAGCTCACCGCAGTCTCCGCCACCTGGGTTCAAGTGACTCTCCTGTCTCAGCCTCCCAAGTAACTGGGACTACAGGCACCTGCCACCACACCTGGCTAATTTTTGTATTTTTAGTAGAAACGGGGTTTCACCATGTTGGCCAGGCTGGTCTCAAACTCCTGACCTCAGGTGATCCACCCAAAGTGCTGTGATTATAGGTGTGCGCCACTGTGCCCAGCCAAAAGCGTACACGTTTTATGGTCATTATCAATATTTTGCCCAACTGTCCTCCAGAAAAGTTCCAATCTGCTGTCCCATCAACAGTGACACAGAGTGACTGTTGCTCCCATACTTGTTCATACCCAGTAGGACCATTTTTTTCATCTTTGCCAACATGGGGGTTATAAGATGGTCCTTTATTGGTTAGGGACCTTATTAGTTTCTTTTTTTTTATTATCAACTTCCAAATGAGGTTGATCATTTAAAAAAAATGTATATTACTCCTATGCTTTTCTTTTGTAAATTTCTTGGTCAGGATTTTTTTTTTTTTCTTGAGACAGGATCTCTATCTGTCACCCAGGCTGGAGTGCAGTGGCATAATCTCGGCTCACTGCAGCCTCGACCTCCTGGGTTCAAGTGATTCTCCTGCCTTAGTCTCCTGAGTAGCTGGGATTACAAGCACATGCCACCATGCCTGGCTAATTTTTATATTTTTTGTAGAGATGGGGTTTCACCATATAGCCCAGGCTGGTCTTGAACCCCTGGGCTCAACTGCCCATGTTGGCCTCCCAAAGCGCTTGGATTACAGGTGTGAGCCCCTGTGTCCGGCACTGCCTCCTTTAAATGTGGCCTCCACCGTGTGACCCCATGGTGAGGTTCCGGCCTGATTCCAACCACAGAACGGGTATGTGGCGCCCCCTTTAGCTTTCCTGGAGGAGCATTTGTTATATTTCCTTAGAATTTCTGAGCTTTCCCTGACCTCCCACACATCGGGTTTGCTGAGGGAGGCAGGGCAGCTTCTACTGCTTGCTGCCCAAGAACCCATGTATAATATGTATGCTGGTTCCTGCCACCACATACCACCTGCCACAGGGTGTGTGAGGCCTCTACCCCAGGCTCCTGGGTGGCCCAGGAAAGGGGAGCCACGCACCGCGCAGAGCCTGGGGGTGGCCAGGCTTGAAGTAGTCTGTCTTCAGGTCTGTGGTCTTGTTTATGTGTTTCAGCTCCAGCATGTCTTCCCGGTTCTGGTACCACTCCTTTATCTCCAAAATATTGGTACCTGTGGGGCCGATGGACACTTGCCGCAGCCAGGCCAGCTCCCCTAGCCTTCAACCCCCCTTATTCCAGGCACACAGAGGCCAGCAATGACCCCAGAGAGAGTAGAAGCCGCCCCCGCCCCTGGGCTGGCCTGGACCCATGTCCAGAGCAATCCCCCTTACACTGCAAGTCCTCATAGGTGGTGAGGCGGCTCACAAGGCCATTGCTATTGAGGTACGGGGCCCACTTCTCCAGCTTTGCCCTCTTGTACTGAATCACCTTCTTCCCGTTCGGGCAGCGGGTCTCAAATGCTGTGGACACAGTCAGCTGTGGTCTCTTCTTGCTAGTTTGGGGGAAGGGAGGGCCAGCCCCGCCCAGCCATTCATCCATCCACTGCCCGTTCTCTGTGTACTGAACTCCTCCAGCCCCAAGCCTGATCCAGGGAGGCCGAGGAGAATAATCACCAGGGGTGGCTCCAGCCCTAGAGGGGTTCTCAGGCCAGGCAGAAGCACAGATCCACCCAAGAATGGGATTTGAGCCCCATCAGAGGGTCTGCCCTGCAGCCAACCACACTCTCACATTGCCAGGCCTTTGCTTGTACAGGTCTCTGCCAGAAACACCGTCATCCCCTCCTCCCCTTGTTGGACTGACTCCTTCAGATCCTTCCAAACTTCACCCAGGTGACCCCTAGCCTACTTCTGGTACCCCTTTCTGCTCACCCATCCCCAGGCCCTAGCCCCAGTGCTGGGCTGGGTGCGCCCCCCTCTGGGTTCCCATGACAGCCTCTCTGGCACTTCCCACCCTGTTGAAGTGGCCCATGCCCTCCCCATAGGTCTGGGTGCTCCCTAGGTGGGCACCAGCAGATATTGACATGGAGCATGACAGTCCCTGCCCTCCTGCCTTCTCTACCTGCCCCTCTCCGGTCCTGAGACCCCCCGCACCATCTGGGCACTGCCCATGGCCTCCTCTGGGTAGAAGAGTGTGAGAGGGGAATGGGCTGGGTTTCCAGGCCTTGCTGTCACCTACACGCCATCATCCCACACATGCTCACTGAACTGCATCGCCCCGTGTGCCAGACTGGTCGTCAGGCCCTCGGGGTCAGAGCTGAGTGCGTGTGGCAGGAAGGGGGGAGGGAGGGAGGGAGGGTGCAGCTGAAGGTGAGAAGGGTGGAAATGTGGGGCATGGCATTCCCTGCTGTGTCCCCCTGCCTCGCTGTTGCAGACCTCTCTGGAGGCCCAGGAACTGGATCTGGAGAGGATAAGTGAATACACAAATAGAAAATACCTTCCGGGGAGATCTCAATCTGCTCCACCCACGAGTGGGGCATGTCGAAGCTCTTATCCTCATCCTCCTTGCCCTGATGGGAGAGAAGGGGGTGGGGGAGGTGGTGCTGGTCAGGGTGTTGAAGCAGAAGTTATGGTCAAAGCTCTGTCTCTGCCTGCAGAGCCAAGCCAAGGTGGTCCGTTGGCTTCCGCAGGGGAACTGGAGGTCATGAGCACGACCCATGATGTGGAAAAGGAGGAGTCGACTCTGGGCAGGGAGCCCTTCCCTATACTTGCCTGGCTTAGGACAGCAGCACCCCCTGCCCTGGCTGCAGGCCCTTCGTGATTAGAGAGGTGTTTCTGGAGTCAGGGTACCCAAGCCCCACCCTCTCTCCAAGACCAGCTAAGGGGTCCTGGGCAAGTCCTTTAACTGCTCTAAGCCTTAGTTTTCTTAACTGTAAACTGGACCTTTTAGGAGGATTAAATGATATAATGTCTGTAAAGGCCTTGGGGCTCTGATTGGCTGACATTATTATTATTATTATCATTTGAGATGGAGTCTTGTTCTGTTGCCCAGGCTGGAGTGCAGTGAATCTTGGCTCACTGAAACCTCCGTCTCCCAGGTTCAAGTGATTCTCCTGCCTCAGCCTCCTGAGTAGCTGGGATTACAGGCATGCACCTACCACACCCAGTTGATTTTTGTATTTTTAGTAGAGACGGCCGGGGGAGGAGGGTGGTGTCTCACCGTGTTGCCCAGGCTGGTCTTGAACTCCTGACCTCAAATGATATGCCCACCTTGGCCTCCCATAGTGCTGGGATTACAGGCATGAGCCACCATGCCCGGCCTATTATTATTTCCTCTCTGAGCCTTAATTTCCCCATTTGTGAAATAAGGCCCGATCTAGATAAATGGTCCTCAAACTAGATAATCACAGAAACTTGGATAAGACTTTCTCGACTTAAAACCTTTTTTCCACAAACATTGCTCATACCTCTGACAACTGTTTATCTAATTGTGACATTTTGCAGGGGACAAAAATGAGTGAGCAGTCAGCAGTTAGTATTGTCAAAAATCTCTAAGATGGTCAGGTGGGTGGGCTGTCACCCGGGGTCTGGTTTTTCCTGGGGGTCCATGACTGGGTTCTGACTCTTTGGGCTGCCCTCTGTCCGTCTTTGCTGTAATGAGGGCTCTTGGGCCAGGGTGGACCAGGACTCTGTGACTGGAACTGTTTGATTATTAGCCATGTGGGTGCTCAGCCGGCTGCCTGCAGGGCTGGGCTCTCAGGCCCTGGCTGGTCCATGCCCCAAGGCCAGCAGGGGGCACCTATGCCTGGATTTACTGCACACAAGATGTCCCCAGTCTCTGGAGATGAGGATGCTGAGAACATTTAGCACCCTTTTGAGATGGTCTACACTGCTGTGCCAAGCACATCACATCAAGCAGCCCCAGGAGGTAGAACAGAGTTACCATTGAGAACCCAGACTGTGGAGCCAGACTGTGTAGGTTCAAATCCCAGCTCTGTCACTTACCAGCTGTATCGCTTTGGGTAAGTGACTTAACCTCTCTGTGTGTGAGTCTTCCCATCGGTAAAATGGGATAATATTAATCACAGGTGGTAATACCAGTGCCCACCTCACCAGGTGGCTGTGGGGATTTAAATGAGTTACTTCAGGTTAAGTAGATACAATGGATCCCAGTGCTTAGTAAGGACCATGTGAGTGCTACCTTTTGCTACGGGCTGAATGGCATCCCCCTAAAATTCATAGGTTGAAGTTTTAAGCCCTGAAAGTGACTGTATTTGTTTTATTTATTTTTCTTATTTTTTCTTTGTTGTTGTTGTTGTCTTGATCACTTACTGTTTGAATGATTGTTTTTAGAGACAGGGTCTTTAGAGAGGTGATTAAGGTAAAATGAGTTCATTAGAGTGGGCCCTAACCCAATATGACTGGTGTTGGTTGGGCATGGTGGCTCATGCCTGTAATACCAACACTTTGGGAGGCCAAGGCAAGGGGATCTCTTGAGCCCAGGAGTTCGAGACCAGCCTAGGTAACATAGCAAGACCATGTCTCTCTGAAAAACAAAAATTAGCTGGGTATGGTGGTGTGTGTCTGTAGTCCCAGCTACTCCAGAGGCCAAAGTGGAAGGATCATTTGAGCCCAGGAGTTCGAGGCTGCAGTGAGCTATGATCGTGCCACTGCACTCCAGCCTGGGCAACAGAGGAGACCCTGTCTCAAAAAAAAATAAAAAGAAAAATGACTGGTGTCCTTATAAGAACAGATTAGGACATAGATTTGTACAGAGGGAAGACAATGTGAAGACAGGGAGAAGACAGCCATCTACAAGCCGAGGACAGGGGGCTCAGAAGGAACCAACCCTGTCCACACCTTGATCTCAGACTTCCAGCCTCCAGAACTGTAAGAAAATTAATTTCTGTCATTTAAGCAACCGCATCTGTGGTGCTTTGTGATGCCAGACGAATGCACTTATTAGAATTACTATGAATACAACTATGATCCTTCTGCCTCCATTTCACATAAAGGCTGAAACTGAATTCAGAGAAGGGAGGCTGGTGATGTGGGTAAGGCCCTGGCCAACGACATTCAGAGGAACTGACAGAACAGACAAGAAAGGCCTGGCAGCATGTGGGGCTCATGATGGCTACTTGGGATAGAACTGAGAACAGCCAGCTCTGGGACTCCCAGGGGGTTGCAGAGCGGGGTGTTATGACCCCGCTCTGCAACTTTCTTTTTCTAAATTTATTTTTATTTTTATTTTTTGTGGTGGGGTGGGGTTGCGCAGGCTGGAATGCAGTGGCATGAACATGGCTCACTGCAGCTTCGGCCTCCCAGTCTCAAGTGATCCTCCTGCCTCAGCCTCCCAAGTAGCTGGGACAACAGGTGCATGCCACCACAGCCAGCTAATTTTTAAATTTTCTTGTAGAGACAGGGTCCCACTATGTTGCCCAGGCTGGCAAGGGACATGCTTTCCAAAGGAGCAGGGCAACTCCTGAACAAGGTGGACGATATGGGGGGCAGAAGACCTGACGTCAAGTCCTGTCCCTTCCGTAACCCACTGGGAGGTCCTGGGTAGGTTTCTGGCCTTTCTGGGCCTCAATGTGCCCATCTGTAAAATAAGGGAATTGCTCAAGCCTTCCTGCTTTGAGGAACCCATCACTGGTCTACTTGGGCCATCCCCCACTGCCACACATATGCTGCTGGGGACACTTGTCAGGCTCCCTGAAGCCTTCACACACATTCCCTGGGCTCTCGAGCTGCTGAGACTCACCAGATTTTCCACATCATCCTCATCGTTTATCCCACTGTCGTCTTCTTCAGTCAAGGACAGCTGAGACTTATCAGTCCCCAGGAGCATGTACTCCCATCTCACAGGGTCACCCAGGTCAAAGATCAAGTCCTGTTGGGGATGAGGGCAGTCAACTGAGTGTACCCCACAGCCACCACGTCCCCACCTGATCCATGGGGAGTTGGGAGATGGCTACTCCGGGGCAGAGAAGGGACCTGGGCCCAGGGCTTGGGGAAGCAGAACGTCAGTCCCAGGTGGCTCTGAGAGTCCATGCCCACACTCCTCATCCCAACAGGGAAACTGAGGCCCCGAGGGGGAGCAGAACTCCCTGCCCATCATTCAGCCTCCCTGTGAGGAAATCTCGTGTTGACCTCTGTGAAAGACAAGGAGGCTCTCTGGCCTGGGCTAGACCTGGATGTGCAGGTCTTTCCGCATCGGCTGGGCAGTGCTTAGAGCCAATGAAAACAAACCAGCAAGATTTGATGGCAGAAGGGTCTAGCAACTCCCAGGAAGTGGAAGGTTTTTTAAAAAGGCTTCCTCCTGTTTATTTTACCCATGCCAGGAACAAGGGAAATAGGCAGGCACACGTGGAAGTTATACATAAGATGCAGGTGGAGAGCCGGGCATGGTGGCTCATGCCTGTAGTTCCAGCACTTTGGGAGGCCAACACAGAAGGATCACTTGAGCCCAGGAGTTCAAGACCAGCCTGGGTAGCAAAGGGAGATCCCATCTCCACAATTTCTTTTCTTTTTTTTTTTTGAGACAGAGTCTCACTCTGTCGCCCAGGCTGGAGTGCAGTGGCGTGATCTCGGCTCACTGCAACCTCTGCCTCCCAGGTTCAAGCGATTTTCCTGCCTCAGCCTCCTGAGTAGCTGGGATTACAGGCACATGCCACCATGCCTGGCTCATTTTTATATTTTTAGTAGAGATGGGGTTTCACCATTTTGGCCAGGCTGGTTTCGAACTCCTGACCTCAAGTGATACGCCTGCCTTGGCCTCCCAAAGTACTGGGATTACAGGCATGAGGCACCGTGCCTGGCCTTTTTTTTTTTTTTTAAGCCAGTGCATGGTGTTATGCACCTGTAGTTCTGACTACTTGGGAGGCTGAGGCAGGAGGATCACTTGATTCCAGGAAGTTGAGGCTGCAGCGAGCTGTGAACACACCACTGTACTCCAGCCTGGGAGACAGAGTAAGACCCTGTCTCTCCAAAAAAAAAAAAAAAACAGCAGGTGGGTGGGAATTTCTCCTCCATGGAGTGTGTCTGCCACCTTCTTTTATTTTTCTTTTCTTTTTTTTTTTGAGACAGGGTCTCCCTCTGTTGCCCAGGCTGGAGTGCAGTGGTATGATCTCGGCTCACTGCAACCTCTATCTCCCCGGTTCAAGTGATTCTCCTACCTCAGTCTCCTGAGTAGCTGGGACTACAAGTGCTCGCCACCACAGCCCAGCTAATTTTTGCATTTTTAGTAGAGACAGGGTTTCACCATGTTGGTCAGGCTGGTCTCAAACTCCTGACCTCTTTTCACCCAGCCCACCTGAGTCCTCAGTCCCCTCAATAAAAGTGGCTCATCTGTCAGATAATTCCTAGAAGGTGGGGAGCACCTCACATTCTAATCAACCTTCCTAGAGCAAGGTGTTCTCCCCACCCTAAATCATGTTCCAGAGGAAATCAGAGGCTGCAGAACAGCTGCCTGGAGGGGTGTTAATATTAAGCTGTCCTGAAGCCAACTCTAAGCCTAGTACTCACTGTCATGTGTGGGTCCTGGGAGGGCTCCTGAGTATTTCTCTGCCCTAGCTCGTGGGTGGAGGGGAGAGAAGTGGGGGGCACAGCAGAGGAGAGTTGGGGAGAGAACTGCTGGTAGATGTCACAGCGACTGTGGCAAAGCTTAATGGGCTTAGTGGATAGGAACCCAATTGTATAGATATTTGCCTTTTTTCACTCTTTTTTTTTTTTTTTCAGATGGAGTCTTGCTCTGTTGCCCAGGCTGGAGTGCAGTGGCATGATCTCGGCTCACTGCAACCTCTGCCTCCTGGGTTCAAGCGATTCTCATGCCTCAGCCTCCTGAGTAGCTGGGATTACAGGTGCCCGCCACCACACCCAGCTAATTTGTGTATTTTTAGTAGAGATAGGGTTTCACCATGTTGGCCAGGCTGGTCTTGAACTCCTGGCCTCAAGTGATCCACCTACCTCGGCCTCTCAAAGTCCTGGGATTAAAGGCGTGAGCCACTGTGCCCGGCCAACCTATTCGCACTCTTGGCCTAAATTTTGTTACTTTTGTAAACCAGTGTAAGCAGTAGTTAGATATTATGCTTTGTTACTTTAACTTAAGTTCTATTTCTTTAGAAAAAGCATAATTGAATGGACAACAGCCACATCCATGTGCCCAGGGTACGTTTGCGCCAGGCAGTCACTCTGTGGATGCCTTGCCATCCTCCTCCAACCCCTCGCTATTTCAAGGTTCTTTGAAGAAACAAAGCAGCTGCTCCAATGTTCGTGTGCTGGTAAAAGTGACAGCCTATGCCATCATCTCTTCCTCATGCCCTCACTTGGCACAGCACTGCCCCTCTGGCCTCACTTCCACCTTCACCTCGGAGCCTGATGGATGAGATGAGGACATTCAGGCTGGAAGAGGGGCTGAAGGACTGTAGCATCCTCTGAAGGGCTGTTATCCTTCAGAGGACACCGACCACCATGGTGCTTATGAGCCCAGGCCCTGGGGGAGGGCAGTGTCGGCTCTGCCCCCTCTGTGTGGCGTGGGAGAAATGATCTCACTTTACTTGGCCTCAGTTTCCTTACCTGTAAGATGGGAGCAACAATAGTTAACATTTATTGAACAGCTAGAGACTATTCTAAGCATCTACTGAGTGTTACTTCCCACAACCCTGGAATCAGTGCCTAAGGGAGGCAGAGTGATGAGAGGCATCTCCTTTGCTGAAGGCAGAAGTTTCTCATCTCAGAGCTTCTGACTTCTTCACAAAGACAGAGCAACCGGCAAAGCAATCATGCATCAAGTCTGCCTGTCTCCCGCAGGGGCTGGCAGTCGCCCCTCTGACACTTATTTACTTATTTATTCATTCCCCAAGACTAAATGACCATTAAAAAAGCAGGTCATCAGGTACAGTGGCTCATGCCTGTAATCCCAACACTTTGGGAGGCCAAGGTGGGCAGATCACTTGAGGTCAGGAGTTCAAGACCAGCCTGGCCAAAATGGTGAAACCCTGTCTCTACTAAAAATACAAAAAAATTAGCCACTTGTGGTAGTGCATGCCTGTAATCCCAGCTACTCAGGAGGCTGAGGTGAGAAGATCACTTGAACCCGGGAGGCGGGGATTGCAGTGTGCCAAGATCGCGCCACTGCACTCCAGCCTGGGTGACAGAGCAAGAGTCTGTCTCAAAAATAAAATAAAATAAAAGTGTGGAAAACTATATAGAAATCAACATTGTCTCCCATAATTTGGTGCATCTGGGACTATAGAAATGTCACTGTCCTGCCCTACATCTTCAAATTAGCATTCTCAGGTCACAACAAGTCTTCCCAAAGGGATGCTTTGGGAAAAACAAGCTATTTCCTCGGCTCATATTTCCCTCTTTTTGTAGCATGCACCAGCAATGTATGCAAGTAGTATATACTGGGAAGGAAGAAGGGGGTCCACCAGCAAGCCCATGGCTGTTGACAGCCATAAGATTAGAGACAAGCACAAAGGGATAGGTCAACATACTGGCAAACAGTGCTGTGACATCTTGAGAATAACTCTTCATACTCTTCATTTCATTCCCGATAGAAACCTCACTGTCCAGTGCATATGTATGTGTGTGTGTGTGTGACAGAGAGAGAGAGACTCTCTCTCTCTGTTGCCCAGGCTGGAGTGCAGTGGCACAATCATGGCTTACTGCACCCTTGACCTCCCGGGCTCAAGCAATCGTCCCACCTCAGCCTCCCTAGTAGCTGGGACTACAGGTGCATGCCATCATGCCTGGCTAATTTTTTTGAATTTTTTTTTATAGAGACGAGGTCTCACTTTGTTGCCCAGGCTTGTCTCAAACTCCTGAGCTCAAGCGATCCTCTCACCTCATCCTCCCAAAGTATCAGGATTACAGGCGTAAGCCGCCATGCCCCACCAGAGTGCATAGGTATTGATGAGGTAGGCCAGTGAGTTACAGAGCCATAAAGAAATGATGTTGCCTAGGAGGTGAGGAATAAGACACATGAGAAATCCTAGGATGCCTTCTTCTCAATAGATGGTTACTATGGAGTCACAAAGTTCACAGTACTTGGACTCTCTGTCAGTGAATTGTACCACAAATCTCAGTAATCATGCAGAAGGGATGTGTGATGGCGGTAGCAACAGAACGAGTGATTATCACTTGAGTTATCTCCATGATAACTCGGTCAAAGGAAGATGAGACAGCTTTCTGTACATTTCCAGGTCCTGACTACTGCAAAACTTGACCATGGACTCCCAGGCAGTTTTGGTGTTAAGCCTGTGAACAACCTGCACCTCCCATCAATGCTGGCAATGTACTGAGTGTAACTAAAGGGACCAGGTAGCTGACCTACTTGCTGCCCCAAAGTATTCTGACCTGTTGTTGCAGGAAGAGGCTCATACACCATGAGGGCAGCTGGGACAGGATGGTGAGACGGGAGTTCAGGAGCAGCAGACTGGCTACGTCCGCCATGCAGATGGACAGACAGTCCAAGCCACCAAACAAATGAGCGAGCCGTTCCTCAGGGTCACCTTAAAAAGGGCCCAAGGGAAACTGGCCTGGTCAGAAACAGAGTGCCTTCGAGACAACGAAAGAGCACTGATAGACATACCCGAGACTGGGTAATTTGCAAAGAAAAAGAGGTTTAATGGACTCACAGTTCTGCAAAGAGGATAACCAATGCTAATACAAATCAAAGCTCCAGTGGCTATATTAATATCAGACAAAATAGACATCAGAATGAAAAATATTACTAGGGATAAAGCTGATTATTTCATACCGATAGAGAGGTTAATTCATCATGAGGACATAACAATCTCAAACATTTACTCATCTAATAGCAGGGCTTCAAAATACATGAAGCAAATACTGATAGAACTGAAAGAAGAAATAGAGAAATCCAAAATTGTAGCCCAACATTTCAATAATGTTGTCAATAATTGAAAGAAATGTAGGCAGAAAATCAGCAAAGATATATAAGATTTGAATAACACTACCAATCAACTTGAGATTATTGACATTTATAGAACATTCCACCCAACAGCAAAATACACATTCTTGTCAAGTACACACAGAAAATTCACTATATTAAGAATTTGGTGAATTTCCTAGACAGACCATATTATGGTCCATAAAACAAACTATAGCAAGTGTAAAATAATAGAAGTCATACCAAGTTATATTCTCTAATCACTACAGAATTAAATTAGAAATCAACAATAGAAATATCTCTAGAGAGTTTCTAAATATCTGTAAACTAAACACATTTTCAAATGGCCCATGAATTAAAGGAGAAATTAAAAGGGAAATTGGAGAGCATATTGAATGGAAAGAAAATGAATACATGATAGAGTAAAATGTGTGGGATGTCACTAAAGTAGTACTTCCGAGAGAAAGAAGGCTTATGTTAGAAAAGAACAGGCTTAGCTGGGCGTGGTGCATGCCTGTAATCTCAGCTACTCAGGAGGCTGAGCCAGGAGAATCGCTTGAACCCAGGAGGTGGAGATTGCAGTGAGTGAAGATCGCGCCATTGCACTCCAGCCTGGGCAACAAGAGCGAAACTCTGTCTCAAAAAAAAAACAAAACAAAAAACAGTCTTAGATGAATCATCTCAGCTTCCACCTTAAGAAACTAGAAAAAAGTAAATGAAGCTCAAAGTAAGCATAAAGTATAAAATAATAAAGATCAGAGTGGACATCAATGAGATAGAAAACAAAAACAACGGAGAAAAACCACAAAACCAAAAACTGGTTTATTGACAATAAGGTGGGACTTACTGACCAGAAGGTGGGACTTGACTTCCAAGCTGGGGGCTCAGACACTGGACCAAATTGAGGACTAGCTAAAACGGGGCCAAGGCAACACCCAGAAATTACACCTTTCCATGGCAATGACAAAGTGAACCAGAGGTTACCACTCTATTTCTAGAAATTTCTGCATAATCTGCCCCTTAATTTGCATATGATTAAAGTGGATATAAATGTGACTGTGGAACTGCCTCTGAGCCGCTACTCTTGAAACCGCCTTTGCACAATTATGACTAAGACACTGAAAGAGATCTCAATCGACTCCATCTTGCTTCTAACCTCCAAGCTGTCCTTGTTCATTCCTAGGTGAAGGCTGAACTAACTTTGGGAGAAACTTAGTTTATTATAGTTTAAAACAAAGGCAATAACAGCCCTTTCCCAAAGCAGACCTCCTTCTTGCTTAGGGACTAGATTAGCTACAAGATTAGAAATTATGGTTTAGGAGTCATGCAGCTGGAGGCTACAAGATTCTGACCCTCCCTAAACTGCTCCTAAGATCAGTGCTTGAGATATTTTGCAGGCCCTACACTTGATGGATCAGATGGCACCACCAGATGGATAAACTGGCTCATCTGATCTTGTGAGCCCCACCCAGGAACCGACTTGGTGCAAGAAGACAGCTTTGACTTTCTGTGATTTCATCTCTGACCAATCAGCACTCCTGGTTCCCTGGCATCCCCCAACCCACCAAGTTGTCCCTAAAAACTCTGCTCCCTGAATGCACGAATGCTCTGGGAGACTGATTTGAGTAATAACAAAACTCTGGTCTCCTACACAGCCTGCTCTGCGTGAATTACTCTTTCTCTATTGCAATTCCCCAGTCTTGAATCAGCTCTGTCTAGGCAGCTGGCAAGGTGAACCCCTTGGGTGGTTACAATCTGGGCACACTGCCTATGGGGTAGCCCTGCTCCACAAGGAGCAGTCCATCTGCTGCTGCCGTACGCTGCCACTTCAAGTAAAGTTGCCTCTAACACCACCAGCTTGCCCTTGAATTCTTTCCTGGAAAAAGCCACGAATCCTCACTGGCAAAGCCCTGATTTTGGGGCCTGCCCCTGCATCAAGAGCAACAAAATTGATAAACCTCTAACCAGATTGATCAGGAGCAAAAGAGAGAACACACAAACTACCAATATTAAGAATGAATGGGGTAATGTCACTAAAGACTTTAACATATTAGAAGGAAAATAAGGAGCTATTTTGAACACTTTCATAACAATAAATTTGAAAACAAATGAAATGGACAAATTTCTTGAAAGATACAAACACCAAACCTCACTCAAAAACAGCTTGAGTCTTCCTATTGAATTTGTACCTTAAAATCCTTCCACAAAGAAAATTCCAGCCCCAGATGGCTTCACTTGTGAAGTCCAGCAAACGTACAAAGGAAATCATGCCAATTCTACAGAAACTCATCCAGAAAACTGAAGAAAAGGGAAACTTCCCAACTCATTCCATGAGGCCAGCATTACTGTGATACCAAAACCTGGCAAATATATTCTAAGAAAACTACAGAACAATATCTCTCTTCAACAAAGATACAGAAATTCTAAGCAAAATTTTCAGTTCAACACCAATAATATATAAAAGATTTAACCATCACAATGAAATGAGGTTTATCCCAGGAAAACCATGGTTAGTCTAACATTCAAAATCAATCCAAGTAACTTACCATGTAGATAAACTAAAAAAGAAAAATCATAATAATCTCAATAGACTCAGAAAAAGTATTTGACAAAAATCTAGCATCTATTTCTGAAAAAACTCTCAGCAAACTAGGACTGGAGAAAAACTTCCTTTATTTGATAATGGGAACCAATAAGAGAAACCTGTGGCTAATACTATACTTAATGGTATCAGACTAAATGCTCTCCGTAAGATCAGGAATAAACAGGTTTGCTTTCATCACTTCTGTTTAACATTTACTGATGATTCCAGCCAGTGTGATAAGGGAAGAAAAGCATCCAGATGGGAAAAGAAGTAAAACTGTTTTTATTCACAGATAACATAATTATCTGTATAAACATTGATGGAATCCACGCAAAGGCTATTAGGGCAAATAAGTGAATTTGGGAAGATTTCAGGATAGAAGATCAATATGTAAAAATCAACTGCATTTCTATTCACTAACAAAGAATAGTCAGAAGGTGAAATTTAAAAAAATCATAGCATCAAAAAGCGAAATATTTAGGAATAAATCTGACAAAAGATGTGCAAGAACTGTACACTGAAACCTACAAAATGTTGCTGATAGAAATTTTAAAAGACTTAAATAACTGAAGAGAGATACCATGGTTCATGGGTGAAAAATTCAATATTGTTAAGAAAACGGTTCTCTCTCAATTGATCTATGGATCCAGTATAATCTCAACCACAATCTTCTTTTTGGGGCCCGGGACAGTGGTTCAAGCCTGTAATCCCAGCACTTTTGGAGGCCAAGGTGGGTGGCTTGCTTGAGACCAACCTGGGCAACATTGCAAAACCCATTTTTTGTCTCTATAAAAAATACAAAAATTAGCTGGGCATAGTGGCACATGCCTGCAGTCTGTAGTCCCAGCTACTCGGGAGGCTGAGGTGGAAGAATTGCTTGAGTCCAGAGGTTGCAGTGAGCCGTGATTGCATCACTGCACTCCAGCCTGGTCAACAAAGGAAGACCCTGTCTCAAAAATAAAAATCTTCTTTTGGGGTGATGAAAAAATTCTGGAATTAGATAGTGGTGATAGTTGCACAATCTTGTAAATATACTAAAAGCCACTAACTTGTGCACTTTAGTGGATTTATGTTATGTCAATTACACCTCAATTTTAAAAAGGGGGGAACACAATCAGTCTAATTTACCACTTAATAGAAGAAAAAATTATGATCATTTAATAGATGAAAAAAACATTTGATATAAACAAATTTTGTTTGATTAAAAAAAAACCTGCTAGTGAACTGAGAAAGAAATCCCTTAGTTAAATAAAGGGTAGCTAGCTATAAAAACCCTACAGTCAAGATAAACATCACACAAATAGTGAAATGTTATGATACTAAGGCGTTACTTGTGAATCAGGACTGAGACAAGGATGTTCAGAATCCCCACTTCAATTTGACATTATACTGGATGTACTAACCAGAGAAATAAAACAAGAAAAAGAAATGAAAAAGTATAAGGATTAAAAATGAAGAAACAAAACGGCCATCATTCAGCTATAGAACTGATTGTATATGCAGAAAACCCCAAAGTCTTTACAGATTAATTTTTAAAATGAATAAGCAGGTTTAAAACTTACTGGATATGTGAACAGTTTGCAAAAAGCAATTGCTTTTTTTTTTTTTTTTTGAGACAGAGTCTTGCTTTGTCGCCCAGGCTGGAGTGCAGTGACGCAATATAGGCTCACTACAACCTCCGCCTCCCAGATTCAAGCAATTCTTCTGCCTCAGCCTCCCAAGTAGCTGGGATTACAGGTGCCCACCACCACACTTGGCTATTTTTTGTATTTTTAGTAGAGACGGGGTTTCACCATGTTGGCCAGGCTGGTCTTGAATTCCTGACTTCAAATGATCCACCCTCCTCAGCCTCCCAAAGTGCTGGGATTACAGGTGTGAGCCCCCACACTCAGCCAAAAATCAATTGCATTAAATAAAACCACAGTGCAATACCATTACATGTCCACTACAATAGCTAAAATGGAAAAGAAAGTATCCAGTATTGGCAAGGATGTGGATGGAGCTCTGAGAACCCTCATACATTGCTGGTGGGAGTGTAAATGGATGCAATCACTTGAGAAATCGGGCAGTATCTACTAAAACTGAGTATGTGCCCACCCTGTGACTCAGCGATTCCACCCCTCAGTAGTTACCCAACAGAAATGTGTGTATGTGTTCACTGAAATATATGTATACAAATATTCATGGCGGCATTATTCAAAATAGTCCCAAACTGGACACAGTCTCAATGTGCAACTGTAGAAAGGACAAATAAGTTCTGGTGTATTCAAATAATGGAAAGTAATAAAAAATGAAAATGAACAAACCACACAAAAAACCACAATGAATTTCATAAACATAATGAGTGAAGGAATCCAAGAGTAAGAGTATTGAATCACTGTGTGATTCAACTGATGTAAACTCCAAAAACAGATGAAACTAATGGATGTCGTTAGAAGTCAAGATAGTGCTTAACTCTGGGGACGATGGTAGGGTTGGTGGCCAGGAGGAGACATGAGGGGGCTTCTAATGGTCCTGGCTACACAGGTGTGTTCAGTGTGTGATAATTCAATGGTATGTACACTTAGGATTGTGACCTCCTCTGTACCCTCTTGTAGGCGCGTGTGTGTACCAGTGCCACATACGTGAGTTAAAAATACATTTGGAGGAAGATAGTAATTGTGCAAAGGGACTTTGTGGGGTTTGGGCAATATTCTATTTCTTGGTCTGGGTGTAGGAAACCAAGGTGTGTTAAATTTGTGGGATTTCACTGAACTGTATGTATGCATGGGATGAGTGTACTTTTCTGCATGTAGGTTACACTTCAATATAGAGTTTTTAAAAAATGCATTCAAACAATCCACACTTTAGAAGGATACACAAATCAGGAGAGACAATAATCGTATCAGAATGGTTATTCATGGGCAAGGGAGTGGGCCATGGAGACGCAGCTATGGAGAAGGTTCAAAGCCCTCGTGGCCTGGTGTCTCGCTCTCCCCAAGGTCTGGCTGCCATTGCTTCCCTCTATTCCTATCACCTGCACTGTGCCTGCCACACCCACCCAGCTCCCCCTCCCTAGGCACCTTGCAGCAGTTCCAGCAATCCTGCATGTTGATCCAGTAGTTCTTGTGGTTCCACAGGCTTTCGATGCCCAGGAAGTGCTCATCCTGGGTGCTGTAGCTATGTCCTGTGAATGGGTCGATGAAGAAGTTCTCAGGCACCTCGCGCTTCCCCGATAGCACAAGGACCCAGGAGTGCACCCGCAGGCCGTGCAGGGCATCCGGCTTTGCCTTCTCCGCTTCCTGCCAAGGAAAGGTGGGTGACTACGAGTCAGATGGCTGGAAGAGGAGTGTCAGGGGCCCAGACATCTCCCTGGGGCTGGGGAACCAGCAGGAGAGCTGAGTTCTGATGTAGACTGCACCATCAACCGGAGTGTGACGGCCCATCTCCCCTCCCATCACCCAACCACTGAGCCCATTTGTAAAATCAAAACAATGGGAGAGTCTGACTAGATCTGTGGTTTACAAATCGGACTCTTTGGGGCACTGGGCATCTGGGGGTTACCGGCTTTATATGTTATGACTTTGGGTGAGGTTTCATCCACAGAAAGGAAATGGGAGACCAAGTACCTTTCTTATCTGCCTCCCTCTGAGAGAACTGTGACTGTCTTGTTGTTCATTGTTATGTATAAATAGGTCTGGACCAGAAAAGAAGCTCAAGGAATACTCTATGGAAGGAAAGGAAAGAAGGGAGTGGGGAAAGAGGATTGGAGGAAGGATAGGAGTGTGGAGTTGGAAGAAGAGATGGGAGATGGGTAGGAGGATGGCTGGCAGGATGGATGAGAGGACTGATGGCAGGAAAAATGGATAGGAGGATGCATGGGAGGAGAGAGGGGAGGATGGATGGATGGGAGGATGGGTGGATGGGAGGATGGATGGATGGGAGGATGGGTGGATGGGAGGATGGATGGATGGGAGGATGAGTGAGACAATGGATGGATGGGAGAACAGTGGGTAGGAGGGTGGATGGATGGGAGGATGGACGGATGGGAGGATGGGTTGGAGGAGAAATGGAAGGAAGGATGGATGGATCGGAGGATGGTGAGAGGATGGATGGGAGAATGGATGGGAGGATGGACGGATGGGGGGGTGGGTGGGAGGATGGACGGATGGGAGGATGGGTGGATGGGAGGATGGATGGATGGGAGGATGGGAGGATGGGTGGATGGGTGGATGGGAGGGTGGGAGGATGGATGGATGGAAGCATGGATGAGAGGACGGATGGATGGGAGGATGGATGGATGGGAGGAGAAATGGGAGGATGGATGGATGGGAGGATGAGTGGGACAATGGATGGATGGGAGAACAGTGGGTAGGAGGGTGGATGGATGGGAGGATGGACAGATGGGAGGATGGGTTGGAGGAGAAATGGAAGGAAGGATGGCTGGATCAGAGGATGGTGGGAGGATGGATGGGAGAATGGATGGGAGGATGGATAGTTGGGAGGATGGACGGATGGGAGGGTGGGTGGGAGGATGGATGGATGGGAGGATGGGTGGATGGGAGGATAGATGGATGAGAGGATGGGAGGATGGGTGGATGGGAAGATGGGTGGATGGGAAGATGGGAGAATGGATGGATGGAAGCATGGATGAGAGGATGGATGGATGGGAGGATGGATGGATGGGAGGCAAAATGGGAGGATGGATGGATGGGAGGATGGGTGGATGGGAGGATGGATGGATGGGAGGATGGTGGGAGGATGGATGGATGGGAGGATGGTGGGAGGATGGATGGATGGAAGGATGGATGGGAGGATGGATGGATGAGAGGATGGATGGGAGAATGGATGGATGGATGGGAGGATGAGTGGGATGATGGATGGATGGGAGAATAAGTGGGTAGGAGGGTGGATAGATGGGAGGATGGATGGATGGGAGGATGGATGGGAGGAGAAATGGGAGGATGGATGGATGGGAGGATGGATGGATGGGAGGATGGATGGGAGGAGAGATCAGAGGGTGGATGGGAGGATGGATGGATGGGAGGATGATGGATGGGAGGATAAATGGGAGGATGGATGGATGGATGGGAAGATGGATGGATGGGAGGATGGGTGGGAGGATGGATGGATGGAAGGATGGATGGGAGGAGAGATGGGAGAATGGATGGTTGGGAGGATGGATGGATGGGAGGTGGGTGGGAGGACAGATGGATGGGAGGATGGGTGGATGGGAGGATGGATGGATGGAAGGTTGGGTAGGAGGATGGATGGATGGGAGATGGACAGATGGGAGGATGAATGGGAGGAGAGATCAGAGGATGGATGGGAGGATGGATGGATGGATGGATTGGCGAATGGGAGGATGGATGGGAGGGGAGATGGGAGGATGGATGGGAGGAGAGATGGGAGGATGAATGGATGGGAGGGTGTATGCAGGTATATCCCCAGTAAGAGTCTAGAGCAAAGAGGACACCAGAGCTGCCTAGCATAGAATGGGCTGCCCCAGGCAGTACAGTGCCCTGATGTTAGGAGTCCATCATGAGAAGCTGGCTGACCACCAGTGGGAGATTCCTGCAGGGCCAGGTAGAGGTTGGGGGTGATTGTGAGGTGGACCTAGTTGGGGGGTCCATACACACATCCCCTCCATGACCTATGCCTCTTTTCCCATCCCTAGCAGTCCTTTCTCGATAGCTGAGCCCAGGGGATTCAGGGCTGAGGACCCACCATGAGGCGCTCCTCCTCCTCCCTCAGCCGCTTCTTCTCCTGGGCTCTGATCTCCTGCTGCTTCTTCACCTCTTGCTCCTGCTCAAACCTGCTGCACAGGTCCCTGGGGGGTTTGATGGTATACTTCTTAGGCAGCACCTTTTCCTCCTTCTTGATGGTCTGTCACCCAAAAGAAGAGGAAGGGTCAGTGGCCCTGCATCCCCCCTTTACATGTGCAACTCCAAGAGGTGAGACCCGCCCAGCCAGTCCCTCAGACCGGGGGATGGCAGCTACTCCTGTAGCCTGTGGCCTTTCTGGCTCTAAATGCAGCTCCAGCTCCATGACCTTGGGAGGTCCTCTCACTTCTCTGAATCTCAGGTTCATGGTGTGAGAATAATAGGAACTTTCTCCCCAGCCTCTTTCTGAGAAGTAAAGACAGAAAAAATGCCCGAGGGAGGTACCTGTCAGGGCCAGGAGCTCAGGAGGTGTGGCTTTCTCCTCTTCAATCCTCACCACCCATCCTAGCCATGACCTGGGTCTGATCCAGAAGTGGGGAGAATTGTCAGGAGTTGGATTTTTCAGATCTTGTCATCGGAGGGCCTCATATGTTGACTTTAACAGTTTGCTGGGCCAGGAAGGAGAAGAAACCGTGTGTGTGTGTGTGTGTGTGTGTGTGTGTACGCTTGCGTGTCTACAAATGTGTGCTAAGTGGCAAGAAGTATTCCCAGGAAAGAGCACTGCAGAGGCTGCAGAGGTGGGCCTGTGATAGTCATGAAGGAGAAATAGTGAATCTCCAGCGTTTCAAGTTCCCTGAGTCTCCATTTTCCTGCTGTGTGACTTTGGCCACATTATGTTACCTTTTGATTTCATCAACATACTCATCTGTAACATAAAAGTGACAATATCTACCACACTGGGCCATCGTGGGGAGCAACAAGCACAATGGACATGAAAGCGGATTTTAAACCCGAAAGTTCTCTGCATCTGTTTGTTATTGATATAATGTTAATCATTAAGCTTTTGGCTGAGCTGAGAGCTGAGATGCCCGGGTGGGAGCTCAGAGGCTTTTTTTTTTTTTTTTTTTTTTTGGAGCCAGAGTATCCCTCTGTTGCCCAGGCTGGAGTGCAATGGTGCGATCTCAGCTCACTGCAACCTCCACCTTGCAGGTTCAAGCGATTCTCCTGGCTCAGCCTCCCGAGTAGCTGGGTTTACAGGCATGCACCACCACACCCAGCTAATTTTTATATTTTTAGTAGAGACGGGGTTTTGCCATGTTGGCCAGGCTGGTCTGGAACTCCTGCGCTCAAGTGGTCCACTTGCCTCAGCCTCCCAAAATGCTGAGATTACAGCCTCCCAAAATGAGCCACCGTGCCCAGCCAGAGGCTTTTGAAGCCAAAAGCCATGGCGGAGCTCGTGCTCCATCTTCTCTTGGGGAGGTGGGCCTGAGAGAGCAAGGCTCTTCTTGTGCTTCCCCTTCTGTCTCGCCCTTCTCCCACCAGAGCACCCACCCTGGGGTCCCTGGGTGCTCACCCAGGTATAACCCAGGTACACAGTGATCCTGCTGGATGCCTCAGGTCCCTGGATCCCCATCTCCAAGCTGCGGACACCCACAGGAGCCTGACCCTGATCCCAGAGTCCTGGAATTAATCCACCTCATGAAGAGCATTTTCTGTCTGTAGCATGACTATTTTCTAAATGTAAAGAGATGCATTTGTGATTCTGATATTCATTCCAGAGTATTTCTTGTGTCTGTAGCAGCCTGTGGTCCTTATGGAGATCTTAATGAGCAGATCTAAAAACACAGCCACCAGCCACTGAACAGTTGGTGATTTTTTTTTTTTTTTTTTTTTTTTTTGCTATTAAAAAGGGGCCTTGAGGGCCAGGCACGGTGGCTCAGGCCTATAATCCCAGCACTTTGGAAGGCTGAGGCGGGAGGATTGCTTGAGTCCAGGAGTTCACGACCAGCCTGGACAACATAGTGAGAACCTATAAAAAACAAACAAAATTAGCTGGCCGTGGTGGTACTCGCCTGTAGTCTCAGCTACTTGGGAGGCTGAGGCAGGAGGACGGCTTGAGTCCAGGAGGTTGAGGTTGCAGTGGGCCGAGATCATGCCACTGCACTCCAGCTTGAGTGACAGAGTGGAAGAGACCCTGTCTCAAAAAAAAAGCAGGCTTTTTACCTCGGGAGTGTGGGACTGAGAACCAAATGTCTGTTCACTTGTCTGTTATTTTTTATTTCTTTTATTTATTTTTTGAGATGGAGTCTTGCTCTGTCACCCAGGCTGGAGTGCAATGGCGCAATCTCAGTTCACTGCAGCCTTTGCCTCCCGGGTTTCAAGTGATTCTCCTGTCTCAGCCTCCTGAGTAACTGGGACTACAGGCACATGCCACCATGCGTGGCTAATTTTTTTGTATTTTTGATAGAGACAGGGTTTCGCCATGTTGGCCAGGCTGGTCTCGAACTCCTGACCTCAAGTGATTTGCTCGCCTTGGACTCCCAAAGTGCTGGGATTACAGGCATGAGCCACCGCACCTGGCCTATTTTCTTATATAAAAATGGCTGGCTGGATTTTTATCAAATGCATAGGGTAAATTTGGAATCGTTTGACTTAAGATATAAGCTATGTGGCATTCATAAAATTTACCAAGCAGGGAGCATAGTAGCTGAAAACTGAGTTACAACAGACAGAGAAGAACAGCCAGCTTGGAAAACTGGGCTGGATGTGTTAAGACACCGAGGACATAAATCACTGGTGGTTTGAAATATGAACTCCAGGGCAGCGGAAGGGCTGGTGGTGAGGGATCTGTGTCCGCGTGGCCAGGGCTGGGGATGAGGCGGCAGTGATGGACGTCTCTAAGGATGGCACGACAGCACCGGGAATGTTCATCCTTTGGGAAACCCGGGCAGCTCAAGCCCGACCATACCTCCTTGGGCTTCACAGTGAGTGGGCACACCTCCCGCGTCAGGTCCATGTGGCACAGGTCCAGCGAGCCGTAGCCGTTGACGCAGTAAGCATCATAGCCAGAGCCGATAAGCATGGAGCAGAGCAGCGTACTGAAGTCAAAGCAGTTCCCCTTCTGGTACTTGAGCACAGTGGTCGAGGAGTACAGGTGCGAGGGCTGGTCACAGTGGGACGGTCAGCACAGCTGGGGCCCCGCTGCCCCAGCCTGTCCTCCCCACCGGTCACAGCCCACCACCTGTCAGGGTGGGGAGCCAGGACCAATGCACAGGCTGGACCTGCTTTGGGCCCCTAACCCTTGTGGGGTCAGGGAGCCTGCTAAGAATGGAATGACAACCAGACACCATGCCATTCACATTTGCCTGTCATTTGAAGGGGCTATGGACTTCCTGATAGGGGGAAACCTTCTGGACTGTAGGAGTGTCTGATCTAATGCCCTCTGACTGGTAAGTTTACTGTTTTGCTCCAATGCTCCCCCTTCCTTCGATACCCACCTTTCCTCCTCCTCCCTTTATCAGTTCTCCACTGTTGACCTTGCCCTTTCTTCCTCCCTCCCTCTATTCTGAAGGAGAAGCTGACGAATTTGGTCAGAAGCCCAAAGATGGGGTTAGGGCCACGGGCAGCCGGGCCTCCCCTCTCTCTTTCCTGTACCGCTTGAAGCCATGGCAGGGAAGCTCTGAATGCAAAGGAGAAAAGAGGTGGGAACCAGAAGCCCAGGCTTGCTGTGTGTCCTCAGGCAAGTGGCTGTCTCTCTCTAGGCCTGTTTGCCCTTAGGGGCCCTGAGAGGCTGTACCCTGAGCCTGGCTGAGCTTCCTTTTCCCAGACCGTGCCTGACATCCCATTGAAGGAAATCATGTACACAGTGATCCGTTTCCAAGGCAAAGTGCCTTGAATAGGCTTAGGTCAGCAAACTACAAAAACCCCAGGATATACTAGGCCCCTGCTTGAATAGCCAATGCCTGTTTGTCAGCCTTCTCCTTCCTCCCCCTTACCTACCGCCTTAGTTGCCCTCACTCAAACCAAAAAAGTTTAGCCTAAGATAAAAGTTTACTAGTCTGCAAAATAGCTCGCTTTGTCTGTTCTTATCAGCCTGCCCAGCTACTCAGGTCATAAGTCAAATACTTAAAGAGCCCCTGAGCTAACTAGGATTGCAATGCATTGTGGGTTGCAATAAAATGCTGCAAAACAACCCTAGAAAAAACACCTAAAGCCCCTGCCTAACAATCAATAGGCGATGTCTGGGAAGATTGTGACCCCATAGTACTCAGCCTGTGAGGAACCAGGGGAGGGACCTGCGCACTAGGGGATAAACTGCTTGTTAAAACTATGCTGGGTGTGTCTGCCTATCAGACACCCAATCTTGCAAGACCATCATTAAAAGTCTCACTTTCGCTGTTCTCCAGGTCTCTAAGTCCATTCTTTTTTTTTTTTTTTTTTTTGAGAGAGTTTTTTGAGAGTTTTGCTCTTATCACTCAGGCTAGAGTGCAGTGGTGCCATCTTGGCTCACTGCAACTTCCGCTTCCCAGGTTCAAGCGATTCTCCTGCCTCAGCCTCCCCAGTAGCTAGGATTACAGGCATGTGCCACCACGCCCTGCTAATTTTTGTATTTTTAGTAGAGACGGGGTTTCGCCATGTTGGTCAGGCTGGTCTCAAACTCCTGACCTTGTGATCTGCCCGCCTTGGCCTCCCAAAATGCTGGGATTACAGGCATGAGCTACCACGCCCGGCCTCTAAGTCCATTCTTTGGGTTTGGATGGGTGAGTTTGTTTCTCACACCATCTTAGTCCTGGTGGGCTCAGGCATGCAGCCTGTGAGTGGTGCTTACCGGCTTGAGAGGGTCAGGCAGGGGCACCATGGTGAGGAAGTCGGAGACAAACTGGGCACAGCTGTCCCAGTTGTAGAGCTCGGGGTAGGGCATCAGTGTGGGCCGGAGGGTTGTGCTCACGAACTTCTGCAAGGAGAGAGATGGTGCCAGTGGGGTCAAGGCAATAAGAACTTGTGAGATCAAGCTTGGGGCCTTCCTTGAATCCACAGGGGGACCCTAGAGGCCTGAGCAAATGCAGGAGGCCAGGCCCACATGACCTGGGGTGGCAGAGCAGCCCTTGGCTGGGAAGGTGATGCCCAGATCTGGCACATGGCAGCCATCAGTGGCGCAGTGGCAATGACTGGGAGGCCCTTATCATGTTGCCAGCACCCGGAGACAGCACAAGCATATTCTGGATCTGGACTTTGAAGGGCTTTGAAGTTTTGCCGCCTTCAACCCCTAGGGCATTGTGGAGACACCTGAGGCCCAGAGCAGGCTTGAGAGCTGCCTGAGGTGACCCAGCAAGTCAGGGCTGAATGAGGAGATCAGGTCTGTTTCCTGGGGTTCCTGGGAGCACTGTGCTCTCCTCCCAGGAGCGATGCTCTCCCTGGGGCCTACAGAGGTTCTGGGCTGGGGCCAGCTGGCGACCAGTACAGTCTGAAGCCTCAGAGGTCAGCCTGTCCAGGGAAGGACAGAGAAATAAGACAAATTGGACCAGGACAGGCATAAGAACCTAAGCTCTGGCTTTTTCCTTCCAGCCCTGTGACCCAGAGCATGTCTCTGAGCCTTTCTGGGCCTCAGTTTCTCCATCTGTAGATGGAATGACATGGGATTCATCCAGGGGGTGGGAAACAGCTGCCCACGAGCTGACAGGGACCCACAGACCCGCTTTATTTGGCCCACGTGGCAATGTTTAGCATTTATGTCAGCTGCCAGCATTTAAAAACCAGAGACTCCCACACAAATCCCGAGTCTCCTCTTGATCAGGTAACCCCAGGCCTGCAGTTTCCCCGCAGCAATCAGCAGCTGCCTCTTTAGGCGGGGGCATGGGGTCTCCAGACCACCACCGCCCTCCAGGGTAATCTGCACTGAGCCTGCTGAGGCCTGCTGGCGTTCGACTTTATGTTGCCCCCAGACTAGAAGCGCTCTGGCCCACAGGAGGTCCGTGATTTGGCCCAGTGACCTTGGAGAACCTGCCCCACTTCCCTGTGCCCTCTGCTCTCCAGCCCCAGGCTCCCCAGCCCTGCCCTCAACATGCCAGCCTTACGGGCACTTCACACTCGTTCAGGGGGTGCAGGAAGAGGGGCACGCGGTCCGGGCACAGATGGCTGTACTGGCGGGAGAAGTTGTCTGCCACCTGCAGCAGGTGTTCCTCCTTGGGTGTGTTGGTTTTGTAGGAAATGGGCAGCTTGGAGATGTCAATAGTGTCCTTGGTAAAGGCCCTGTGCCACAACAGGGATGGCATTAGGGAAGCCATGCCTGGCACACAGGAGCCCTGGTTCCACTGAGTTGCCATTGGCTCTACCCCTTCCTCATTTAATCCTCACGGCTACTGAGAAGGCAGGTATCATTAACATCTGCACATTTTCATATATATATTTAAGAGACAGGTCTTGCTCTGTTGCCCAGGCTGGAGTGTGATAGCACAATCATAGCTCACTGCAGCCTTGAACTCCTGGGCTTAAGTGACCCTCCCACCTCAGCCTCCCAAGTAGCTGGGACTATAGGCACCACCACACCTGGCTAATTTTTGTATTTTTTGTAGACATGGGTGGGGGGGTCTTGCTATGTTGCCCGGGCTGGTCTCGAACTCCTGGCCTCAAGCGATCCTCCCACCTTTTCCTTCTAAAGTGCTGGGACTACAGATGTGAGACACAGCGCCTGGCCAGCACCTGCACTTTTAGACAGATAAAGGCACTGAGGCACCGAGAGGCTGAGTGACTTGCCCAAGGTCACACAGCTAGTTGGGAGAGCATGGACACTCGGCCCAGGCCATTTGAAAGCAGAAAGCCTTCACTCATAACTGCTTCCCTCTATCTCCTGGTCACCCTACCAGACCAGGCACCAGCACTCTGCCTGGGTCTCCCTGTGCCCAGCCCCGGTCTACCCTTGCCAGGGCCCCCACCCTGCCACACTCACGGGAGCTCCGCTGAGACAGTGATCTGGATCTCTGACAGCTTCTTCTCCAGGTCTCTGAGCGTCTCCTGCTTTAAGGTGATTTCCTCCTTCCGCACCTCAACTGGCCTCATCATTTTCTCCATCCTCGCCCATTCAGCCCACTCGGCCGCCTCCTCCCGCTCGGCCTCCTCCTCCTCCTCCACCTTCTCCCTCAGGACCTCCATTCTGGAGCGTCTCTGGGTGTCTGGAGATGGAATGTCTCTGTGGGGAAGGGTAAGTATACTCCATGGCCGACTGTCAGCCCAGGCAGGAGCCACCAACACCATCTGGGCATCCCCGGGAGGCCTGGGAGATGGTTTTGAGGAGGTGTCGAACACATAGGGAGTGATTCCCTCTTTGACTTCCTTTCAAACATGGAGAAAGTCTCTGTTTGGTGCTACCCCATCTGTAACACCTTTCTAATCCTGGCAAATATTCCTTTACAACAAAGACAAAGCAGGCCTCCGGTTGGAAGCCATCCTCAGGACAGGACAGGGAAAGGCACGTGTCGATTTGCTTTTAGTATATTTGACAGTTATCTTTTTTTTTAAATTTTTTATTTTTTTGAGACAGGGTCTTGCTCTGTCACTCAGGCTTGGAGTGCAGCAGCACGATCATGGCTCACCGCAGCTTCAAACTCCCAGGCTCAAGCAATCCTCCCACCTCAGCCTCCCCAGTAGCTGAGACCACAGGTGCACACCACCACACCTGGCTATTTTTTTTTTTTGGTAGAGACAGGGTCTGGCTATGTTGCCCAGGCTCAAACTCCTGGCCTCAAGCGATCTTCCTGCTTTGGCCTCCCAAAGTGCTGGGATTACAGGCATGAGCCATTGTGCCAGCTGACAGTTATCAATGACAAGTACTGTGAATGCTGTGGGGATTACTATAGTATTGTCAAGTTTCTTATTTAAATAAATGAATTGGCTGGGTGCGGTGGCTCATGCCTGTGATCCCAGCACTTTGGGAGGCCGAGGCAGGTGGATCACTTGAGGTCAGAAGTTCGAGACCAGCCTGGCCAATATGGCGAAACCCCGTCTCTACTAAAAATACAAAAATTAGCCAGGCGTGGTGGCACACGCCTGTAATCCCAGCTACTCAGGAGTCTGAGGCAGGAGAATCACTTGAACCTGGGAGGCAGAGGTTGCAGTAAGTTGAGATCGCACCACTGCACTCTAGCCTGGGTGACAGAGTGAGACTCTGTCTCAAATAAATAATAAATAAATAGATTGGTTTAAAGAAAATCCTAACGGTAAGGTGATATGATCTACAACCCACCCAAAAATGAGGATGGCAGGTGAATGATATCTCACCTGATCAAACTGGGAACCGAGGCACAGAGAGTGAAGGTGCCTGCACCAGGGCATACAAACAGGGAGTGGGGGGTGGGGGTAACACAGCCTACTCTCTCTTGGCCAAGGCCTGTGTTGGCCCAGAGAACAGGCTTCATTCTGTGATCCACGCAGAGACGCCACATGTGCTCACCATATGTCCTGTGGTCACAGAGCAGAGCCACACTGAGCGGGGACTGCTAGTCACCTACCCAAAGATCCAGTCTCCTCTTCTATACGGCAGAACCCCAGTTGTGTGGGGGGCAGCAGTGTGCCTGGTTTGAATTGCTCAGCTTCCCAGATTCTCTTGCAGCTAGAGGTGGCCCTGCGATGTGACCCGGTTCTGGCCAATGAGATGTGGGCAGAAGTGATTGGGGAGCCCTCTGCCCTTCTCCTCCTCCCACCTGGAATGTGGAGATAAAGTGGGAGGTGGGGCAGCCAAGGCGAGACCATGAGGTGGCCACACATGAGGGCTAAAGCTGCCTGCTATGGACGGCAGGGCCGAGAGATGGGGGAGCTGGGGTCCCCAGCAGTGCCACAGAGGCCTGGAGTGCCACCTCTAGCCTTTCCTTATATAAGAAACCTCAGCTTCTATGGGGGTCCCTGTTCCACACCACCCAACGCCATCCCAGCTGATGCACTATCTGCAGCCTCCCAGCTGGGGTCTTTCCATTTCTGTCCTCGAACATCTGTTTTCCTTACGGCAAATGGGGGTCCAGAGATGAGGAAAACAAACGAAACCCACAGGACAAAGGGGGCGAGTAGTAAGGAAAAAAAGCAGAATCCCCTTGATTTTCTAATCATCCCCCACTTCCCTGGGTGAAGCCAGGAGCAAGAGGGCAGAAGGGAGCAGCAGATAAAGGCTGGCCCCAATTTCCAACTCCACACCCACATGGGCCACCTCGGCCTCCTAGGGAGGTGAGTCCCTGGCCACCAGCCACGACTGAGCCTGGTTGGGGAAACCCTGGCTTTGCCAGTAGCTCCTGCTGGACCCTTGGGTCACTGTCTGCGCCTTTCTGTGCCTTAGTTTCTCTTTATAGTAGGAAGGGAGGGCAGATATTTTCTGTCCAATTCTGACATTCTGTGCTCTGGGACTCAGGAGGGGACGAATGCTCATCTGGCTGGAAGCCACCCAAGGCCTAGGTAGCCCAACACCATTCAGGACCCCAGATCCTCAGGGGAGAACCTCTAGCCAAGCAGCACTTCTCAGTGATCAGATCCATTTGTTGGCCTCTTGGTCCCAGAGACAATGAGCCCAGGAAGGGCAGTCAT
The DNA here is from genome assembly GCF_000001405.40 of Homo sapiens. NCBI lineage: Eukaryota > Metazoa > Chordata > Mammalia > Primates > Hominidae > Homo > Homo sapiens. The sequence continues at coordinate 57,695,534 of NC_000016.10, read as the reverse complement.
CACCATTACAAGGCATTTACAGTTTGCTGAATGCCTACTGTGTGTCAGACCTGTGCTGAGGGTTGTACGGAGATCATCTCACTTATCCTCTACTGACTCTATGAGGCAGACACTGAGGACACCCACTTTGCAGATGAGAAGATTGGGGCCCAGAGAAGTTAAGTGCACTGCTTAAGGTACAGCCAGTAAGTAGCAGGTCTGGGATTTGAACCCCTGTATTTCTGGTTGTGAAACCTGTGTGTCTCAGGCTGGAAGAGATATGAGATGGGGAAGTGCTAGAAGGGATGGTGGGGGTGGGGGAGTGGTGGGCAAGGAAAGAAGTAGGCTGAAGAGGAAGCCGACGTGTCAGTCCCAGAACACCATCAGAGGCAGAGCTGGGGAGAAGAACCCACAGCACTTTATTCCCTACACAGGTGGCCTCTTCAGCTATAGCCCAGTGTGGGGAAGGCAGTCTTATCTCAAGGTTCCTTAGATTCTGCCCCAACCCACCGGCCCTTCCCTGCACCCCCTCTCCACCAGCAACTTCCTCCTCCCAACACACATAAACACGCACACACACCCCACCAACAACTTCCCCAGAAAGATCAGGGCTGGAGGCCCCCAGGCAGAAGGGGGCCACCAGCCTCACCCTTTCCCTGCCAGACAGGGTCCAGCCACCCCAAGTCCCTTGCTCCCTCCTCACCCCTCCGAGGACAGCCTGCTCTAGCTGTTAGCCATCTCCATGGTAACAACCTGGGAAGCTGAACGCCGGTCCTGGGAGAGGAGGCTTCTGGGAAATGTAGTCTTCCCAGGTTTCATGGGTCCTTCTGCCAGCGGTGCACTGGTATAGTGGGGCATCAACTTGATAGTTGTTAAACTTTCCAAAATTTTTGTGAAACACAGCCATTATTAAAAATTAAGAGGGCTGGGCACGGTGGCTCACACTTGTAATCCCAGCACTTTGGGAAGCCAGGGCGGGAGAATCCTTTGAGCCCATGAGTTCAAAACCAGCCTGGGCAATATATAGTGAGAACCTCTCTAAAAAAAAAAAAAAAAAAAATTGGCCATGGGGTTATTTACACCACAAAAATTAGCAAACGCCAAGACCAGGGCTTTTCCTCTGAGCCAGCCAGTTGTTAAACATTTACCAGCACAGCACAGCCCCTGCCCCACGGCATGCCGAATGTGGCCTTGATCGAGACAGACAGAAACCAGTGTGGGGCCTGGAGTAGCTGCCAGCTGCGGTGGACAGAACCAGGCTGCCTTGACTGAGTCCTGGGTTCTAGTCCAGGCCGGAGCTGTGATGTAGAACATTACCTCGAAGTACGGGGAAAACCTATCCATTAGGCTAGTGGCTCATGAAAATGTTTAATTTCTTTTAAATTCAGAAGAAAAAAATGAGAATAATAATGACTATATAAGTGTGAATCTGCCCTGAATTATATCTGTGTTTTTACCAATACAGTCCTAAAATATAATCTTCACTGTTTTATTTTTGGAGGGAGGGGTGCATGGGCCTTTTTTGGTCAGGGGATAGGGCTGCCAGGAGGGAATCCAGACTGTCACTGTGCTGACAAGTTTGCACAGTTAGTGTTACTGCTAGAAACTTAGGAATTGCCTCAATTCTCATGAATAGAGAATGATGTTCCCCCTCCCAGCTGGAATATCATGCAGCCATAAAAATAAGCTGTAAAGGATCAATTGCACTGTGGAGAGCTCACGAGACAGTGTGTGTAGTATTTCAGACTTGGTGCTAAAGGATCAATTGCACTGTGGAGAGCTCACGAGACAGTGTGTGTAGTATTTCAGACTTGGTGCTAAGCAACTCGTAATTACCTCTGTGGGGAACTGGCTGGGATGAAGGCAGGAAGGGAGGAGGGAGGAGAAAGGAAAACAGGTGATGCGTTATGCTAGTGGGATGCAGCATAGGCTTCATTGTCCTTTTTCAACCCTATGCAACACTTCATTCCTTTTACATATTTATTCATTCCTTTTTCTCTTCATACCCACTTTCATTTCCCACCTCTATAAAGTAACCATTCTGATGTGTATTTTTTTTTTCCAAAATGAGTATTGTTTGGCATGCTGGTGTTTTTAATATATGTTTAATATGAGACTGAACAAATATATCCTTCTGGTTCTTATATTTTCATGAAGGGCTGTGTTTTTAAGATCTCTCCACGTTATTGTGTGGATCCACACTTATTACCTCTTCGTCCTTCCAGTGACGGGCACTCGGTGTCCAGGTGTTCTAGAGGGAGCTTTCAATGTCCCCAGGCACTGATAGTTGTTTAGGTTGTTGCTGGAAACATGGAAAGATCAAACAAATGCTAAACGTGCCCCAGCCCTGAACCGAATCCCTTAAACACTCATATAAACTCCATAAACCCACCTCCTCGTTATGAACAGACTCATCTCCCTTCTTGCTGTCTGTCATGAGAACACTACAGCCTTCCCTATGTACGTTTCCCTAATAAATGCTTTGGATGGATACGGATCACCCCGGCGCTTAGTGTTTATTTCTTTGGAATTCCAACTGGCCCTACCTCTTGACGGTTTGGGGCAGTCTTGAGGGAACTCCCCAGCAGACATTGGGTGGGCTGGACAGACCACTCAGATTTGCTACCAGCTCCCTTCCATCACAGACAATGCTACACAGGTCTAGAGGGGTCTAGATCTGGAAGAATGTTTCTTCAAGATAAACAACCAGTAGCAAGATTGCTGGCTCAGCAGAAGCACTGTGTTTTTCTCCAGGCAGCTGAAGCAGTCTAGACTCTCCCTGGCTCCCATATCGTCCCTGCCCATTGGTACCATCTAGCTTTCTAGTTCATCAGTTTAATAAGGATACAATGAGGTCTCATTGTCATTTCAGTCTGCAGCTCTCTGATGACTAATGATTTTAAATGTGTCTTCATGAACTAATGTGTTAGTTTTAGGTATTTCCTCCTCTGAAAATAATGATGCCACCTTTGTCACGTATTAAATCCCCCAGGTGTCCATGGGTCTGCCTCTGAGCACTCTGTGCTGTTCCACTGATCTTCTTTCCTATCCCTGCACAGACACCACGTTGCATTTACCAAACTGGCCTTGTAATATCTTTATGTCTAGAGGTCAAGTCTTCCTTCTATGCCCCTCTTTCTGTTTTTTCTTTCTGAGACAGGGTCTAGCTCTGTCGCCCAGGCTAGAGTGCACAGGCATGATCTCGACTCACTGCAACCTCCACCTCCTGTATGCCCTCTTTCATTAAGATTGACTTAGCTATTTGAGGTCTATATGCCTCCATATCAATTTTAAAAGTTTCTGGAGAAGCAAAAAAAAATAAATTAGAATATTTATTTTTTTCCCTTATTTTATTTTATTGTAGAGACAGGGTCTTGCTATGTTGCACAGGCTGTTCTGGAACTCCTGGGCTCAAGCAATCCTCCTGCTTCAGCCTCCCAAAGTGCTGAAATTAGAGATGTGAGCCACCGTGCCCGCCCCAAAATCTTTACTGTAATTTCATTGAATTCATTAACTGATGAAGGATTTATATCTTTTAGTGTTGCCTATCTGACAGCATGGAGCAAATAAGTCTTCTTTTTTCCTGTGTATTTGTTATGTTGTAATGAAAAAATACAAGGAATGAAGAGATTTGGGCAGAAGAGAGAACCAGGCAGGAGCCATGGCAGAAGGGACCCTCTCTGTACCCAGGACCTGATGAGATGATGGCCAAGGCAAAGCTCTGGCTTTGTCACATTCATTCTGGGCCAGGCAGGCCAGGCAGTGGGCAGTCCTTGCAGGCACTGTCTCATTTATTCATTTCCTTCATTAACCCTGTGGGGCAGCTACTGCTGTTTCTGCTTTACAGGCTCAGTAGTTGAAGAATTTGCCCAAGACAAGTTGCAAAGACAGAATTTGAAACTGGTGAACGGAGATCAGGGTCTGTGCTCCCACCTGTGATGATGGCCCACCTCCTAGGTTGCTATTGCTGCTGTGCAATGACGGAGGAACTCCATCCATCTGCTCTGGGCTTTGGGGTGTATTTTCACCATAGCCCCCTTGGCCTTATGGGTGCTCAACATGGCACTTGGAGCTGCTTTTGCAGGAACCGCAGGTGATGAGGAACTCCAGCCCCTCAGCCCCTGCCTAGCCCCAGGATGGAGAGCAAGCCAGAAAAGCAGTGCACCCCCAATGCTAGCCACACCTTCTTATCTGCCCTCTCCTTCTGAGCCAGGAGGCCCAGCCATCCAGGACTTGCGGTCTTGTTGGTCCCACAACAAGCACTAAGCATCCCACTAAGCAGTTTGGGAAACTCTGCAACCCAGGATTTTCCTTGAGACTGGGGGCTGGGACCAGATGATAATTCTTATTCTTCTTCTTTTTTCTGCTTCCTCCTCCTCCTTCTCCCTCCTTCTCCCTCCTTCTTCCTCCTCCTCCTCCTTCTCCCTCCTTCTTCCTCCTCCTCCTTCTCCCTCCTTCTTCCTCCTCCTCCTCCTTCTCCCTCCTCTTCCTTCTCCTCCTTCCTTCTCTTCCTTCTTCTCCTCCTTTTTTTTTTTAAAAACATGGTCTTGATTTGTCATCCAGGCTGGAGTGCAGTTACGTCATCATAGCTCACTGCAGTCTTGAACTGCTGGGCTCGAGTGGTCTTCCTGCTTCTTCTTCCAAGTAGCTACCATGCCTAGATATATTTTTTTTTTTTAAGAGACAGAGTCTTGCTCTGTTGCCCAGGCTGGAGTACAGTGGCACAATCTCAGCTCACTGCAACCTCCACCTCCCAGGTTCAAGCAATTCTCCTGACTCAGCCTCCTGAGTAGCTGGGACTGCAGGCGCACGCCACCATGTCCAGCTAATTTTTTTTGTATTTTAGTAGAGACGGGGTTTCACCATGTTGCCCAGGCTGGTCTCGAACCCCTGGGCTCAAGCAATCCTCTTGCCTTGGCCTCCCAAAGTGCTATGACTACAGGTGTGAGCCACCAAGCCCAGTCAAGGACCAGGTGATAATCCTTAAACTCAGGGACCACTCTGGGATGAGGGCAACCCGGGGAGGCCTGGCCCTAGCTTCAACCCAGCCCATGGAGTGACCTTAGTTGGGCAGGTGGCTGGGCCTGTCTGGACCTCCATTTCCTCATGCCATTACCCTTGGCTGGTCTTTCTTTAAATCAAGGCAGGGTGGGGGAGCTGACTAACTCCTGCGGAGTCAGTGCTGGGCACTTTATTTCTGTCACTTCATTTAATGCTGTCAGGATGAGGTGAGGACTTTATAATCCCCATTTTATGGATGGGGAAACTGAGGCTCAGAGAGGTGAAGTAAAATGCCCAGGATCACACAGCTCCTAAGTAGCCGAGCCAGGATTTAAGCCCAGACCTATCAGATGGTGGAACAGCTGTTTCTCAGGTTACCATCCCTGAGGCTTTGAGATAAGGAAGTTGAGACCTTCAGTGTGAGAAACAGATGTCTGTGAAGATAAGCCCCAAAACACACCAAGTTTGTCCACCAGAACTGCTCCTGTGGCTCAAATGATGCAATGTCCACGCCCCAGAATTTCCCTTCCAGGAACACAGCGCCTTGCATAAAGTGAGGGCCCACCTTCCTGTCTTTCAACTGCTTGTGGGCTGGGAGGGGAAGCGAAGCGCATCCATTTGCAGTCAACGTCAGCACCCAGCATCCGGACGGGGAGGTGGGCTGCAGCCCGCAGCTTCCAGGGCTGTTGGGGGAGGCCTAACAGTGACAGTAACTTCTCACCTGCAGACAGGGCTTGACAGTCCACAGAGCTCCCTGGAGAGGGTCGGGGGCCGGGTAGGGAGAATGGTTGGTAAGTTGTGAGTAGAGTGAGGGATGGACTTGTGCGGTGAGGCTCCAGGGAGGGGAATGATGTCAACACTCACTGCTCCCCCCGAGGAGGGGGGTCGCTGGAGCCGGCGTGGGGCTGCCATCTCTCTGCATCTGTCTCTCCGCCACCGTTCTCCCTCTTTGTGTCAGCCTGTCTGTTAAGTCTCTCTCTCCTTCTCTCCATCTCTGTATCTCTACCCCATCTCTGCTATCTCTGCCTCTTTTTGTTTCCTACTGAGAAACCTGCATGCGATTGTGACATGGAGCCCCAGCTGCTGGAAGTACCCTGCCCAACCTAGGTCTGGCCTGAGACACCCCCCTTGGCTCAGGGATCTGCCAGGCTGGTGCCAAACTCATACATCCACTCATTCAGCCAACAAATATTTATTCAAGGTTTGCCACGAGCCAGACCCTGTGCTTGGCCTGGGCTGGAACAGTAAGCGAGGCCACCCAGGTCCTTGTTCTCTAGGAGCTCAGGTCCTAGTGGCAATGCCCAGCCTCTGCTCAGGGGCCCCACACACTGAATGAGTGGGAGCACCCCCAGGTGTGCTGAGCCCCAGATTGTTTGCTTTCTACCTCTACGATGACAGCAGGTCAGAGGTCGGGCCACCCACGTGGCAGTCAGAGTCAGGAGTGGGGGGTTTGCCCAAGGTAGCTCACCCACTCAGTGGTTCTTTGAAATGCAGTGTCCCTGGACACGTGCAGGGCTGCCAGCACTCTGAACACGGGGGTCTCTTCCAGGAGGGTGGGCTCTGATTGGATGGGCAGAGACCAGGGGCAGACTGGGTGGGAGGATCAACTCCCACCCCCCAAAACAAACCCCCAGTGCCTGAGGGAACGCTGGCCTCCTGAATGCCCCTCAAGGTTACAGGCAGCCAGAAGGGGAGTTGTGGGAGGCCAGTGACAAGGAGGAGGAGGGGAGAGGCTGGGGGCTCCTTCCAGGGCTATGCCAGCAACAGACTCTCCTCCCTTGCTGAGACCAGAAGGTGAGTGAGGGCTTTGCAATGAGGGCAGGGCATGGAGGTGACTGTCACTCTTTGCTGGCAGGGGGTCTCAGGACTATAGGAACTTTAGAGCCTTGCAAACCTGCTTACGTGGACTCTTGGACCTATAGTTGGATCTGGATGGGACCTCTGATGCCACGTGGTCCAACCTGGTCCCATCCTCTCCCTCCCCAGCCACATTGTACAGAGAAGGAAACTGAGGGAGTACAGAGAGAGGCACGGAGCTGCCCAAGGTCACACAGAGAGCCAGAGCTGAGTCCATATTGCAGGGCCGTGCCTTCCTATTCTTGAGATGCGGAGTGGGCCTGGTCCAATCTTGCAGTAGAGGAGGAGACTGTGGTGCTCTGACTTGGGAGGTAAAGGATGGTGAACCAGCAGCAGATGAAGACACCTGTTAGGAAGGAGAGGCCTCGGTGAGCCTGGAAAGGGGTGGGCAGAGAGTGGGGCAGCCTGGGCTGGTGGCTGCTGAGAGGGAGGAGACCCACCGTAACCACTCAAGAACTGCTGGGAAAGGCAAAAATGCAACCATTTCACAACCATTTCAAAAATGAAATAAAAAAGAACCAAATCGAAATCTTGGAAATGAAAAACAGAGACCTTCAAATAAAATATCTACCTATGCCTATTACAGAAAAGAAAGAGCAAAATAGAGGAATTTTCAGACATACAAAACAACCATCACTCCCTCTATAAAGGATTATTATGGGAGGCACTCCAGCAAGAGGAAAAGGGAAAGTGTGGGGTGAAAGAAATTATAGTAAGTACAGAACATGACTTAGAAAAACTCTATGTTTCAAGGAAATCTGTAACTAAACCTCTATATGCAAGACAAATATTGAGAAGAGTTCAATGGGCAATTCAAGTATACCAAGGGCTCTGTTGTATTGGAGAGGAAGAGAGAAATACAGAATAACTCAGACCCAGTGGAAACTTAGTAGAGTGAAGTGTGCAGGCTTACATATTAAGGTAACCTCTGAAAGAATAACGATGTCAGCTATAGTTTCAAAGTTCATTTCTCCCCAACCATCAACCCCTGGGATTCTCCAGGCATGGACTCATGATTCTCCACCTGGAGACAGCCTCAGATGGCCTTACAGTCATAATTTCTATGATTATTAATATAGTTCCCACATATTGAAGACCTAGTAGTTCCCACATATGCATTGTCATTGTTCATTGTGAAATCTGGCAGGCCAGGCACAGTGGCTCACGCCTGTAATCCCAGCACTTTCGGAGGCTGAGGCAGGTAGATCATCTGAGGTCAGGAGTTTGAGACCAGCCTGACCAGTATGGTGAAACCCCATTTCTACTAAAAATTCAAAAATTAGCTGGGCATGGTGGCATGTGCCTGTAGTTCCAGCTACTCAGGAGGCTGAAACCAGAAGAATTACTTGAACCCAGGAGGTGGAGGTCGCAGTGAGCTGAGATCGTGCCACTGCACTCCAGCCTGGGTGACAGAGCAAGACTCCATCTCAATTAAAAAAAAAAAAAAGCTGGTGAGATAAGTACGGGATTATCCCAATTTCGCGATGAATGAGGACGGAAGGAGCTGAGTGACTTGCTGGGTCAGGGATGGGGCTAGGATTTGGACCCAGGGCTGCCTGGCCCTAGCCACTAAGCCACACATCTCTCATGGGGCGCTGGGAGCCAGTCCTGGTCTTGGGGGCTTATACCCGCTGCATCTAGGACGCCTGGGTTTCTAGTGACTTCCCTGAACAGGTTGAGTCTCGTCACTCCTGTCTTGGCTGTTTCTCTCACAGTCAGACTGTGATGCCTCTCTGGGCTGTGGATGTAAGGAGCAAAGAGAACACATATAAACCATAGCACATGGACTGCTCTTACCCCTTTGCTGGGATCTCAGAGGAAGGGCCCTGCGGGGGCCAGTAACAAATACAGCAAGCATTTCCTTCCTACCTCCATAGATCCCTGGAGATCCCATCCATGTCATGTGGACATCATATCACATGATTCTGCCCTTCTGGTCGCAGCTGATTGGACCAGAGATGGACGATGGACACCCAACTTGCAAGGTCAGGTAGGGTTACGGCAGCCATGTTGGGTAACAATTTGGGGCCATGGGTAGTAAAGGGTAAGTGGAGAGAGAATGAAGGAGTTTCCACAGACACTAGGTGAGAGACTCCATAGCTCCAGGAAAAAGATAGAGAACGTATCTGCTTTGGTTTGGGTGGCTTTTTCTGATTCTGGTAGCAGCTCCCATGAAGGCAGCTGATATGTCTGGGATGTTTGTTGCTTCCAAATCTCATGTCCAAATGTGATTCCCAATGTTGGAGGTGGGGCCTGAGGGGAGGAGATTGGATCCTTGGAGCGGATCCTCATGCATGGCTTAGCACTATCCCCTTGGTGATGAGTGAGTGCTCACTTGGAGTTCATGCGAGATCTCGCTGTTTAAAACGGCATGGTGCCTCCCCACTCCCTTGCTCCCACTCTCGCCATGTGATACGCTGGCTCCCCTTTATCTTCCACCATGATTGGAAGCTTCCTGAGGCCTCACCAGGAGCAGATACTGGTGTTGTGCTTTGTCTAAAGCCTGCAGAACCATGAGCCAATTAACCCCATTTTCTTTATAAATTACCCAGTCTCGAGTATTCCTTTGTATTCTAGTAACACAAACGGACTAATACAGCAGCCAAACTTTGCTGCCCTGGATCCTTGCTCTGAGTATTTGAAATCAACATCCTTGACTTCAGCTAGCCTGAACAGAGTCCTGTGTCTTGCAAACCACCCTCTTCCCCACCTCCCAATACCTCCTGGGACAGACAACACAGCCCATCACCTCCCTGGTGCAGGGGCCTCACCTTGCAAGGAGTTGAAAAGTGCAAAGATGTAGACGGTGGAGAGGCCCAACGGGGTGAAGATGGCCAACCCCCATGTCACACCCACCAGGCTCGAGAGGCCCAGCAGGGTGAGCACCTTCTTCCGGTTCTTCCCCCGCTCCTTGACCGCTGTAGCACGGGACAGGGTGAAGATCTTCCAGACCACCAGGGCCAGGACCACCATGCCAAAGAGGAAGGTGATGAGGAAGTAGCCGTGGACGGTGATATAGAGGGCGTACATGGTTGTCCCTTCACGGAACCAGCATCTGGAGGAGGGGGCAGCTGTGGTGGGACTGGGAGTGGTACCTCTGGCCAGCAAACCCAGGAAGTCCCCTGGCTGAGCTTTTCTGTCTGTGAAGGTGCCTCTCCCATTTCCACCCATCAATCCCTGGCTCTCCCGCTGTGGGAGGGGCCGTCACCTGGCTCCAGTCTGGTGTCTCTTTAATGCCAAAGTGACCTCAAAGACATGTTTCATTTGCCCCATATTACATTGTGAAAAAAACGGAATTAGTGGCCGCCTTTAAAATCAGAAGCTTTGGTATAAACACCTAGATTTCTGCTTCTCCTATAAAATCATACACCTGGCAGCTCTGTGGATGCCCTCCTGAAGGATAGTAACTGACCGCTAATTAGATGGGCTTGTGACTGCCAGTCCGCTGCAGTCCCCACCTGGCCCACTGCCTGCACCTTTGTGACCCCTCCAGCTCCTGGGGCCCCTGCTTTTGAGGCCTGGGGACAGGTCCAAGGCCTCACCAGCTCCTCTTAGCACAGAGCCATGGGCCCAGTGGTGGGTGCCCCATGGATCCCAAGGTGTGAGTCTAGAAACTGAACTCAGCTCCACTGCCCTCTGCACTGCAGGGGCAAAGGGCCTCAAAGAGCATGTTGATCAGTTCCCCCATGGTGCAGATGAGGAGACTGAGGCCCTGGGAGAGATCGGGCCTGCCAAGATCACACACATAGCAGGCAGGGCAGAGCCCAGACTAGACCCAGGGCTACTGTGAATCACTGGGCAGGTGGTGGCCTGAACAAGGACACCTGGCTGGGCAGCAGGTGGGGGCTGAAATCCAACACACCCTCCACTCTCCAGGCTGCGCACCCCGCATGCGGACGGGGTGACCTTCTTTACTTTGCCTCAAGGTGCCATGTGGGCTCGTGTTGGCCCAGGCTCAAGTAAGGCATCCTGCCTCCTGGTCCAGTTCTCCCTCTCCTTTCTCAGGCCCCCTCTCTCATTTCACTTCCCCTCTCTCTCTCTAGGCTTCAGTTTACTTCTCTGTGCCATGAGCTAGCTGGATCTGAGGATTCTTCTGGTCTTGACATATTTGGTCTAGATTTTCCTAGAAATCCCTCCTCTCCCCACCTCTCTCCAGCCCCAATATGTGTAGCCGGGGAGCTGGCATCACCCCTGCTCCCACAGCCGCCACTCACAGCTCCAGAGAGGTGCGGTTCTCCCTATCACGGATGGTGTAGAGGCCGTAGCTGTTGGCACTCCCAGTGCCGATGACCATCAGGGCGGGCAGGCCTGGGCACAAGGGGAAATGGCATGACACCACTGGGGCTTACTGGCACTTCCTCCTCCACGTCCCCTCCAGATGGCCATCCCTCCAGCTCTGGGAACCCCTCCTCTCTCTCCCCAAGGCTATTTCCCTCTGCACCCTCAGGGCCGGCCGTTTATTCTGTCCATCCAGGCAGCACCTACCCCAGCCCACCAGGCTCAGCTTCAGGAAGTAGTGCCCGAAGTAGGTGTTGAAGACCCTGACAGCGAGCAGGTAGAGGTGGAAGGCTTCAAGGCCCATCCAGGTGAAGGCACAGAGCAGGAAGTAGTGGAAGACAGCCCCCCGGGCCCAGCAGGCAGCATCAGACCCCTTTGAGCCACTCCCCACATTGACCAAGAAGGCCAGATTCAGGAGGAACAGGCTGCCACCCAGGGCCACGTGGATCTTTGGGGCATCTTCTGACTTGAACCTCTCCCGGGAAAGCCTGGGGTGAGAAATAAGAGGCCCCAAGGGGCCACAGCTCCCATGGGGAGCTCCCATGAGGCACCCAAGCCTGTCCACCCCAATAGCCTATGGCTCTCCACCCCCACTGCCAGCTCCTGCCTGCTCATCCAGCTTCCATCCCTGCCGGCAGCCAGAGTGGGAGTGTCCTGAGGTTCAAGTCCAGGAGCCTCTCATGGCCCACGGGGCCCTGTGGGTTCCGGATCCTGCCAGCCTCATCCCTTGATCAATGTGAGGCAGGATAATAGGGAAAATGAGGCCAGAAAATGAGGCAGGAGAATAGCAAAGGGAATTAAAAGTTGGATAAAGGGCAGAATAAGTAAAAGCAGAGAATAGAAGCACGGTGAATGGGACGGGTGAGCAAGAAGTGAGATGAAAAGCAGAGGTTCAGCAGGCAAGACAAAAGTGACATAAAAAAGGGACCCCGTGGCCGGCAAGATCCGGACCAAACCAGTAAGGGGCAGCTCTTCAGAGATGGGCATTTACATTAGAGAGAAAAAGTTTCTTTCACATAACCCTGTATGATAATTAGCTACTTAAGGTTCATGCATATGGGCTGCATATCATGCATGTACTTAAAATTATGGGATGGAGGTGACACACAAACGTACACGGGCCCAAAGTAACTGAGCAACACACCTATCAGTCAAAAGCCAGACACTGGCTAGAGATTAGGCAGCCTTGGGAAGAGAAGAAAAAAAACACCTGGAATGACCCAAACTATACCAAGGTGAGGCTGATCTCATTTCGCAGAGGTCAGCTCTTCCCACTGTTCTCAATGCCTTTCCCTGCTCCCCAGCTCCTCCCACCTTCTTTGCCTGACTCCTCTTCTTCTGCCTTTCAAATGCCCCTTGGAGGTTTCCTTCTGGGGAGGCCATCTCTGAATGCCCCTTAGCCTGAGCTGAACTGGACATTTCCCAGCAGCATAGTGTAACTCCCCATCCTCTCTCTCCTCGGGTCTTTCCCATGCTGTGAACTTCAGGCCTAACAGTGGTGGGACCAGGGATCCATTGGTGAAGTGGATGGACAGATGGGTGGATGCATGAAGCCGAAAATGCAGTAGGAGAGTGAGGCTTAGAGAGGGACGGGAGCCTTATGGGGTCACAGAGCAGGGCAGGGGCTCCAACCCTGGGCTCCAGACTCCCTGTCCAGTGACTCACCAGGCTCACCTCCCTCTCTCTGGAGCCCCCACTCTGAATTCTTAGCAAACCAGATCCAAAAGGGCTCTCAGCCGAGGGAGGGGAGCCGGGGGCTTCCTGGAGGAGCATCTGGGATCATGTCCACCTCACCTGAGATGCCAGGCCCCACCCTGGGGAGCTGGTGGTAATTTCTCCTGGCGCTCCAAGCCCCGCTCACAGGGTCCAGCAATGCGGCCAGCTGGCAAGTCACACTCGGCTTGTTGGGGATGGGGACCATGTCCTAGGCCAGGGCTTGGAGGGTGGGGGTGAGGGGCACCATTTACACTCATGGGTTGGTCTGTGATGGATTGGGTGGGCCTAGTTGGGGCTGCAGCCTAGGGCCAAATGCTGACACAGAGGCACGTGGAGAGGGCGGAGGGACGGCCCTGGATGCGGGGGCAGGAGACCCAAGGGCTGCTTTAGGCCACCCCCAGGGACCCCCAGGAGGCAGGGGACAGGACAAGCTGGAGCACTGGCAGCTCCCCTAGGCTCCTTCAAGCTGGCAGATCCTGTGGGTCCCTCAGCCATGGCCTGGGCCCAGGCTGCAGTGCTCTCTGCTGTTTCTGCCTGTCCTGCACTCACTCCCACCTCTTCTGGACACAGCCCCAGGTTTCCCTAAGGAACGCCCGTCCCCACTCTCATAAGTCAGGGGCCAGGGGTTCTTTGTTAGCTCAAACCCAAGAGCAGACACATGGCCTGGCCGGCCAATCTGTGTATTCCAGCTCTTGACCACAGTGACCCAGACAGGCATGGGCACATGGTCCAAGTTAGACCAGTAAGACTCAACTCTGGTGTATACACGGGATAAAACTGCATAGGCTGATATACACAGACATGCACACACATGCTCACACAGGGCCAGTTTCATGAGCATGTGACCTCTGTAGGACCCCATACGCAGAAGGACTTAATGTTCTACTGTCGCCATCTTGACATTCTTAAAATTTTTTGAATAAGGGGCCATATATTTTCTTTCTCTCTCTCTCTCTCTTTTTTTTTTTTTTTTTTTTGAGACGGAGTTTTGCACTTGTTGTCCAGGCTGGAGTGCAATGGTGTGATCTCGGCTCACTGCAACCTCCGCCTCCTTGGTTCAAGCGATTCTCCTGCCTCAACCTCCTGAGTAGCTGGGATTACAGGCGCGCACCACCACGCCCAGCTAACTTTTGTTTTGTATTTTTAGTAGAGATGGGCTTTCACCATGTTGGCCAGACTGGTCTCGAACTCCTGACCTCAGGTGATCTACCTGCCTCGGCCTCCCAAAGTGCTGGGATTACAGGCATGAGCTACTACGCCCAGCCTTCTTTATTTTCATTTTGGACTGGGCCAATCAAATGATATGTCCTGCGCGCACGCACGCGCGCACACACACACACACACACACACACACAGACACACACACAGACACACACATGAATGTACATAAAAAATGGTGAAAACTGAGCAAAGTCTGTATTCTAGTCAACAGTACTGTACCACCAGCTGCTGGTTTTGATATTGAACTACAGTTGTCTATGATGTATCCACAGGGGGAATCTGGGAGAACGAACCACAGGACTCTGCACTATTTTTGCATCTTTCTGTTTTATCTCAAAATAAAATCCTTCTCAATCCTGGGATTCATCTTAGAATACTTGGAAAGAGGAGATCTCTTTTATTTCTGCCTAAGCAGCTAAGGAGCTATGATGCAATCCTGAGGCAGCCAGGGCCCCTGAGGGTGGTAAAGCTGCCCGATGTGACTGTCAAGGGGCGAGCAAAGCTGTGAGAGGTAGAGGGAGACCAAGTTCTGGGGACCTCTTTTGACCCCCTGGATCGAACCCTGCCAGAAGTCCATGCACCTTGGGTTTTTCAATTACATGAACCCTATTTGCTATTTGCTATTCTCAGTTACGTGAACCACACATTCCCTATTATGTTTAAGCCAATTTGAGTTGAGTTTCTGCCACTTGCTCCTGAAATAGCTCTGACACATTTCAACCCCCAACCCCATTTTGGGATGAGGACACTAACGTGTGGAGGGGACAACGGTCAGAGGCTGCACAACCTGAATGCTTCCCACCCTGCCCTGCTGCCTCCCTTGAGGGCGGGAGGGAGACATGGTGGGGAGGTGGGGATCACTCACCTCAGAAAGGCATAAAGAATAATGGTGAAGGCCAGGAAGATCATGGAGACCCCACAGCCCGCCTGGGAGATGCGTGTGAGGATATGCACCGTGGACTGGTCCAAGGTGGGTCTCTGTGGGTGACCCCAGAACCGGGACCACGTCAGTTGGAGGCCAGGCCCATATACCCAAAGACCACCAGGCAGCCCCCTCCCCAGGGCAGGAGCTGGAAGCCCCTGGGATGGCTGGGATCAGAGTGGAGGGGGCTGTTACCAGGAGCAGGGCGAAAAAGGTCAGGTGGTCACAGCAGCACACGGTCCCCTCAGGTCTGACCTCCGTGGAGCAGCCCTCAGAAGACCAGTCTCCAGTGGTCCCTGGAGAGGAGGCCAGGGGAACAGAGGGAAAGGGAATATAGGGAGGGGAGGGCAAGGGAGGGGAGAGGAGGGGAACAGAGGGGAAGGGAATATAGGGAGGGGAGGGTAAGGGAGGGGAGAGGAGGTGAACAGAGGGGAAGGGAATATAGGGAGGGGAGGAGAGGAGAGGGGAGGGGAGGGGAGGGGAACAGAGGGGAAGGGAATATAGGGAAGGGAGGGGAGGAGGAAGGGGAGGTGAGGAGGGGGGGGAGGGGAGGGGAAGGGAGGGGATGCAGGGAGCAAAGAGGAGGGGAGGGGAGGGGAGAGGAAGGCAGGGGAGGGACTCAGCCAGTGGAGCTAGCCCCGCCCCACAATGCAGCCCATACCCTCCCTTCCTGTCTTACCCCAGAGAAGGTCCTCCGGGCCCTACCTTTAGTCACATCCCAGAATACACAGGTGAGGGTCATGTTCTGAAACCGAAGAGTGGAAGTCAGGAGAGAGGAAAAGGGAAGTTTGGGGGAGGGCAGGGGAAGCGGGAGGACGGTGTGCTCCCCCGAGTCCTAGTGTGAGTGTGCATTAGGTAGAAAGCAAGGTTCACACCCATGGGCCACACAGAAAAATTAAGTGCACCATTTGATGAGCCCTGGGCCGGCGTGTGAAGCGTGCGACTGTGGTGTGGGGCTGTGGGCAGGAGGGTTTGCCTGTCTGCATGCATGTGTGCGTGTCAGGGGAGCATGGGTGTGGAGGATGTGGAATGCCATGTGTATGCAGGTGGGCTTGCCAGGTCCTCATGTGCACCTCTATGGTGTGTGGCCTTGGATCCAATTATGTGTATGGCCCTAATGGCTCCTCCTGGGCGACTGTGGAAGGGTAGGGGACAGATATGTAGTGTCCCATGCAGGGCCCATGGGCCCAGGTGTGCCCACTCGCCTGTCTGCCCTGCAGTGGCTGCCAGGCCTGAGCAGGGGACTCACAGGGGGCGGTCGCTGGTGAGAGAAGACGATCTCCAGAGGCTCAGCCAGCTTGGTGACATGCATTTGTCCCACACTCAAACCCACCAGGCGATTGTTCAACACGCCGCTGCCATCTCCCAGGCCGAGCCGGGGGCCCTGTGAAAGGGGAGATCGGGGAGGCCAGGCTGCAGAAGGGGCCATCCCAACCCACCAACGCTGGGGTTCCTAGGAGCCTCCAGGAACCCATGGCCTTTGCTTGGAGGGCAGAGTTCGAGACCAGGGGACCAGGGAGCCAAGGAGTCACAGGCAGCCTCCTCCCTGCTGCTCCCAGTGGTCTCCTGCTTGGGCTGGGCCAGGTCAACTGGCTGCAAAGCTGTGCACCTGACAGCTCTCCATTGCTGGCCTCCAGAGCTCCTCTGCCCTCTTAACTAGAGGGGGCATGGGGCCAAGATCAGCCAAGAAATGGAAGTCAGCGGGGAGGATAGCGTGCCCCTGAGGGTCTTAGCGTGAGTGTGCATTCGGTAGAAAGGAGGCTGGTGGGGGGAGCACACTAGCCCTCAGGGGTACACACGTCTGCACAGGAGTGGATGCACACCTCTGGGTGCACATACCTGGTATACACATGTGCAAGGGCATGGGTACACTTGCTCGTGTGGATATGATCACAGCTGAGTACATGGGCTTGTGCGTGCACAAGAATAGAAAAGGATGTGCATGTTTGTGCATGCACGAGGACACACAGAGCACACGAGCACCCACAGGACACATAGACAAGCCAAAGGGCACTCATGTGTGGGGGTCAAACATCTGAGAGCGTGTGACCAGTGTGAGTCTGAAGACCATAGACTCTAGTGACAGGTGTCTGAGATGGCCACGGGCTGCATTAGAAACACTAAGAGGCTCACTGCCTGCTCTGTCCCCATTGGATCCCTCGGCAGGCTCCAGTGACAGCAAACTGTGGCATGGAGCCCCCAGAGGACCTAGCACTTAACCTTGGAGCTTCCCTGAGTCCTCACCTTGAAGAGAGTCCCTGGACCAATGTCCAGAATGGTGACGGCCAAGCGGACCACAGACCTGTTGCCTGGCAGGGATCGAAAAAGGCTCTTGGGAAGTCGCACTCTGTCAGGGGGCTTGTCCTCGTCCTTCATCACCTGCCTCGGAACCTACAACCACAGACACAGCAGCTCCCATCTGTACCCACCCCCCAACACGAGTCCTGCCACTCCCCCAGCTGGGAGGGGAAGCAGGCACACTGGGTAGGGGGCAGCACCTGGGGACTGTCAGCTCTGAGAGGCAGGACACCTGGGGCACAGTGCAAGCTCTGCTCCTCACAGGCTGTGCATCCCTAGACAAGTTATAGCCCTTGTGGAGCCTCGGTTTTCCCAATACAGAGAGTAGAGCTAAGCTTGTGCCTGTCTGGGCACCTGATGCCTGGGCAAGCTGAATGTGCAAGTATGAGGACGGCTGGAGGGCATGTGCTTTTGGCCAGGGCCCTAACAGTCCCAGTGTTTACACAGGGCTTGATTGTGACAGTGTCTGGCTTCTGACTCAGGAATAAATGGAAAGAATAAAACCGTCAGGAAGGAAGTTCAGGAAGCGAGAGAACAAGGGCAGAGAGGGAGGACACACACGTTTACTCTGAATGTCAAATCCTCCCCGCCCAACAACAACAACACATTTTCAAAAAACAAAGAATCGTCAGAATATTGAAATACATTTCAGTGGTCATTGCAAAGCATTTGTTTTTTTTGAGATGGAGTCTCATTCTTGTTGCCCAGGCTGGAGTGCAATGGCGCTATCTCAGCTCAGTGCAACCTCCGCCTCCCAGGTTCAAGCGATTCTCCTGCCTCAGCCTCCCAAGTAGCTGGGATTACAGGCATGCACCACCATGCCCAGCTAATTTTGTATTTTTAGTAGAGACAAGGTTTCACCATGTTGGCCAGGCTGGTTTCGAACTCCTGACCTCAGATGATCCGTCCGCCTTGGCCTCCCAAAGTGCTGGTATTACAGGCGTGAGCCACTGTGCCCGGCTGCAAAGCATGTTTCATTCATTCTCTGAGCTCCCTGTTCCCCTAAGGGCTACAGCCTGACCCACCCAGGGCCTGCCTCAGAAACACCCCATGCACATTGGCACAGGGGGTTTATGGCTGGAGCTGAAGGCCCCAACTTTCTCCTTCCCAGTCCAGACTCCCAACGAAAGGACATGTAGGTGATTTCTGGGGCCAGTACATAACCCCTGCAGAGGGCTCAGCTGCTTGAGTGACATAATAAAGGGTTGAGAAAGAATCTCTCTTCCATTCCCCTTTCTCCAGACAAACCTAAAAGTACCTCAGTGCTAACCAACTCACCTTGCTGCCTGAAGTTCCACCACCACATCCATTTCTTCCAGAAGGCAGGAGGCTTTCTAAGCCCTCACTATCCCAAGCATTCCCTGTGCATTATCTCATTTGCTCCTCTCATTCATCTTTTGTTTGTTTTGTGTTTTGTTTTGTTTTCGTAGAGATGGACTCTCACTGTGTTGCCCAGGCTGGTCTAGAACTCCTGGCCTCAAGCCATCCTCCTACCTCAGCCTCCCAAAGTGCTGAAATTGCGGGTGTGCACCACTGCACCTGGCCATGTTAATCTTGAAAGTGGGCAATACCTTCATCTTTTTATAGACAGAGAAACCGAGGCTCAGAAAAGTAATTTGCCCATGATCACAATGGCTGGTGAAGGGCAGAGCTGGGATTTGAATCCAGACCAGCATAAACCCAGAGTCTGTCCATCGAACCCTTTACCTCATTTCAAATATGTTCCCTCAGTAGAGGAGCTCACGGAAATTTTAGGCTTGGAGGAATCTTAGAGCTCATTTTACAGACGCAGCTCTGCCAATTGGGACGTGGGGGAGGGACAAGCCCTAGTTATATCACAGGATATAACTCTCTTAGAGTTTTGAAATATACGTCCAAGAAAAATAGGGTCCGAACCAGCCAAGAGGGCTGGGGAGCTCTTCACCTGAGAGGGCTCCAGAGAGAAATAGAAGTCTTCTGCAGTGTTGGTGCTGAGGTTCTGGACCAAAGCCTTCAGGAAAGGCGTGTTCACCTTCTGCGTCAAACCTTCCTTCATCAGATGGGCCTCGTAGTTTAGCCAGTATCTGCAAAGGGCCAGGGATGGGGGGAGGGTAGGATCCTGCAGGCTGAGTTACTCACTCATCAGGCTCCTGGGGTGAGAGGGCTGACCCAAACTATCAAAGTAAAGACCCTGGGATCAGGACAGGAGGAAGAAAAGTGGCTTGGGGGCCGTCCAGGCTGCTCCTGCAGAATTCCAGCTAGGCGTCCCTCTGAGTATTTTATGTGTTTGTCTTTTTTTGTGCATATGGTAAAGTACACATAGCATAAAATTTACCATTTTAACCATTTT
Organism: Homo sapiens; assembly: GCF_000001405.40. Taxonomy (NCBI): domain Eukaryota; kingdom Metazoa; phylum Chordata; class Mammalia; order Primates; family Hominidae; genus Homo; species Homo sapiens. Next base: position 57,675,933 of record NC_000016.10, on the reverse strand, counting down.
AAAGTGTCCAATTCAATGGCATCAAGTAAGTCACAATGTTGTGCAACCGTCACACTACCTAGTTCCAGAATATTTCATCACCCCAAAGGAAACCCGTACCCATGAAGCTCTCCCTTCCCCCTTCCCCCAGCCCCTGCAATCACTAATCTGCCTTCTGTCTCTGAGTTTGCCTGTTCCAGATAGCTCACACAAATGGAATCATACAACATGCAGCCTTTTGTTTCTGACTTCTTTCACTCAGCATAATGTTTTCAGGGTTCATCTATGTTGTAGCATGTATCAGTATTCCATTTTATTTTATTTTTGAGACTGTCTCACTGTGTCACCCAGGCTGGAGTGCAGTGGCACAATCTCAGCTCACTGCAACCTCCGCCTCCCGGGTTCAAGCGATTCTGCTGCCTCAGCCTCCCGAGGAGCTGGGATTACAGGTGTGAGCCACCACACCCAACTAATTTTTTTGTATTTTTAGTAGAGAAACATGGGGTTTCACCATGTTGGTCAGACTGGTCTCGAACTCCTGACCTCAAGCGATCCGCTTGCCTCGGCTTCCCAAAGTGCTGGGATTACAGGCATGAACCCACTGCACCTGGCCCTATTTCTTTTTTTAAATTATTTTTTGTAGAGTCGGTGTCTCACTCTGTTGCCCAGGCTGGTCTTGAGCTCCTGGCCTCAAGTGATCTTCCTGCCTCAGCCTCCCAAAGTACTGGGATGACTTTGGGCACGAGCCACAGTGCCTGGCCCCTGTATTTTATTTCTTTTTATGGATGAATACTATTTCATCATATGGAGAGATCATATTTTAATTATGCCGTTATCCATTGAGGGACATTTGGGTATTTTCCTCTTTTTTTTTTGGCTACTGTGAAAAGTGCTGCTACAAATATTCACGTACAAGATGCTGCTGCTGCTGCTGCTGCTGCTTTTTTTTTTTTTTTTTTGAGATGGAGTCTCACTCTGTCGCCCAGGCTGGAGTGCAGTGGAGTGATCTCAGGTCACTGCAACCTTTACCTCCTGGGTTCAAGCAATTCTCCCACCTCAGCCTCCCGAGTAGCTGGGATTACAGGCGCCTGTCACCAAGCCTGGCAATTTTTTTTTTTTTTTTTTGTATTTTCAGTAGAGACAGGGTTTCACCATGTTGGCCAGGCTGGTCTCAAACTCCCGACCTCAAGTGATCTGCCCACCTCGGCCTCCCAAAGTGCTAGGATTACTTGTGTGAGCCGCCGTGCCTGGCCCATGTATAAGCTTTTGTTTGGAGACTTGTTTTAAATTCTTTTGGGCATATACCTGGGCAGCACAAAGAGGAGCCTCTGAACAGCTCTGGGGTGCTAAGAAGCTCCTGGATCACCTGCAGGTGGGAATGGAAGCCTTTTCAGGCCACTGAAATAACATGATCCAATGAGATGGCTGTCCTAACACCAAGCCTGAGAGCGCAGGGCTTTAACTCATTCCTTTAACACATATTTATTAAGTACTAATGTAAGCCACGTGCTTTTCTAGGCATCCCAGAAGAGTTATGGGCAACTTTGATTAGGAGTGGGAAAAGGAAAGAGAGGCAGAGATATTTTTGGAGATGGCTCCTAAAGATGTTGTATTCTAAACCCCTTCATTTCCCTCACCCCCACATCTAACCAGTCTCTTGTCTTACGGAGTCTACATCGTATCATCTCCCCAATCCATCTCTCCTTTCCAAGCACGCAATGCCAATTGCTGCTAGTGGTGCTGACTTGGCCCTCACTCCCACCCAGACCCCTGTGATGCATCCTACTGGGTCATGTCTTCCTGCATCACCGGTCCCTGAAGCCTGAGCAATCATTCCAAAACGCAGAGTTGACTATACTCTCCCTGCGCTTAAAATATGTCATTGCCCTGCCGCCCTCACCCATTGGTATAACTTACACAACCCTTCACACCTTAGTCTCTGCTTATATTTCCAGTCCTATCTCCCACCCATCGCATCTGCCCATTGTCTCTTCCATCCCCACGCGGTTTACATTGTTACAGTTCAAAGCATTGCAGTTATCCCCCATTACTTTCAAGTTCTGTTGCCTGTATCCTCACCATTGTTTAGATCCAGCTGGAAAACTCCTGTGCACCCTCAAAGCCCTTTCCAGGTTTCCTCCTCTGTGAAGCCTTGGCCAACTTCCCTCCTCTGGGCTAACCTGGCACCTTGTCTGCCATTCTGTATACACTCTGGAGTCATCATTATTTGGGTCTGTGTCTGTCATTCCACAACTCCCAAGGGCCAGGATAGGAGTGGATTCATCTCTGAATACCCTAGATCAGTAGGTACCCCAACTGCTAGAATGGGGATGTTGGGTCAGGGGGACTGTGGTGTCAAACAAGGTGGAAGAGTCAGATGGGAGCAACATTTTCTGGGGCCATGGGGGAAGATGGCCCCATCCCTTCCTGATAGTCCTCCTCCCAGCAGCTTCAGATTCCCCCTCCAGCTCAGGGGGCCCCCTCACCTCTGCAAGTTTTCCACATTGCAGGAGTCGCTGCCCGACTGCCTGCACTTGGTGAAGCACAAAGCCTTGTCATTCAAGTTGAAGATGTCGTACATGTTGTTGCTCCCCAGGCAGGTGTTTCTTGGCCCTTCGGTGGGCTTTTCCTGACCTAAGGAAGGAATGCAGAGAGTGTGAATGGGCTGGACGAAGATGGGCAGCAAGGATGAGGAGCAGGGAAAGGAGCTGGGGCTCCAGAGTCTGGTGGTTGGGCTAGAATTCCAGCTCCATGCATCACACTAACGGTGCACTTGAGCAGGATGCAGACCCTCTCTGGGGCTGTTTCCAAGGTAAAAGCAAATACCCCATCTCCCAGGGCTGGTAGGATGCTTTGGGGAAAGCATGTACAAAAGGCTTGGCACATGGCTCTGTAAATAAAAGGTTTCATATGTTTGTGCTATTACTCCTTTACCCCTTCCTCCAGGGAGTCTGCCTGGCTTTTCAGTTATTCCACATCAGACCTTCCAAAGCCCTTGCAACTGTGGCCTCCTGGTTAAACTCTTGGATGTATTCTGTCTTGGTTTGCCTCATTCTCCCACATTCACACTATCTTATTTGTGTAAATTTAAAAAATGATGTATTGGCAGGGCGTGGTGGCTCACACCTGTGCTAAGAAGCACACACAACCATCACAGCTACCTCCTGGGACAGGTAGAAAATACAGCAAACCAAGGCCCCTCGAGCAAAATGACTTGAGAAAGGTTACTAGCTAGTTGGAGGCTGCTCCAGGACTAAAGACCAGCTTTTGTGACTTTTAGTTCGGTTCCCTTTCACCTAATACAGGGCACAAAATGGAAGCTTTGGGTCATCTACTAACTGTATGTCCTGAGGCAAGTTACTTAAACAACCTGAGGCTCAATCTTTTGCCAGCAAAATGGAGCTAATAATACATTCCTTGCAAGTTTTGGGAAGGATTAGAGATAAAGGACATACATAGCTCATTGTAGGTGTTCAAAGAGTTTACCATCTTTAACGGTTTATTGCACAGCCTTCTGGAAATTTTGCAGAAGGTATGCATATGCAAGTATTTATAAGTACATCATTTTTTTAAGGAAAAAATGTTTTAATTAAGAAGAGGGGGTTCTCACTATGTTGCCCAGGCTGGTCTCGAACTCCTGTCCTCAAGCGATCCTCCTGCCTCAGCTGCCCAAATTGCTGGATTACAGGTGTGAGCCACCAAGCCCTGCCGATACATCGTTTTTTAAATTTACACAAATAAGATCACTTAACAATATATCTTTTTTTTTTCTTTTGAGACAGAGTCTTGCTCTGTCACCCAGGCTGGAGTGCAGTAGCATGATCACAGCTCACTGCAGCCTAGACCTCCCAGGCTCAATCGATCCTCCAACCTCAGCCTCCCAAGTAGCTGGGACTACAGGCACATGCCACCATGCCTGGCTAGTTTTTCCTTTTTTTATGTTGTTTATTTTTATTTTTTTAGAGACAGGGTTTTGCTGTGTTGCCCAGGCTGATCTCAAACCCCTGGGCTCAAGCGATCCGCTCACCCTGGCCTTCCAAAGTGCTGCGATTTATAGGCATGAGCTACCACGCTTGGACTAGCAATATATCTTGAAGAACTTTTCCACCTCATTCTTTATATAGTTGCAAACTATTCCATTCCATGGGCATTGCAACACTTTTTTAACCGGTCCCCTCTTGGTGGACATTGTTTTTCACAATCTGCCATAAGAATTCTTGAGTGTGCATCTTTTCAGCTTGTGTTGAGAACTCATAGAAAACATTCCTATCTTAGGACTTTCTGTATCTAACTGTATGTGCTTTAAAACACCGCCAGGAAGGCTGAGTGCGGTGACTCACGCCTATAATCCCAGCACTTTGGGAGGCCGAGATGGGTGGATCACCTGAGGTCAGGAGTTTGAGACCAGCCTGGCCAGCATGGGGAAGCCCTACTAAACATACAAAAATTAGCCGGACGTGGTGGTGGGTGCCTGTAATCTCAGCTACTCAGAAGGCTGAGGCAGGAGAATTGCTTCAACCCGGGAGGCGGAGGTTGCAGTGAGCCAAGATCACACCACTGCACTCCAGCTTGGAAGACAAAGAGAGACTCTGTCTCGAAAAAAAAAAAAAAAAAAAAAAAAACTCCTATTCTAGGACTTTCTGTATGTGCTTTAAAAAACTGCCGGGTATTATTGAATTTCCCTCCAGAAAATGGTGTACCTATTTATACTCTCACTCAAAGTGGATAAGAGTGACTATCCACATGCCTATTATTCTATAGCTTACTGAACTTTTGGATTTTTGCTAGTCTGAGGGATGACATTGAATCTTATTTCCATTTAAGGAGTTTGAGCATCTACCTGTATATCTGCGGCCACTTTTATGTCTTTTACTCTGAAGTGCTTTGTTGTATCCTTCTCCCTTTGAGGGTGGGAAGTGGGTCTTGGCTCTGCATTGTCACTTTTCGGATTGCCACCCCCAGGAAGTGTTAGGAGAGCTCCCTCTGCGATGGGTGGTGCTGGGGGCTGAGGCGGGCAGGGGCTCATCTGCTTTCCATTTTTTATTTCCCTCCCTGGTATTTGATTTTTTAAAAATCATGTCCAGTATTACTGTCACATTTTTTAAAAAACTGTTCATTTTTAATCATTAAGACAAAAAAGACATGATAAAAATAATGGCTGAATAAAGAGTAACAGCAGGGTAAAAAAATAACATTTTAGAGGGGATTTTGTAATAATGGACTCTATATGTGATAATTCGTTTTAGATAGTTTATAAAGGAACTGTAAATTTCTGTTAGTTTATAAAGATATTTATGATGCATTGTTTAATGGGAAATGAAAATGATAGATGAGCATGAATATAGTATGATCTATGTTGGCTTTTTAAAAAAGGGGAGAAGAGGGAGAGGAGGAAGAAGACAGAAACAGGGAGAGGGAAGAGAGGAGAGGGGAGGAGGGGTTGAGAGGGGAAGGAAGAGGACAGGAGAGGAGGGGAGATAACATTGTCAGCTTGAGGACGGGTGCCATTCTCTGCCATCCCGGCCCTGCTGTCATGAATGGGTCCAGGTGCAGGCCTCCCTCCCGGATTGCCATGAATTTCAGCGCAGGCATGTAAGTGAAGCTCTTGGCAAGCACCCTACACAGACAGGATCATTAAATATCTTTTCTGTGTTTATTCTTTGAAGACACTGCAAGCATTTCATGTAGACAAGGAGACCCTGTGCTAGGCCTGTGGGTGGGATAGCACTCCCCTCCTCTCCAGACCCTCTATGCTCCAGAGCCTGGCCTCCATGGACTGCCTCATTTGGGGGTCAGCAAGTGGAAAGTGGACTGGAGGTCAGAGGGCAGGAGGAGGGCAGAGTGGGCATTTGCCCCCACCCCGCATGGCTCCTTCAGCCCCTGCTGGCTCACCGTGAGCAAACCACCGCCATTTCCCTCCTGTAGCCACAGTCTGGCTGTAGAAGCCCAGGGGGCCACTCCCTCCTGGCCCCTTTAGACCTCACGGTGCTGAAGGCTGCCCCAGGTGCCAGCCTGCCCAGTGACCACCCTCCTTGCTCCCCGTGCCCTGCCCGCACCTTTGTCACGTGTCCCTTCATGCCAGGCCCTCCATTGCATCCACCCCTTGCTCAGCCCTAACAGCTGGGTCTCACATGCGAGCCCCCACCACACTGTGTCACTCCTGCAGACTGTGAGCCTTTTGAGGGCAGGGGCCAAGTGGTACCAGCAGGAGCAGAGGGCACCATCGATGCTTCCTGAATGAATGAATGAATGAATGAATGCGCAAATGGAGAATGGAGACTAACACATCACTGTCCACACAGGAAGTGTGCAGACCTTCCTGTGTGTAGACCTCTCAGAGCTCCTTGCTCAATCAAATGGCTGCTGCTCTGCCCCAACCAGAGCACCCACATCACCATGGGGGAAACAGCATCACCTGGAGGAGGCTTGAAGGCCCAACCAGCGATGACAGCTGGGACCTGAGGACGCCCATGAGCCCTGGTCACAGCTGCCATCGGTGGCTCCGTTCATTCATCTATCAAGGGCTGCCTGGTGGCCTGCTCTGTACCAGGGCCTCCCGGGGCCACTAGGAGGACAGTGCTGTCATCTCCCACCCTTTTTTGAGCCAGGGACTGATTCACTCCACTGAATCTTCCAATGTTTGAAAAGAAGAGGGTTATTTGAAGACCAAATAAGTTGATCTATGTGGCCAAAGTCACGCGACCACACGCTGGACACACAGGGAGATGGACATGCAGGCCCCTCACCGAGTCAGGAGCAAAAAGAGAGTGGCCTGCAAGGCCCTGAGACAGGAGCACTGAGGAGGGAGCACTAACGGGGGAGCACCTCCCTCTGTCCGAGAGGGTTGCTAAGACGCCACAGAGGCCAAGAAGGGTAAATGGAGCTGGCTAAGTGGGCAAGGGGTAGGGGGACAGCTTTCCTGGGAGAGAGGCCAGCAAAGGCAAGGCCCGGGCACTTCCATGGCCTCTGGAGACGCACCATGTGTTTGTGTGTGAGACGGGAGAGTGACGGGGAGGAGTGTGGATCCTGGCTCAGGCCACTGAGGACCAAGAGGTTGTGGCTGAGACTGGGAGAGGGAGCCGGTGTGGGGTGACATGTGCGGGAGGAGAGGTCCAGAAGAACGAGGTGACAGACCTTCCTGGCCTCAGCTTCCAGAGTGTCTGAATCCCGTCCCCAGGATCTCACAAGCCAGCTGGAGAATTGCCTGCCCGGGGCCAACCCCTGTCTCAGAGCCAGGCCTGTCAGGGAGACACAGCCCAGGTTGGGGAGTCAGGGAGCACCCTCCGACCTCCCCTATCTCCAGGGCACTGTGGAGCAACAAAGGGAACCTGAGACCAGTCCTGAGCAAGGTTTAGTGGAAGGACAGGACTGACCCAAAGGGACAGGGCTAGAGAAGGTGCTGAGGCGGCCACGGGGGGTATCGGAGGACACATCCCAGACACCCCAACTCCTCACCTTCTCCAGTCCCTGCGTCTGTCCCTGGATCCCTCCCTCGGCAGGGCAGGGTCGGCCCAGCGTGGCAGGAGGGGATGAGGTGCCAGCCACTCACCTGAGGTCGGGAGCAGGAGGAGCAGGAGCAGGGCCCCCAGGCCCCTGGGCGTCGCCATCCTTGGCCAGCCTTGCCCACGCCAGGAGCTCTGTGGCTGTCTGGCCCTCTGGCCCCAGGCTCTGCTGAGCTGGCCTGCCCCCACCCTGCAGCCCCACCACTCTGGCTTCCTGTGTCCTCTTTCTCACCCTTCCTGCTCGATGGCGCCATTGGTTGGGTTGTGAAAGGTGAGTGTGGGGAACTGGGCAGTGCTCCCAGTCTCACCGCACCCTGGGTCCACCTGCAGAGGGAGCTGCTGAGCCCACCCAGGTATGTGCCCCCGGGGCCCCACTGGGGTGGGATCTACGGGGCTAGGGGCTGGGTGGCCACAGGGGCCTGGCTCAGAGCGGATCCCTGGGAACTGTGGTGAGCACAGGCTTTGGAGTCAGGCGCACCTACTCAGACCCCTCCTCTCACAAGCTGGGAGCCTCTCTGAGCCTCAGTTTCCTCCTCTGTAAAGTGAAGATGGCAATGGGGCTGCCTCCTAAGGCTGTGTCAGGGTTTGATGAGACCTGCAACAAGCTGGGCACAGAGCCTGGCTCTGGGCATGAGGACGAAGACCCAGATGGTGCCTATGGCTTGAACCAGGCTGGAGGGTGTGGGAGGAGAGCAGGAGCTGGCCCTGCAGCCTGAGCTTCCCCCACCAGCCTGGATAACAGGACGGACCCAGAGGCAGGGTAGCGGGAAGACAGCAGTGCGGCCCCGGGGGCTGGTCAGGCCTGAGCTAACATCCATCCTGGCCACTTCCTGGCCGGGTGACCTTGCATGCACTGTCTGTCACCCTGAGCCTCCCGAGGTGTGTGATGAAATCATGGATGACGCAGGCGGAGCCGCCTGTGGCCATTACATCATTTCTGATCATCAGAGCTGTGAAATTGTTGTCTTTACACCCCAAATGGTCACTGATCAGGTGGGAGGTGGGGGTGGCAAACACTCCTGGGCTTCAGCCTAAAGGAATTAGGGCGCCAGCCACTCGGGCCAACTCTGGAGGCCCCACGGATGCACTGTGCATGAGGCCATGGCCACTTGGCAATTGGAAGGTGAAGGGCATCCCACCAAGGTGTGTGGTTGCTGGCATCCCCCTCTGGCCCACGGGGCTGGCACTAGCCCTACTCAGCCTTGGGATTGAACTGGGGAGCCGCTCAGCCCCTGCTGGCCTCCATTTCCTCCTCCTCCCACTCAGTGTCTCCTGCTGAGCCCTCTGGGTCTGGGAAGGGGTAGGGAGGGGATGTCAGGGTCACTCATGGTGTGGGAGCAGGTGGGAATTCAGCATGGAGCAGCAGGTCAGAGCCCAGGGCTTCCTGAGCCCCAGAAACTTCCTCTGCAGGGAGGGCTGCGAAGGCAGATGAATGGCTGGGCCTGCCACTGCTCCACACCTGGCCAGCCTTCTCCTGGAAGATCTGCAGACCTCCCTCCCAGCTGCAGGTGAGGGTGAGGTGGGGCAGTGGACTTGGATGTGCTGGGCCCATCGCTGAAGCCCCATCCTGGCACCTGGGCCCTCAGAGAGGCTCGCAGGTACCAGTGTGTGAAGAAGCGCCTGGGGGTGAGCAGACTGAGATTCCGAGCAGCCAGCCCACCTGGGAAGTGGGCAGAGGGCAGGTGCAGGGGAAGGTCAGGCAGGGCTGGAAGGAGGGCCACCTTTTCCTAAGGCCCCTTCCCTGAAACGCCCCCTGGGGACCAGGGACTAGCCTGGAGCCACTCACAGAACCCTGAGACCCCCCCCAACCCCAGGGCCAACAAAACAGTAGTGTCCCTTCCTGCCGCCTCCTGCCCCAGCTTCTCCCAATGGCTCCAGTGGGCAGGGCCTCAAGTCCTCCAGCGAGACCCAGCCAGCATTCAGCCCTCAGCTGCTCCAATCCATTTCCCAAGCTAAAGGGATGTTTCCAGATGCACGCCTGGCCACATGCTGGCAGAAAGGGCGATCCCACTGTCCAAAGCCCCACAGCCTGGGAAAGTGCATGATAATAACCATCGGGGTAAAAGGATCAGCATGGAACTGTTGGTGCCCTGTGCAGGGCCTACCTGAGAAGGTGAGACCCAACCCAAGACCCCTCCCCACTACCTGAGCCAGCCTCAGATGCAGAAACAAAATGTTTGAGAAGCAGGAGAATTGCGGAGGAACGGGGCTGGGTCATTTCCCCCCCATTCTGGAAGATGGGGGGAGTTGCCTCAACCCCCATCCCAGGACCTAGCCCAGCCATGGGGCTCTGAGAGACCCCCCTCACGGAGACCTAGAAGCCTGTAAGGAGGGAAGCTGGCTTTGATCCCCCGGGGCTGCCCAATCCGGACACTGGGGTAGGGGAGGCTTGGGAAGGTTTGGCCTCTGTCCTTTGGAGCTGGGGGCATAAGAGGAGCCCCCCACCTGCAGAAAGGTGGGGACAGAGGTCAGTGGAGGGAGTGGAGGGGGTGGAGGGAGGGCTGGGAGAGCAGCAGGGCACAGGGGTTCTTGGTCCCTGCAGGTCCCAAGATCCCACATTCACGCCCCTCAGAGGGCACTGCCAGTCTAGACCCAGCTGCCTCACACCCACCTTGTCCAATCCAAGACTCTGAGCCTCTTCCCCTGCTGGGCATCCCCCTAGAGTGGCCAGGGGAGGAGGGAGGAGCCTGCAGAAGGGAGAGAGTGGACTGTGGGCCTTGGGGAGGACTTTGGCTGCACTGGGACCTCTTACCTGAACACAGTAGCAATGATCCGTTGTGACTGCCCTCATCACAGGGAAGATGGGAACCTGCGTGATCTGCCTCACCTGGGCCTTAGGAGCGGGAGGAGAGATTGATTTGGTGGAACAAGGTTAAAGGCAGGGATGGGAGAGAAGTCCAGTGATTTAATTCTTGCAGCCCACCTGCTGCAGAGTGATCAGTAAACTGGTTGCATAAATCCCAGGACCAGGCAGCTTTTGACTGTAATCTCTTTGGCCAGAAAATGTTTTGGATTCGCCAAAATTTTAAAATCAGGGGATGTCAAACCACAGTCTGGATTTCCCATTTCTCATAAAAGGCAGGTGGTCTGGCTACATGGGCCCTCATCCCTGCAAGGTAGTGACCAGCTGGAGCTGATGAGCAGCCACGCTCTCAGCATGGGGTTGGGAGTCTCCAGTTCGCCACAGGCCCCACCACTCCCCATTGCCTCCCCAGCACAGACACCAAGTTGCCATTTATCTTCCCCTGTGCCCTGGTTGATGAGGTTTCCAGCAGTCGATTTTTTTTTTTTCTTCACACACAGCCCTCTTCTCTCTTTCATGTTTCCTGATTGGCCCCAAGGTATTTGTATTAGTATCAGTGACTCTTTCAATAGAAGCACAGGAAAAAGCTCAGAAGGAAATGACCCAAAATGCTTACGCCAGTTTGCTAGGTGATTACAACAGCTGATTTTTATTTTTCTTCTTGATTCTCTTCTACAGTTTCCAAATTCTCTACAATGAACATGTACTTCTTTTTAATATCAAAAGACAAAAGAATTGGTACGTAAAAAGAACATCCTTCCCATCTTCAAGGTCAAGATTGAACGCTGACTCCTGCAGGAAGTCTTCCAGGATTCCCAGGCAGGAATGATGGCTCCCTGTCCCTGTAGCTCCAGGAGTTCTTGCTTCACGCACGCCTCACATACCAGACTGAATGTTGGCAGGAGGAGTGACCAGGTCGGTCATCTGTGTCCCTACCACCTACAACAGGCCAGCAATCTACCCGTGTGTGTTTGTTGGACAGAATTAACCATGATGGGCGGCCGAGGGCGCCTGGAGCTATTTGGGGGCTTGGAGAGAACCTCTTAGGAGAGTGTCAGGCCCTAGGCCAGTGTCACCAGAGGAGGTCAGTCTCAGTCCTTGGAGTGGTGGGATGGAAACCAGACGGGACTGGCATGGTCCACAGTTCTTGCCACAAGAGGGCTTCAGGAGAGGCTGAGGGCCCCTCTGAGGCGTGTGCTTGGTCAGGGTGAGCAAGGGCAATGCAGCTCATACAAAGGCCCAGATGGACAGAGGGACCTAGCCCAGCCCACGCATCGGTACCGAGCCTGGCTCAGGGGCAGGCCGAGGCTTGTGCAGTAGACAAACATTTACAGCAGACACCAGGCAGCTCCTGGAAACCACTCCCCAAAAAACAGCATTGGAATCGGGGACCCCCAGCTGTGAACGAAGGAGCAAGGAGGCCCTGGGAGAGGAGGAGAACCCCAGGGAAGATGGAGGGAGGACTGGGGGGCTGAGGGAGGGAGGGGGCCTGGGCTCAGAGGTAGGCGAGCTGCTGCTGTGCTCCTGGCAAAGGGCCTCTCCTCCGCCAGGGCTCTGGCCCTGAAGGTCTGCCCTGGGCCCCATTCGCCCTGGGTGCCACCTGAGGTTAAAATGACAGAGGATGCAGAGTGCCCTCAGGGTGACCACGAGAGACAGAGCAACTGGAGCCACATTTCTGTCCCAGGCAGGGGCACAGGATTAAGGATGTGCCAGACCCTCAAGATCCAAGGCCTGGCCCCCAGCAATGAGGGCTGGGCCCAGGGGTTGTAAGGAGAGACCAGGCCTCCAGCTGGGTTGGGACAGATGTGGGGACAGTACCCTAGGCAGCATGGCGGCGCACTTCTGAGTCCCGTGGGAGCTGAGTGAGAGCCGAGTAGTCCCCAAGGCCAATTCAAAAGCCCAGCCCGGGAGTCCGTCCACCATGGCAACGGCCCATCTCTCCATGGTCGTTGGGCTTTCCAAAGTCTGCGGCTGACTGGCCTGGGGCTGGGCCGGGCTCGGGGGCCACAGGCAGTGTGCGACGAGGCCGAATCTCTGCTTCATCACATGGGCAGGTGGGCTGGAGGCCTAGATGCGGCTGGACGAGGTGCTGCCCGAGCTGATGGGGAGCCTGGCGCTGTCTGAGTTGCTCTTCAGAGGGGAGGGGCCACCCCGGGCCTGCAGCCGCATGGACCAGTACCAGATGAAGATGAGGAAGCCTGCGGGCAGTGAGGGCACGGGGTCAGCAGGTGGGGGAGCCCCACCCCATCCCTCCTCCTCCCTCCCCAGCCATTGTGACTCGGGTCTGCCCCACCTCTCCATAGTGTTTGCCAAGCACGTGCTGTCGGGCACCCATGAGACCCAGCGAGCACCTCCTATGAGCCGGGCACTGTGCTGCGTCCCCGTGTGGCCTCTCACTGTCACAAACTTCCTAGGCCCATCCTATTCATTACTATTCTCTTTTGTAAACAAGGAAACTGAGGCCCAGGAGGCTCAGGTAAAGGGACGTGGCTGAGCCAGGGCTCAAACTGTGGTGAACAGGCTCTGAAGTCCACCCACTTAAGCACTGTGAGATTTTGCACCCCTCAAATTAATAGCACTATGATGTATCCACAGCTTAGTAAATGTCTGTGTGAATGTATGGGCCTCACTTACAATCCTGAGTCCCCTCATCTCACAGGCAGGAATGAAGGCTTGAATGTTAAATAACCGAAATGTGGTAACATCTCCCCACCACCAACTCCCAGCTCCCATTCTAGGGTGACCCTGTATGGGAGGCTGGCCTTGAACCCCATGAGAGCCCCTGGGCCTGGCCATACAACCCCCTTCCATTCTGCACGGCCAGGAACAGAGGGGTGTGCATGCCTGTGTGTGCACCTCAATGTACACACACAGGTACATGCACAGAAAGGGACCCTGTTGGCATCAAGCCAGAGCCATCATGACCCTGCCCTGGGATCCCACCTCTCCGCCCCGACCCGCCGCCATCTGGCCACGCTCTCCCTCACTGTCCTTCCTACACACAACCGGTTCCAACCTCAGGATCTTTGTTCTTGCCTCTCCCTCTGCCTGGAGCTTCCTTCCCCTAGACCAGGGCTCCTGATCCTATCATGTGCACGTGACCCCTTGGGCATTTGTGAAAATGCAGATTCTGATGTGGCAGGGCCCGGGTGGCCCAGAGGCTGCGTTTCCAAAAAGCTCCTAACAACGCTGCTGCTGCTGGTCTGTGGACCGCGCCTGGAGTAGGGAGGCCCCCCCATCTCTCCATGGGGGGATCCTTCTCTTGTCTTCACACGTCTCATATCCAGAGAGGCCTCCCTGGCCACCCTTCTTAGGGTGTCCCCCACCCCAGCCGAGGCCCTGTGCAGCACGTGCTCACGACGATGTCCCTACTATCTGGGACCACCTTTGATGGCTATATGCTTGCCTGCTCATGCGCAGTCTTCCCCAGTAGAGCTGAGTTCCAAAAGAACAAGGCCCACACCCAACCAGCTCAGCCATAAGCCCTGTGGCTTAACACAGGGCCTGCACATAGTAGGTGCTCAATCAAGACTTGTTGACTGTGGCCTGGATGTCCCCATTTTATGAATGGGATGACTGAGGCCCAGAGAAGGGAAGTCTTCAGGTTCCCTGGGTGATCTCTTCCCTGCCCTTGCTCCATGTGTAGACACCCTGCCTGGGCCAAGGGACGGGTCTTCTCCTTACCTTGGAAGGAGGTGATGATGCTGAAAAGGTAGAGGACGACAAGCTGGAAGGTGCCAGAAGCAAAGGAGAAGAAGATCAAGGCCCAGGGCAGGCCAAGGACCAGGCTGAGGCCCAGCAGTGTCAGCACATGTGACCACTTTTGGGTGTGGGGGCGCAGCCGCAGGATCTGCACCACCATGGTGGCTAGCATGGCCATGTTGAACAGAAACACCAGGCTGAAGAGGCCCAGGTTGGTGATGTAGCTGACCAGGGAGTCCCGGATCCAGCACCTGCGGGCAAAGGCAGGAGGGCTCAGCGTGTGGCCAGCACGGGCAGCATTTCCTGGGCTGTGGTTGTCATGTTTGTTTTCAGGATTATCCACTGTTTACAGCAAGTGCGCTTGTTTTCTATTTACAGTGTTGATGTAATTTTAAAAATACATTTGAGTTAACAAGTCAGATTGTTTAAAGGAAAATGTTAAGTAAGTAATAATATAGATAGTACAAAAGTGAGGCAGAAATCACTGGGTCACAACATAAAGAGCTGAAAATTTCAAAACCACTGAGCCAATGGGAAGGATTCCTTCCCAGGCTGGAGCTCAGGAACCCTGGCTTCCGGTTTGGGTTCAGGGGATCCACAGGCAGGGCCGCTGCCAGCCTGGGTGAATCAGGTGAGTGGAGAAGGACTGGACTTCAACCCCACTCATCCTCTGCCTCCGAACAGCACACCAGCCCTCAGTGTGGCCAAGAGCGGATCTCTTCCCTCCCTGAGCCTCTGTCTTCCCATCTGCATGGGGAGACAGAGAGGTGCTGCTGAGGAATGTGGTGAGGCTCATCTGCTCCAACCCATACCCCCATTCATGCATGAGGAAACCGAGGCTCAGAGAAGGGCCGGGGCCTGTGCAAGGTCACCTGGTGAGTGAGTGGTAGATCCAGGCCTTTTCTCACCCTCCATGACTCTTAGACCAGTGCTTCAGCCACTGCCAGGCCAATTCCTCGAGGAGACTGGAACCCAGGTGTCCCCTGGCCAGCATGACCTGGGCCCGGGCTGCACTCTGGCCTCTGTGCCCAGAGACCCACCTTCTTGCCCCCATTGCACACAGCCACTCACATGGAAGGGTAGATGACGCCCTCTGGAGTCCTATGCACAGCCAAGATGATGGGGCCATAGTTGTCCACATCCACCAGGGCCACCAGCGTCACCAGAAAGATGGGGAAGCCTGAGGGTGGCAATGCATGTTGCTCTACTTCCCGCTCTCTGAGGCCTGCCCATTCCCTGCTGGCCTCAGGGAGTCTGGAGGGCAAGGGCCCCTCTGAAGTTTGGGCTCCTGAAGCCCACCCAGCCCCATCTGGTGGGGAAGTTCCCCCAAGTTTGGACCCTCCCCCTCCCCATTCCAGTATGGGTTTCCTATAAGGGGATGCCATCTCCTCCAACCTTAGCCCTGCCCTTCGTCACCCTGGGGGCCCCTGGGAGAAAGGCCTGTGGGTCTCTGCTGCAGGGCTGGATGTCACAGGGGAGATGGGAGGGGCAGACAGTTTAGGAGGGACGGCAAGAGTTCTGCCATCAGGGGACGTCTGCACTGGGCCTTGACCTCGCCCGTTCGGTGGAGATTAGAAGCTCCCTAGAGGGGGCTGCCCACCTCCAAACACAAAGTCCTGACACAGAGACACCTCCAAAGGAATTTCATGCAAATGGGGGAATGGACAAAGAAGGGGCCCAATGACAAACCCGCGAAGAGCAGCAAGCTGGAGTCAGGGGCATGCGGAGGTTGAGGGGTCTGTGCAATGTCCAAACAGACTTGTGGCATCATGAGCCCCTGGGCTGTAGGTCTGACATAAGAGGGCTGGCCACAGGTGAATTGAACAGTCATTGGCCAAGAACAAAATGCCAAGCCACAGGGAATCTGTTACCCAAGGTCCAGGGGGATCCTGAGGCAGGGCCACTGCCAGCCCGAGTGAATTAAATGACTGGAGCGGGACTGGATTTCAGCCCCTCTGATCTCTGAACTGGGTGCCTTTGAGCAGTGCACAACCTGCACATTCACACACGGTGGCCCTGCTCGTAAATCCCCTTTGCAATGGAGTGAGTGATGTGGAGAATTTGGAAGTGTTTCTTGGGGACAGGGCTCACTGCTTCTTCCTAAAGGGGACCTTGATTCAGCCAAGGTGAAGGACACCTGAGGATGAGTGAAGGAGGCCAGGAGGGAAGTCAGAGAGATAGGTGGAGAGGCAGAACCAGGTGCCTGGGTTTTGCCAGAGCCAAGTGGGAGAGGCAGGTCTGAGGCACCCCCCGCCCAACCACTTACCCCAGCCCATGGCGCTCAGCTTGAGTAGGTAGCCAGGGACATAGGTGCCAAAGACCTCCACCACGAGTCGGTAGAGGTTGTACCCCTCGAGGCCCATCCAGGAAAGGCAGGTGAGCAGGGAGAAGTGCAGGAAGATGGCACTGGCTCGGCAGCCAGCCTCAGAGCCTGTCAGGGCCACCGGCTCGCTGAGCAGGAAGCTCGTGTCCAGCAGGAAGACGGCCAGCAGCAGGTTCATGTGCACCTTGATGGTGTAGTCCCGAGGTTTCCTCCTGCACGGCAGGGGCACCCTGGTGGGCCAGTGTGGGAAGGTAGAGAGGGGAGTGTGCCCACATCTCCTCCAGGAAGCCTTCCCAGACTGCCCCCCACCCCGACACACACATGCAGTCATACATGGCCCCTATCCTATTCCTGTGGCTGCAGCCAAACTGTTCCCCACATCCCCCTGTGCACCTACTGTGTGCCCAGCACCCACAGACTCAGGCACCACGTGCACGTTTAACAGAAGCCTCAGCCAGGCAGAGCGAGGAAGACAACCACAGTAATAAACCAGATACTCTCAAAGTCAGAGCGGAAACACTTTGGCATTTTCACCATGTTGGAGAATCCATGCCATCCACATTCTGTGTCTTCCCGTCTGTCTGCACAACTGTGCACCTGTGAGTCTGAGTGTGGGCTGCCCGCATCGGTCTGTCTGAGGTTTGCAAGTCAATGTGTGCACACCCCACCCCACCCCCACTCCAGGATTCTACATGGCCCTAGAGGGTGCAGCAGAACATGCAGGCCCCAGTGTCACCATCCTGGAGTCCCACCCTGCCCTGCCCCTAACTCATGGCACCATCTTCAGCTGGTCCCCTCCCCTTGAGACTCTCAGTTTGCCTATCTGTGAAGTGGGAGGATGGTACCCTCATAGGGTTGGGGTGAGAGTTACACTGACACAAAGCATCTGACACAGATAAGGTGCTCAGTTCCTAAGGGTTCCTGTGCTGTGTCCTTGGGCATGTTTGTGAGCAACTGGGTGTTGAGGACTTCTGCCTCCACCCCCAGCCTTCCGCCGAGCCCATCTCATCACCCAGCTGTCCTTCCTCATCACCATCACCTACTTAGCTCCCCAGGTACACAGCTGTGCACACACAGGACAGTCATATAGGCACACACGTGCTTGTGCACACGCATAAATACAGCTTCACTTTCCTCTCCTTCCTCGTGGCTGGGGACAGTGAGAACCGAGGGTGCCTCTCCTCTACCCAAATGGGTTCAGCGCTGAGGGCAAGTGGACCCCAATTTAGGCCAAGCCAAGCACTGACAATCTGACCTCTGCCACTTCCTTGCTGTGTGACCTCAAGCAAGTCACTTACCCTCTCTGAGTGTTCCTTCATAGGGCTGTTGTGAGGATGAATTGAGTTCACACATGTAAAACACTTAGAACAGTGCATGGCACACGGGAAGTTTGACACACGTTAAGTATGATCATTACCGCTGTGATATTATTGTGTCCACCCAGTGCTCTCACAAATCTGCTTATTCAAAGGCAGAAATGAAAAATCTTTCCTTTTTTAAGTTTTTTATTTTGCTTTCCTGTCTTACTCTAGGAAAGAAACAGATTCTTAGGTGGACTCTCTCAATTTTAAATGTTGACAATTAGCCTGGCACAGTGACTCATGCCTGTAATCCCAGCGCTTCGGGGGGCTGAGGTGGGTGGATCACTTGAGGTCAGGAGTTCGAGACCAGCCTGAGCAACATGGTGAAACCCCGTCTCTACTAAAAATATACAGATTAGCCAGGTGTGGTGGCAGGCGCCAGTAGTCCCAACTACTCAGGAGGCTGAGGCACAAGAATCACTTGAACCCGGGAGGCAGAGGTTGCAGTGAGCCGAGATCATGCTACTACACTCCAGCCTGGGCGACAGAGGCAAGGCTCTGTCTCAAAAAAATAATAATAATAAAATAAAAATAAAAATAAATAAATACAATGTCGACAGCTAAAATTTGTAAATACTATGTTATCCAAACACCACTGATCTGAGGAGGAGACGTGGCCCCCAAGGGTCAGCTTACCCCAAACAGCTCCCCTAACCACACACACAGTTCCAGGTCATGCGGGCGGGCCATGACCGGAGATGTGTGCGGCGCCCTGGTGGAGGTGTGTGCAATGGAGGGTCCCCTCCCCTGTCCCACCCCTTTCAGGCCTCACCTGGAGCAGAGGTAGGCGGCAATGGTGACAAGGCAGGCCAGGGCAGAGACGACACAGCCCACGTAGGAGAGGAGGCTCAGGTAGTGCTTGTGCACGGCGTCCACCTCCACCGAGGAGACCTGGCCCCAGGAGACAGGAGAGAGCTGGCCTCTGTGTCCCCCACACAACCTGGAGGCTTGCCCTGCGTGAGGGGCTAACCTGGGGTCCCTGGTGGGCCTCGGAAGCCTAAGAACCCCCTCTCCCAACTGAGCAGAATGTGGTCCCATAAGTGCATTTTTCTGGAGTGGGGGCATCTTTAGATTTGACCACATTCTCAAGCGGCTTCCTGACCCACAGAGGCCAAGAACCCTTCATGAGAGAACCCCTATTCTGTCCTGGCATTGATTATTCTTCTATAACATTTAACATGGGAATAGGTTTCCTGTGAGGGAATGAGATTCCCACACCCAGGGGTGTTCAAGCCCCAGGTGGATACCCACAGGCAGAATCCTACAGTCCTGGGAGCATGAATTCTGAGGTCTTGGGGGCACTGGAGGCCACCTCAGGGGCCTCATTAGAAACACTCTTGGCCCCATCACTGCCAAATCAGAACCCTAGGTGAGGGCCAGGAATCTGCATTTTCGTACACACCAAAATTTGGGAATAAAGAGCAGGGGCTCTACAAACCAGCTCTTTCACTGACTAGCTGTGTGGCCACGGGTAAATTGCTTAACCTCTCTGAGCCTCCATTTCCTCATCTATAAAATGGGACAACAATAGAAGCTACCTTGGAGAGCTGTTATGAGGAATAAATGACTGAATATATGAAAAGTGCTTGCACAGAACAAGCACACGGCCTGGGGTGTGGCTGCGAGGTGGGAGCAGGGACCCTCACCATCAGCACTGCAAAGTAGGTCAAGTGGTTGCAGAAGCAGGATGTTTGGGTTTCTCTCCTGACGGTCTCACACCCAGCACTGCTCCAATGCCCCGGGCTGCTCACTGAGGAGGGGACAGCACGGGGCTCCAATCAAGTCCAGTCCTCCAGGACCCCACTGTGTCCACCCCCAAAAGCACGACTGTGTCATTCTTCCACCCGGCCTACTCATAGCCTGCCATCGCTCTCTCTTCAAAGTCCTCCTTTCTCCAGGAAGCCCTCGGTGATTAACCCCACCTCCCCCACCCCCCAGGACTCTATTTCTCTTCCAGATACTTGTCCAGCCCAGAGACCCCTGCATACTCACATGTGGGGTCTTCAACCCAGAACACACATTGCAGAGTCACATTCTTCTGTAGGGACAAGAAAGGAGAGTGGTTTCTGTGACAGCCCCCCACCCCTCCAACTTTACAGGCCAGGCAGAGGAAGTCTAGAACACAGTCAAGCCACCACCCGCCCCATTTGGACCTGACTGCTCGATCAGGCAATCGTTTCATTATAAAGACAAATGAGTCTGGAGGGAGGGAGAGGAAAGGGTGACATGGCCGAGGGGCGCTTGTTCTCTTGATGGCTGGCCCCCACTCACCGGCTGTAGCTGGTGCTGGAAAGTGAGCACCACGGGCTCCGTGAGGTTGGCTACTTTGGTGTTCTGTACCACAATCCCCAAGACCTTCTCACCCAGGACTTGGCTGGAATTCTTGTCCTAGATACATGGGGTTGGAGGAAGAGAGTAGGGAGGGAGTTCAGGACTGAGAAGAAGGGCCCAGAAGCCCCTTACCCTCTCTAGATAACCCTCTCCCAGCACATTGCCTTGAGATGCTGCGTCTCCCTCTGGAACCACTTTTGCCCATGTAGTCATTTACACTATAGTAAGAAGAACATTGCTTAGCCCTCTCACAGGGAGATTTGCACATTGCAGTGCAATTTGTAACTTTACAAGGAAAGGCTTTGACTCCCAGAGGAAGGAGCTCATCTGCGTGCCTTCTTTCCACCTCTGTCAGAAAAAAACTGCTTTCTCCTGGGAGGCATGAGGGTGAGGACCCCATACCTGGAACAGGGCTTGGCTGCTGAAGTCCACCAGGAGGAGTCTCTTCTCAGCCTCCCCGCTCCGGCCTTTCGTCCTCTGGAAGAGTGTTCGAGGCAGCAGCACCGAGTACTCCATGATCTCGCTCTGCTCCTCCTGCAGAGGTCCCTTTAGGGCTCAGCCAAATGCGGACCCCTAGATCCGTGCCCCCCACCCTAGCACACACACACACACACCCATCCGTTCCTGGACGCTGCCACTTCTAAGCCCATTTCTTCAGGAAGTCAAGCCTGACTCATGACAGCCCTCCTCATCCCTCCCTTCCCTGCTACCAGCTCTGGCTGGGGAGTCTTGTGGTTAGAATCCAGGACTCCAGGGCAAATAGCCCTGGGAGAACCACATGATGTTCTGTTGTCTGGGGCTTCAGATGCCAGCTCTGCCTACAGCAGCCAACTTGGGGGTGGCCATGTGGGCAGTGTGGGTGGTTCCCAGCTAACCAGAGCCACTCAGGGGGCAGTCTCAAGATGGGGTGTGTGGCTGGGTGCAGTGGCTCACGCCTGTAATCCCAGCACTTTGAGAGGCCAGGGCGAGAGGACTGCTTGAACCCCGGAGGTCAAGACCAACCTGGACAACGTAGCAAGACCTTGTCTTTACAAAAATAAAAAAATGTTTTTTGAGACAGAGTCTCGCTCTGTTGCCCAGGCTGGAGTGTAGTGGCACAATCTCAGCTCACTGCAACCTCCGCCTCCCGGGTTCAAGCGATTCTCCTGCCTCAACCTCCCGAGTAGCTGGAATTACAGGCATGTACTACCATGCCCGGCTAATTTTTATATTTTTAGTAGAGACAGGGTTTCACCATGTTGGCCAGGCTGGTCTCGAACTCCTGACCTCAAGTGATCTGCCTGCCTCGGCCTCCCAAAATGCTGGGATTACAGATGTGAGCCACTGCACCTAGCCTTGCAAAGAATTTTTTAAAGCCAGGTGTGGTAGCAAGCCTGCAGTCCCAGCTGCTCACAGGCTGAAGTGGGAGAATCGCTTGAGACCAGGAGTTTGAGGCTGCAGTGAGACATGATTACCCCACTGTACTCCAGTCTGGGTGACAAAGCAAGACCCTGTCTCGAAAAAAAAAAAACGGGGGGGGGGGGTGCGTGGACAGGCGTTTAGGGGCTGGTCTTCTGTTCACACGGGTGGCCCCAGGAGACTGGTATAGGAAGCAGACCCTGCCACTGTGCCCACACAGGGTCCTCAATCCCACGGTTGAACTACTGACTTAGGATGGCTATCCTCGGGCCTGGAACCTTCTCGGGAGGCCCCAGGGAGAGGCTGCGACGGCACTGAGCTTCAGGGAGTGCTCACAGCCCCCACCTCCATCTGGCCCCGGCCCAACCCGCATCTGCTTCCTGCCCAGGCCTGCCCCTGACCTCCTGCCGGGAGTGGATGTGCAGGTCCTGGAGGCCGGCTGTGGGCTGGAGCTTCCACACCGTGGCGTTGATCCGGTCCTCCTCGAAGGACACCATGTCCCCCATGAATCTCACAGAGGTCAGTTTCGACTCCAGGCTCTGCAACTGCCTGGCAGGGAGGAGAAAGCGGTGGTGATGGTGGGGAGGGGGCCGGGCCACCAGGGAGACTGAGGCAGGAGGACGAGAGACTCAGACAGAGACACAGGGAAGAGGCAGAGGCAGAGGCAGAGGCAGAGAGAGGGGTGGGGTGGGCAAGAGAGAGTGGAGAGCAGACAAAAGAGAAAAGCAGGCATCTGCGTGTGGGAGAGAAAGAATGAGCTGGGGTAGGGTCAGACAGAGGAGGCCAGGACCTGGGAGCCAAGGGAAAGGAGAGCAATGGTGTGGTGGGGGCTGTCCTGGGACTCAGCACCATGGGTTTGGGCCCAGCTCCGCCTGTGCCAACCTACTCTGTGGCCTTGGAGCGGCTCTGCCGTCTCTGAGCCTTGGTCTGCTGGGCTGTACTGTGGACCACCCATCCTTTCTTTATGAGGGGGAGGAGGGCTTGGGATGGTGGATGTGATGTTGGTTACTGACTCAGACAGGAGAGGGCTCAGCCTGGGGGGCATGTGTTGACTCCCAGAAGGCAGAAAGAGAAATCAAAGAAGCATTCCAGTCCCAGGGAAGGCCTCGCAGTAGCCCCTACTCCAGGTCCCACCCTGCCCAGGTCCAGATCTCTGATGCCTTCCTGCCTCCCCTCACAGCCCCAGGTGCCAAACTTACTGGCTGGCGGGGGCAGCCGAGGGCCTCCTTGAGGCCTTCTGGGGATGCTTCAGGAACTGGCTGAGCAGCTGGAGGTCCCTTTTGAGCTCGCACATGTCCACCGAGGCATTGTGAGCGGCCGTGTGGGGAGGACCTGGGGGAGGGGTGGACAGGCCCCCGCCGAGGCTGCCGATTCAGGTCCCAGGACCCTCCCATTCTGCCCCCTACCACCCTGACATGACTCTGAATGCCTCGATCTTTACTTTACAAAGGGGAAACTGAGGCTTCAAGAAGCAGAGTGGACTCTGCCAAGGCCACTCAGATGAGGCCAACCCGTGGGGGTTGTGTCTTACAGAACCCGCCAGCAATGCCAGCCCCAGCGGGATGGGGTGGGATGTGCCTTGCTCAGCACCCTCCGCAGACACCTTCGGCTACACACACGGAGCAGAGAGGGCCCAGCCAGGCCTCCTTAGGAGGGATGTGCGGGGCTTGGTGGTGGTTCCTGGGACTCCACACCCACCAGCCTCCCTGACTCCAGGCTCGGGCCCCTCTGCCCAGGTAGCGTGGGCGGCCTACTAAGGCGGCCGACTAAGGTGTCTCCAGGGATTAGCTGGGACTCAGATGAGGAAGACAAACAGTGGGGGTTGGAGGGTATACTTTCTGTGCCACTGAGGAAGGCAGGCCCTGGGTAGCTCCATCTTTTGAATGCATAACCGAGAAAGCCTGGGTTTTAGGTGATTTGAAATCCCTGGTCCATGTTTTTTAAAAACCCTCTACAGGCCAAACAAGACCAAGTTCAGTCTGGTCTTCAGAATGCCAATTTGCAACTAGGATCAACTTTGCCCTAAATCCTCCCAGGTTGCGGGGCAGAATCCCAGCCTGGGGTGTGGGGAACCCCCCACCACTGACGGGCCTGGGCCTGCCTGTTGCACTGGACATAATCATTAGCCTGTTACACTGACACAATCAAAGTGCTGTGCCCCCCACCCCTGAAAGCCCTGCCTCAAACTTGAGGTGCTGGAAAGACATGAAAACCCCCCAGTAAACCTTCAAGCTCCTTCTGATGCTCCTCCCTTCCTGGCCACCATTCAGCATTTAATGGTGCTGAATGGCAGTGGCCACATGTACCTGTCACACTCAAGGGGGAAGATGCAGCTTCTGGACCTCAGAGTCAACCCCACTGCTTTCCTGACCTTTGACCTCTCATACTCCGCCCCTCACCCCTACCCCACTCCAATCAGCTGCTGGGTTCAAATCCTGGCTCTCCCATTGGCTAGCTGTGCAGCTTTGGGCATCCTCTCTGTGCCCCAGTTTCCTCCTCTGTGAAAGGAAATAAACAGTCTACACTGATGCTGAGGAAGAATTCTTCCTGGGGCTCTTGATCTTCAGTCCCTTTCCAGTCTCTGCTCTCTCACCCTATTCAGACCTCATCCTCCTTCACCAAGACCTTCTCTGCAGCCTCAGGACGGGCCCTTGCCCTTCCATCCTCACCCCTGCCTGCCCACAAAGTAACCATCAAGGGACAGTGGGGCCGAGCGCAGTGGTTCATGCCTGTAATCCTAGCACTTGGATTACACTCCTCCCCTCCTCAGACACCTTCACTGGCTCCCCAGTGCCTGTGAGCAAAGCCCAGTCTTCATGATCTGATATTGTGAGCCCAGTCCACTTTGCATTTTGCCTTCCCTGCCTCTAGACCACTGCCCAGTTGTTCCCTCCGCCTGGAAGTTGCCTTACTGTGGAAGGAGAAGGTGAAGCTGGCGGCACTGGGCAGGCTGATGTTCTGAGGGCTCCACCAGGAGGTGACAGAAGTGGCTAACAGCGGGGGGCCCTGAGCCAGGCTCTCCTCCTGGTGCTGGAAGCAGAGGAGGCTAGAGGCTTTGTCACTCAGCAAGAAGTCACGCTTGCCATAGAGAAGATGTAATCTCCCAGCATGTCGGTTCCAGTAGAGGCAGAAGTGGTAGAGGCCCCTGGGGTCAGGGAAGGATCGGGAAGCAGGGTGGGCTGCAGGGAAAGGGGCATGGACTGTGAGGGCCTCTTCGGAGTTCTCGATGGAGATGCGCAGGTCTGGTGTGGGTTTGTAGTGGAGGCTGCTCCTGTGTGTCTGGTTCCGCTGGCTGCAGAAGCGAAAGTCTTCCCTGTGGCCCCTGCCGTGGGCACCTGAGGAGGCAGAGGCTGCAGATGGGACCCCGTGGCAGGGGCTGACCAGAGGCATGGAAGGGGACAGGACCTAGGCTGAGTACATGTGAACCTGGAGCCTGAGATTCACACACATTCCAAGGGTCTACAAAAATGTGTTAGTCTTTCCCACTCAAAACTTATCAGCATCAAACTATAAAAAGAGGAAACTGAGGCCGGGCGCGGTGGCTCACGCCTGTAATCCCAGCACTTTGGGAGGCTGAGGCGGGCGGATCACGAGGTCAGGAGATCGAGACCATCCCGGCTAAAACGGTGAAACCCCGTCTCTACTAAAAATACAAAAAATTAGCCGGGCATAGTGGCGGGCGCCTGTAGTCCCAGCTACTTGGGAGGCTGAGGCAGGAGAATGGCGTGAACCCGGGAGGCGGAGCTTGCAGTGAGCCGAGATCCCGCCACTGCACTCCAGCCTGGGCGACAGAGCAAGACTCCGTCTCAAAAAAAAAAAAAAAAAGAGGAAACTGAAAACGAATAGTAATTTCAAGGGGAAAACATATTTTTAACAGCAATGAAGTATTTAATGAGGCCATGGCTGACATAGACGGTTGTGCAGGTGGTACACTGCACAAGAATGCTCTGGCTGCAGAGGTGAGTGGGGCCAGTACCCCATCCATATTCCATACCCTAAGCTGTGCACTGCAGGGCTGCACCTGCCAGAAGGAAGGAGTGTCTTTTGCTTTTCTCCAAGGTACCCTCCACTAGCCGAGCTGTAACTGCCTAAAGGAGTTAGCATGTGTGCTGGCAGCCACCCTAGGCACAGGGGCATTTTAACGTAAGTTCCAACAGCCCAGGGCACCCCTGGGAAGACCTGCCTTGGACCAGGAAGAGCAGACTCAGCAGGAACAGTGTCGTCTGCAGCAGCGACTGGGGAGTCATTTTCCTCCGACGGAGTCACTCTTGGAAGTCACCACCTGGAAGAGACCAGGAGTGTTAGCTGGGAGTGTGGACTGTGTGGTGGTTGGGCTGGCCCTGCAGAAGAGGAGGCCAGTGTGGCATGGATGTGGGAGGTGAGGTGGGGAAGCAAGTGTGGAAAAAGCCCATGGACCTCCCCAGAGCGGCCAGAGGCCGCTCCCCAAGAGGCAGTGAGGCCAGGCGTGGTGACTTATGTCTGTAATCCCAGCGCTTTGGGAGGCTGAGAAAGGAGGATCGCTTGAGCACAGGAATTCAGACCAGCCTGGGCAACACAGTGAGACCCTATCTCTACAATAAATAAACAAAATTAGCCAGGCATGGCGGTGTATGCCTGTGGTCCCAGCTACTAGGGAGGCTGAGGTGGAAGGATCACTTGAGCCCAGGAGGTCGAGGCTGCAGTGAGCTATAACTGCGCCACTGCACTCCAGCCTGGGTGACAGAGTGAGACCCTGCTTTAAAAAAAAAAAGGCGGGGGAGTGGCTGTCCAGAGTCCAGCTGAGTTCCAGTCTCAGTTCCACCTTTTGCCCGCTGCAGGACCTTGTGTAAGTCACTCAAAATCGGGCTAATCGTAGTACCTCCCTCCTGAACCCAGAGTGACGGGATTATCTTATCTAGAATCTGGCATGAGGGTTCTACCTGGAACCGTCACCACCTTGCCCCTCCAGGCCCGGAGGGAACACAGAAAAAAGGGGGCTCCCAGAGTTCTCCCCAGCTACCTCCCTATCATCATTCCTGAGACCTAGCTCAGAGGACACCTCCTCCAGGAAGCCCTCCTCAACTCCCTCCAGAGTCAGTCCCAGCCTCCTTTGGTTCACACCACTGGCCAAAGCCCCTCCCCACCCCCAGTAGCCTCCTCCAGGTAGTGGGAGACGTGCATTCCCTCCTCCTTGGTCAGCCAGGGAGCACCTGATCCATCTCTGTGGGCAGGCCCTGGCTGTACAGAGGTTGCTGGATAAAGGCTGTGGGGATGGACAGTGAAGGAACTAAAGGATCAATGCATCCGCGACGCCCTCTACAGGAGCCAGAGGGGAAGGGCGCTTCCTATCATGACCGCCAGGGGGAGCCAGTACCCAGGGTCCAGAGCATCTGGAACAGCAAAGGGACCACGGTTTCTGCTGGGGACAAGGACTCGGTATTGCCCCGCCCTGGCAAGGATGGAGCAAATCTGACCCCCTAAGCTCTCTATTAGCTGAGCGGCTACTATCTGCCAGCCTCTGTGTTGACCCATCCCACCCCTGCATCTGCATTGATTCCCACTCCAACCCTCTGAAGTGGGCACTGCTGTTGACCCATTGCACAGATGGAGAACCTGAGGCCCATGGAGTTAAATGACTTGCCCAAAAATGCTCCCGAGGCCAGGGGCTTTCCCTGCCTGGTCAGGACTATAGTGCCTGGCAGGGAACCTGTGGCCCTGGCACTTGTAGACTTGCCAGAAGGCTTGGCCCTCCCTATGGCCAGCCGGCCCTGTGGCAGAGCTGGGTGCTCACAGACACAGACAGAACCTCATCCTGCGTGGCGCGGCAGCTGGCCACAGTGACAGAGGCAGTCATCGGCCACAAGCCGGAGAACACACGTGGAGTCTGAGTTTAAGAGAAACCAAGGAGGACTTTCAGGAAGAGGTGGCTTTTGAACCAAATCATTGAGAGCAGCATTAAAAGAAGGGGTGTCCCAGGCAGGAGCTCAATGTCTCCTTCCTGGGCCAGTCCTCCCTCAAATAAACCTGGCCCCTTCGACTGAGAGCCAGTTCCCTGCGTCCCACCATGTGGAATGGAACCCCAATTTCTCAGGCCTTGTCAGTTCAGTCGTAGGTCAAATAGGCACATCATCTTGCCCTGGTGGCATCACAGAGCCCTTTGAGAAGAAGGATGTGAAAGTGTTTTAGGGAAGGGCACCATTTCCCAGGTTGTGATTTGTAAGCATTTTGATTCCTTTTGAAACTGCCTCCTGCCACCTCTGACCACTGGAAGGAAACCCAACATCCGGGGACAGGGACATGTCCCTTCCGGACCCCCTCTTTCCTTCTGTTTCCTGTCAGTCTCTGTTGCTGTCCCCCTCTGATTGTCAGTTCAAATGCCACTTCCTCCAAGCAGCCCCTCACTGCTACCACCACTCCCTACCTGTAAACTCGAAGCTGACAAATCATTTGGAGAATTTGGATCCAAGGCCCAAAGAGGGCCAGTGACCTCCTGAGGTCACATAGCAAGCAAGGAAGGAACTGGCCAGAATCCATGCATCTCCCTGGCTTACTGACCTTCAAAGTGAGCCTTCACTGTCAGTAGGCATGGCTGAAGGACAAAGCAGAACCACCGTGTCACTTCAGCCCTCCTGGATTGGCCCTTGAGAGTAAAGGAGGGGAGTACAGGTAGAGAGCTCCCCATCATTGGAAGGAAACAAGTGAAGCGACAACATGGGGTTCCACGGAAGAAATCCAGACACACACAAGGGACCAACTGTCCCTGCCACTTCCTGAGTCATCCCCACTCCACCTCAGCTGTTTGAACAACTACTCCAAGGTGGACAGCCCTGGCTCCATTAACATGCTTGAGGCTTGAGGGGAGGGGCTGGCTGGCTTCCTTTAACCCATGGGGTAGACTCTAGAGCCAGACTGCCTGGGTTCAAATCCTGACTCCCTCACTAGCTGTGTGTCCTTGGGCTAGTTACTCACCTTCTCTGGGCCTCGCTTTCCTCACTAGTAAAGAAGAATAAAGAAGTCAACCTCACTCAAAGGTCATTGTGAGAATTAAATGAATTGATACCTGTAAACGGCTTAGAGGCAGGTGCCATCAGTCTCAGCTAAGTATCTCTGTACTTTCTAAACAGCTCATGCCTGCCCCTAACTCAGCCCCCTGGGCCTGTCACAGGCCCCTCCTCCCTGTTTCCCCCTCTTCCCGTACGGCCCCCAGCAACCAGCTCACCCACCAGAGCACCTTGAGGGGAAATTCTTAGAGCATGAAGCTTCCTTTCCGGGAGAGTGCAATGGAAGGTTAAACCCCACCCAGAAAACTTCCCTCCTCCAGAAGCCCGTTGGGACAGGAGAGCTGGGCTGGGGACAAGAAAGTTGCCACACAGATTGGGCAGGGGGACACTGTCACGCTTGTCCACTTAGCGCCCCTCCTTCATCCCTGCCTATGCCACCCCTCCAGGTCTGCCCCACGCACACACACCTGCCACCTGCCCACCCACCCACCCAGGCGCCAGGGATGTAGCATGAGTCTCCGCACAGACCCCTGGGACCTGACCTGTCTCTGCCTCTGGAGCCGCAGATCCCCAGCGCTACAGGGCCTCAGCCATCAGGCGCTCAGTACCAACCACGGCCCCACAGGCAAGGGCCCTGCCTCTGCTCACACAGAGCCAGAGGGAGTGGCTGAGCAGGGGGCATTCTAGCAACACCCCCGCAATGATAATGTTAGTGGTGACATCCACGTTATCACACCAAACCCTCAGAACCACCCTGTGATACGGGTCTCACTGCTACCATTTTACAGATGCGGACACTGAGGCTGGGGAAGGCTGTGTGTTCTGAGATCACACGAGCGTGGTGCCAAGTCTCCCCCTCCTTGTAGAGCTGGCATTGATAAAGGCCCCAGAGATGCACATCCTTCCCAACTCCCCGGCTTTAGAATCCCCACAAAGGGAAGGAGAGGAGAATGGAGAGTAGCAGAGAATCCAGCCTGGGATAGAGGGTGCTGGGGCTGAGGCCCAAGGAAGCCCCCACAACCCCCAGCTTCCAGAGCAGCCGCCCTTGACCTCAGACCTTCCGTAAACACACACAGGACAGAACAGGCCAGTCCAGTCTGACACAATGGGGGCCACATCATGGGGTTCCCCAAGGATCCAGCAGAGTGGAAGGTGGCCAGGGTTTGTCTGAGCTGAGACCCCCACCCCACCACCAGCCCATCCCCCGCCCCACCCCCAGGGCTCCAGCTCCAGACCTGGCTCAGCCCTGCCCCTCTGCACGGTGGGCAGTGGGGACCCACGGCTCGCTTTCTCCCGGGGGACCTGAGTCACTTCCGTGTGGAGCCACGAGTCACCGCTGCCCAGGCCAAGCTCCTGGAAAACCCATTTCCTCAGAGGATGGAGGTGGAAGTTGAGTGGACAGGACCTGGACGGCTCTGGGATTAACCCTTCCCGGGCAGGCGCCTCTCTGCTGTCTCCTGCCGGGAAGACCCACGAACCTGGCCATCCACTGCTTCCTTCTTCCCTTTACACACAGTGACCACTGCCCGCCCCCGAGCACAGGCATCCCACCCACAGACCTTTGCCCCTTGGTGTCCCTTTGCCTTGGATAGCACTTAGCCCCGTGACATTCCGCTCATCTTTGAGACGAGCTAAGACAAGTCCTCCCCATGAAGCCTCACCTACCCGTCCATTCCTTGCCAAAATTAACGCATGTTCCTGCTGGCCCACAACCCACCCTCAACACAACACGCCCCCCATTGCCACAGGCGCTCACATCAGAGGCTCCCAAGCCTGCCGGTGGGTCAGACCTTCCTCTGGGAGTGAGCTGAAATGCAGATTCACAGTCCCGGCCCAAAGAGGGTCTGATGGGGTGGGCTTGGGAGCTTGGCTTTAACAAGCATCCCGTTGATGGACATACTGCAGGCTTGGGAACCACGGGCTTATGAACCAGGGAAAGGCACCAGCAGCCCTGGTTTAGAGATGGTCAGAGAGGGGAGGGACTGGCCCCGCATCCCTCAGCTGCTAGATGGTAGGGCCTGGACTCGGGGCCAGGGCAGCCTGCGTTCCAGCACTCTCTTCCCTGCCCTGTGACGCAGACCCATCAGGCTCCTCTGTGGCTCCCCCAGCATTTAGCGGGGCCCTGGAAGGGGCTTCCTGAAAGACATCAGGAGAAGGGCAGGCATCAGGTTGGGGGGTGGTGGGGTGGGAAGGGAGCCAAGGAGGGAGGAACGAGGGAGCCCCGGAGGCAATCTCCAGGTTCCAGCCTAGTCTTGCCCACCTGGAGGCCTTCCCCTTAAATGGGCCCTCGCTGGGAGAGGCAGAGGGGAAGACCCCCCCAGCTCAACTTCCACTGCCCTAGCTCCCCTCCCGTCCGCAGCTGCTCTCCTGTGGGCTGCTGGGGCACGACACTGAGCTGCTGAGCCTTTGGAAGCAAGGATTTGGCCCAGGGGGTCGGGCGGCAGGGTGAGGATGAACTCCTGCGAGTTACACAGGCATGTGGGTGTGTGTGCGTGTGCATGAGTGTGTGTATGTGCATGAGTGTGTGATGAGTGTGTGCGCCCATGCATGAGTGTGCATGTGTGTGTGCATGGGGGTGTGTGCCCATGCATGAGTGTGTGATCAGTGGGTGCCCGTGCATGAGTGTGTGTGTGCATGAGTTATGAAGTGATGAGTGTGTGTGCCCATGCATGAGTGTACATGTGTGTGTGCATGGGTGTGTGTGCCCTGCATGAGTGTGATCAGTGTGTGCATGTGTGTGAGGAGTGATGAGTGTGTGCCCATGCATGAGTGTGCATATGTGTGTGTGCATGGGTGTGTGCCCGTGCATACGTGTGATCAGTGTGTGCCAGTGCGTGTGATCAGTGTGTGCCCGTGCATGTGTGTGCTTGTGCATGAGTGTGTGAGGAGTGTGTGATGAGTGTGCGTGCCCATGCATGAGTGTGCATGTGTGTGCGCATGGGTGTGTGCCCTTGCATGAGTGTGTGATCAGTGTGTGTGCTTGTGCATAAGTGTCCGTGTGTGCATGTGTGTGCCTGCGCATGTGTGTGATGAGTGTGTGTGCCCATGCATGAGTGTGCATATGTGTGTGCATGGGTGTGTGTGCCCGTGCATGAGTGTGTGCATGTGCATGAATGTGTGAGGAGTGTGTGACGAGTGTGTGTGCCCATGCATTAGTGTGCATATGTCTGTGTGCACATGGCTGTGTGCCCGTGCATGAGTGTGTGATCAGTGTGTGTGCCCATGCATGAATGTCCTTGTGTGCATGAGTGTGTGCCTGAGCATGAGTGTGTGATGAGTGTGTGTGCCCGTGCATGACTGTGCATGTGTGTGCATGAGTGTGTGTGCATGAGTGCGTGTGCCCGTGCATACACAGGGATGCATGGGGCCAGGAGGAGAAAGCAAGAGAAGGCGGGGAGCTCCTCAGAGGAACAGACTTCAAAGCTGGGAAGGGGACAGGGAGGGCGGGGCACAGTGCAAAGAGCAGGGCTCTTGCAGGTGTTTCCTCCATGGTGGGTGGCGTGGCGTCTGAGAGGACCCTCCCTCCAACGGTTTCCAAACTTTTTTAATAAAAGTAAATCTTACTTGGAAATAGCATGTACCCAACAGCTCAAAGTAGACACCCCTGTCAGACCCAGGTGGCACTCAGGGCTACGCCCCACCCCCAGCCCAGTCCCCCCACCCCTCAGCCGCACCCATGGGTCCTGGGATAACAGCTTGCAAAGGCAGAAGCACTCTCCTCCCCTATTCCCACTCCCCTCCCCCATTCCCACTCCCCAAGTGAGTGACGGAAGTCCAAGCTAGGTGACCACAGAGAGCTCCCCAAGAGGGGTATTCCAGGATCACTGGCAGAAGCAGAGTGACTTCAGTTTTCAGGAATTTTCCTACAATAAAGGAGAATAAAATGAAGCAAGCTGCCTGCCTCGGAGGCTGGCAGGTGCCCAGGCCTGGCCCACTCACTGCCCAGGGTGAGCCTCACACTCTTACACCAGACCTGCTGGACACCCCCCACCCCCCATACCGCCAGCTCAGGCCTCACTGTCCCCGTGGCTTCTGGTCCAACCAAGTGCTTGAGCCACAACACCCTCTGCCTGCCCAGACACACCCTGTGGGAAGAGTGACAAAGGGGAGAAGTTGGGGCACTCCCTGCCAGCCTGAGAGGGAAGGACCCACTCATAGGAAGGGACTCCAAGTCCTCCCAGAGAGTCAGTTGTCCAAAGCCGGCTGCCCTGCTGCCTCCCATATGCGGAACTGGGCATTTGCTTAAGAGGCCTCAGAGAAGCCAACATATAGTCATCCAGCCAGGAAGAAGCCTGGCCTTGGATGCTCCCACCTCCAAGCCTTTGCACACACTGGTCCTCCTCCCTGTGATGACAACCTTGTGACACGTCTGTGAGAGTCCCAGTGTCCTGGCCTCAGGCCCCCACATCCTCCCAGTCCCCATGCCTGGCAGGACACCAGATGATGAGTGGGACTAAACAGGGGTCTTATCTGGTGCAGTGAAAAGGGCCCTGGAATCCAGGGAGATTCTAAGAGGAGAGGGAGGATCACAGCTTCCACTCACCAAGTGCTCAATTAGCCGCTGGCATCCTGCAAAGCACTTGGCAAAAAATTAATTGTTCAATCCTCACAGTAACCCTATGAGCAGAGCCCATGAATCATGCAATCCTCGCAGCAACTTGGTGAAGCAAATGCTATCAGTGTCCCCACTTTAGGAAACTGAAGCCCAAAGAGGTTAAGTAATGCCCAAGATCACACAGCAAATAAGCAGAAAAGCCGGGACTCAAACTCAGGTCCGCCTAACCTCCAAGCCCAAACTTTTAGCCATTGTGGTCTTCTGAGTTCTTTCTCTTCTCTGGGACTCAGTCTCCCCATCTTTACCATGAGGTAACTTGCCAAAGCACTTTCAGGGAGCACTAGTCCCCAGATTAGAGAAATGCTTGTGGGCCATACTTTCTGTTGTATATTAGCATATCAAAGGCTCTGATAAGTCCTGCAGGAAAGAAACCCATAAAGCTTGGTTGGGCAGTTTCCCAACCCAACGTGAAGGTAGAGCCTTTTTTGCACGGACACCTGTTATCCACATGGAAAAAAGCTCTCAGAAATCTTGACGCCACACAGAAGCCTGCCAGCACCTCCAGCCCCCTCCCCTCCCTTCCCCTTTGAGCTGTCCCAAAGGTCATTAGCTAGCATGAGATGAGCTAGAGGAGACACTTAGGCATTCCCCAGGGCCACTCATCATCATCCCTGACACTTCCAGGAAAGAGGTCCCTGGTGAGCCTGGGGTATATTCAGGCCTATCCCACCTCCCTTCGGCCGGCAGCACCAGCTCGTGGGGAAAAGGGCACTGCCAGGCCTGTCCCAGGTGTGCCATTCCATTAAAGTTGGCCGTGGCCAGCTGGGCCTGTGACTTCATCTCAAGCAGCTAAGACACTCAGGATGTTGGAAAAGAGAGAGAAAGAATATGAAGATGCAAGAGTTTTAGGAGATGAGAATCAAAGTCTCTTAGAATTTTGGAATTGAAGCCAGGGGTAGTAGTGCTTGCCTGTAGTACCAGCTACTTGGGAGGCTGAGGCAAGAGAATTGCTTGAGCCCAGGAGTTTGAGGCTGCAGTGAGCTATGATCATGCCGCAGTACTCAAGCCTGGGTGACAGAGTGAGACCTTGTCTCTAAATACAAATTAACAAAAAAAAGAAAAGAAGAATTTTGGAGGCCAGGCACGGCGACTCACGCCTGTAATCCCAGCACTTTGGGAAGCCAAGGTGGGCAGATCATTTGAGGCCAGGAATTCGAGACCAGTCTGGCCAACACAGTGAAACCCTATCTCTAAACAAACAAACAAAATTACTGGGCATAGTGGCACACACCTGTAATCCCAGCTACTCGGGAGGCTGAGGCATGAGAATCACTTGAACCCGGGAGGTGGAGGTTACGATGAGCCAAGATCACACCACTGCACTCCAGCCTGTGTGACAGAGCGAGACCCTGTCTCAAAAAAAAAAAAAAAAAAGGACTTTTAGAATTGATTGAAGAGACTTAGAACCTAAAGGAGAAACAGGGATTAGGAAGGCACTGGGGACACCAGCCTGTCTTGAAGGGACCTCAAAGAGCCAAAGAGCCAGCAGTCCGAAGACTCTGGTGCCAGGCCTGTTCAGCTTATGCTCCTGGGGTGGTCTGCAGCCACGTAGAGGTTCATGGCCAAGTCTCCACCTGGCCATCTCCAAGGAGCAGCTGAGGCCAGCCTCCTGGGCGCCAGGGCACACACCAGTCAGTACCTGCCCAGGGAATGTACATGCCTAGAGCAGGGGTGGCAGGAGTTAGGGGCATAAGGTTCAGACAAGCTCTGCAGCCAACTGGAATCTTGAGGCCAGCCTGTCCCTTCTCTGGGCCTTATTTTCTCCTCTGTCAAGTGGGCAACTCTGATGTTTGTCCCCTGACTGCCTTCTCTGCAGCCAGGGCCCTCCAGGCTCCCGCAGGCTTCAGGATGCCTACAGGTAAGAACAGAGCTTACCTCCAAGCTGGTAGCAAGGGACAAAGAGGATGCTGAACCGTCTCCCCTGACCCCTCTAGACTGTCTTCCCTCTCAAACCACAGCCGGACCTCAGTTGTCTGGCTGAGGTTCCCCTTCCCTATCTGTGTTCCCACGTTGCCCAAGGCCAGGCCCGCAAGGTCAGCCCAGTCACCTCCCTCCTTGCTTAGCAGTTCAACTACCCCAGGTCTGGCAAACTCCCATCTTTGGAGCGCAGGACACTTAGCATTCCCAGGCTGGCCACCAACCCTCCCTTTCTTTTTTCCTCCCCCTCCTCGAGGTCCTGGATCACTGGCTGAGGGGCCGAGAGCACCCTCCCCTACTAAGTAGGCTGAGAAGAACAAAGTTCTCCCCTACCAAGGCTGGGGGCCCGAGCCTGACTGTGCCTGGGCCCCGTCCAGGGAAGGGAAGTAGAAGCACTGAGTTCCATCCCCACTCCTGAGCACACAGCACAGCATCACTGACCATCAGAGGTTGCACACCCCGCAGGCGGGGTGCTCACCACCTCCAGTGACACAACTATGTTCATTAAGCTCTTCGAAAATGCAAGACAGGATTGTGAGCTTTTTACACATGTTCACGCATTTAAGCTTCCTCAAAACCCTTGAGACAAGTACCATCACACCCACTCAACAAATAAGGCCAGCGAGGCCCAGGGAGGTCAAGTTACCTGCCCGAGGTCACACAGCTAGCAAGTAATGAAGATTGGATGCGAACCCAGGGCTGGCTCCAGGACACACGCTGTCCATCTGCAAGCCTATTTCCCTCCTGAACTTACCTGACTCTTAGAAAGCACATCTCTTGAAAAGTCACAGTAAAGAAAGCTTCCAACAATGTGTTTCCATGGGTTCAGCTGGACGCCATCCTCCCAAGGGCCCAAATCAGGGAGCCCATCAGAACTCACCCAGGTGACCTTGGATCCCAGCCCCACTGGTGGCTCTTTCCTGCACTTCCAGTCCCCTCACGCCCTGGACTTGTCAGAGGCTTGTTTCTGACACCGGGGGTGCAGCCCAGGGACCCAAAAGAATCTTCAGCAAGGGCTGGGCTGCAGGGACGGGTGTGGAGCTCTCACCCCCAACTATTTCCTTGTAGTTGAGGCTGCTGTCTTAAACTGCCCAAGTCCCTTGGAGTACCATCTGACCCCCCCAGGGTCCCTAGTGCCACCACACCCCCACCCACTGGCTACACCATCAATGCTGGGGAGAAGGGGAATGCACGGGAGAGGAAAAAGATAAAGGGGAAGGGATGGGGAGGAAGGAGGCGAGCTGGAGGGGAAGGGGAGTGAAGGAGGAAGACAGGGGAGAAGCGGGGAGCAGGGAGAGGGAGCAGGAGTGAAAGGGACGGGGAGGAGGGGAGAGGAGGCGGGAGAATCGTACCTGGACTCCTTTGTGGCATCAGGCAGACTATAGATACATTAAGAACGTGCGTGGCAGATGAGGGGTTCTTGTTTGCAGGCAGTAGCCTGCGGGGCTGGTGGGTCAATGTCCCCCGACCACCTTTTTTCAAGAGGACAGAGACTTTGAAGCTGGGCCACCCCAGCCACTGCTCCCTCACTGGAGCTTCAAACAAAGGGGACAGCCAGGGAATAGAGGCTGAGAAGCCCCAGCCGCCAGCGCGGGAGAAGGGGCGCAGGTGACAGCAGCCCCTGGCAACCGTTGCCCTGGCAACCGTTGGCAGCTGCAGGGACTACGTCACACCCCGGCTCAGACCCAGCAAAGCAACGTGGCTCCGTAACTTGTCCTGTTCCCAAGTCCTCAACTCAGACGCTGCCCAGGCCAGACAGGGAGCTGGCAGGAGGGAGGGCAGGGGTTAGGACAGCGATTTATGGGGAGCCCCGGGGACACCTGCCTGTCTTGAAGGGACCACAAAGAGCCAGAGCTTCCAATTTCTCGAGAGAGGCAGAGCCCCAGGTTTTTACATGAAATCTGCAAGTTTGTCAACATTGACTTTAAAACCAAATCTTTTTTTTTTTTTTCTCAAACAGAGTTTCGCTCTTTCGCCCAGGCTGGAGTGCAGTGGCGTGATCTCAGCTCACTGCAACCTCAGCCTTCCAGTTTCAAGCGATTCTCCTGCCTCAGCCTCCCGAGTAGCTGGGACTACAGGTGCCCACCACCATGCCCGGCTAATTTTTGTATTTTTAGTAGAGACGGGGTTTCACTATGCTGGCCAGGCTGGTCTCGAACTCCTGACCTCATGATATGCCCGCCTCGGCCTCCCAAAGTGCTGGGATTACAGGTGTGAGCCACCGCGCCTGGCCCAAAACCAAATCTTTTTAGAACCCAGTGCAGGCCACCCAGTAACCAAATTATGCCTAACAGTAGCTGGATTTGCTTCTGGAAGCTGCCAGCCTGTGGCCCTGCCCTCAAAACAAGCTGAACACCCTCTAATCCCACCACTGGCTTTTGTGAGCACAATGTGTGCATCATATTTCTCTGAAAACTCCTTAGGGTCCACCTCCTCCAGGAAGCCTCCTCAGATTGCCACAGCCTACCAAGAATCCCCCTTCTGAGTTAGCCCTAGGCCTGGAGGTTCCTCCTGGCTTCCTTCTAGAGCTCCCGGGGCGGGGCTGGGAGCTCAGATTCTCTTTTGCCAGTCTGGGGAAGGAGGAAAATAGAGGCAGAGCTTCTGAAACTCCTACTGTGTGCCAGGAACTACACTGGGCATTTTGGAGATCCATTTCTACCACTCTGCAAGGTTAGCCCTAGGGGACCCACCTTACAGATTGGGAAACAGAGACTCGGGGGATGTGACTTGCTGTGAGCCACCTAGCTGGTAAGGGAAGGGTATGGAATTTAAATGGAGATTTTCTCTGGGACATGAAGCTATCAAGACCAGTTGTCCATCTGGCACTTGGCTAATCCCTAACTCTCCCCCACGTTCAATGCTCAGCCAACTTTATTTGAACATCTCCAGTGACAGGGAGCTCGCTCTCTTCCAAGAGGGCACATTCCTTTGATCTCTAAGTTTTTCATACCCACTGAGTCAAAGGGAAAAGGACATAAAAACTGTGGTACGCCCCAGACAGGGCACAGAAAAGAACCAGGGGTTAGAACCCCCACCGAGGTTTTCGGTTCCAGGCCAGCAGATAGGGTGGGGTTGCTCAGGGGTGCAAAAGGTCCTGGGGTCTCAGTCAACCAGCTACAAGCACTTTCTCAGAGCACAAGTGGGGAACCCCACTGGCAATCACATTCTGAGGGGAGTCCAACAGAGGAAGGGGCTTTGGGATGATTTCTGGCAGAGGCCATGGGAAAGGCAGCAGGGGCTTGGGGCTGAGGGGATGGTGTCTCTGCAACTCCCCTTCTCCCCCGCCCCTCCGTGGAGCAGAGCCAGGAGGCAGCTTCAGTCAGGAGGCTGCTATTGTCTCACTGCAGGCCCAGAGCTGGGTCCCATTCAGGCCCTATTTTTGGCCCCCGGAGGAAGAGGAAAAGAAAGCAAAGAAAGGACTTGCTGTTCTCTGGTGAAACCTTCTCCCGGAAAGGCTCACAAGGCTTGCTGGCCGGAGAAGGCGGCCTCTGTTGCATCAAAGGATCCTGTGCTTAAAGGGAGCTGGCAAGGGGCTGTGGTTCAGGGGACCTGGGGGGAGGTACAGACGAGGCACACCACGCCTTTTACATACACTTGGCACTCACTTACAACAGCAACCCGGAGAAACAGAGGCACAGCTTCCCCAGCCCCACCCATAGTCCCTAAACATCCCACTCATAGTAATAATAAAAATAACTGCAATAGCTCATTGCTGCCCAGAGCCAAAAGCCAAAGCACTGTCTTACTTCACACCTACAACATTCCCGACCAGGGTCGGGGCGGGGACTGAAATGATGAAGCTCATTTTGTAAGTCAGAGAACTGAGGCTCAGGGAGCAGCAGGACTGCTGAAATCACAAGCCAGTGACCACAAGCCTACTCCCGTCCCCCAGCCTTACGCCACCCCATCCCTTCCTTGCAGTCGCCAACTCCAGCCACTCTAGACTTCTGTCCTCAGACACACCTCAGGGTCTTTGCGTGCACTTTTCCCTCAGCATAGCACATCCTTTCCAGGACCCTTTCCCTGACTGCCTCCTTCTCAGGCCTCAACTCAAATGTCCCTTCCTCTGAGAAGCCTTCCATGACCACCCAATTAAAATTATCTTCCGTATCCATCACTCGCTTCCATGTGATTTATTACCCGTATTGGCACCCAACATTGACATGACTCTGCCATTTGCTTACCTGTTATCCCTTGCTCAGCTTTGCTGTCTCACCTGTCTTGCTCACCACCTGCATCTCCAGTACCTAGCACAGTGCCTGGTCCATAGAAGATCCCCAGTGACTGCTGGATGAGTAAATGAAGACTGAGACGGAGCTGGGACTCTAACCCAGGGCAGGCAGGCTCCACACCTCTTCCCAAAAGGAGCCATTCCTGATAGATACTAGATAGCCATTCCTGATAGAAGATCTAGAAGATCCAACCCAAAAGTGCCACTCAGGCTATGTGAGGGGTAGGGGATAGGGGATGGAGAGGGTTCAAGCACTGAGCCATCTCCACTCTCCAGCATCTAACAGGATCAGGAGCACACACACCTCTGCCGGCTGCTTGGCCAGAGAACGGTTCCCAAGACTGTGCATAGCCTGATAGGATCTGAAACACAAGGCAAACTCCCCTTTGTTTTCCCGATAAAGGCTCTGAGAAGTCCCACAGCATGGAAGCCTGGGAGCGCATGCCTTTCCTATGCCACTGGGGCCACAGACAGCTTTAATGGCTGCTGGATTAGAAGATGTCTGAGATTCCATCTGAATCTGTGAGCACTGAACCTTGGATTTTCTCTCTACATTAAAGCAAAATTACCACCCCCAAGACCCTCAAAGGCCCACTCCTGTGGTTCGGGCCTAAGGGGAGCCCAGGTAGCAGATGTGCAAAGAAAAGTGGGTCCCGTTCCCATTGCTGCAGACCCCAAGCTCCCACCTGGGCTCCCCATGGGCTCTCCAAGGTCAAGCAAGGAGGAGAAAGGGCACGTGCCTATGGCCATGGGGTCCTGCGATCTAGCAGGCTGGGGGTGGGGTGTGTCCCGAGGACTAGTCTGCAGAGACTCACGAGGCAGAGCTGGGGCAGGGCAGGGAGCCACGTACAAGTGCAAACCATAGGATATGCACTTGGCCTCCCATGCTTCCAGGGCCACTCTATGAGGAGGTACTATCATTCCCATTTTATAGCAGGGACACAGGGACACGGAGCTTGCCCAGGGACACAGAGCTCGTAAAACTGGATCCAAAGGAGCATGGTGCACTCCTTTCCCTGGGCTGCCTCTGTTGTCCTGCATGCCCTGGCAACGACATGGAGAGTCGGCAGCAGCTACTCCATAGAGAGGGAAAGGGAGGCTCAGAGGGGCTGAGCCACAGGGCCCAAAGCCTCACGGCCCAGGGAACAGGGGCGGGGTTGGACCTTGCTCACTCCTGTGCTCACGTGGTTTGCAAACACTACCGTCCTTCCTAGATCGCAATCACTAAAGGTTCTGACTCCAGTTTCCCAAACCCAGGTAGGTAGACAGAGACGGGACCCTGGGGCATGCCACCACCTGCTGCAGGATCTCCATGAAGAGACACTGGCTGTCCTCCCCCACCATGGCTGGCAAGGGTGCTGCACTGGTCCCAGCTCCCACCACCTCCACTTAAGGTGCCAGGAGGCAGGCAGGAGAGGAGCTGGAGGACAGACCGTGTGCACCTGGTCCCCTAGGTGTGCACACAGGTGGCAGAGTCCCCCAGAAGGTGTGGCCAGGACAGCCATGGCATAGGATAAGTACAGCTTTGAGGAAGCTGTGCACGAGGGTTTCTTCCAGCTTTGCCCACTGCCCATGGCTCTAGGCAGGTGGGGGGCAGGGGAAGTGCCATGGGGTCAGGAATGCCCCTATTCAGGTTCAAGCCTGTTGGATAAGGGAGAGCAAGGGGTCCTGAAGATTCAGGAGGTGGGTGTCCTGCCCTCCTGACCTCCCTCAGCCTCTCCCTGTTCACTCCAGTCCTCTTCAGCTGGGTCCCTCTCCCCCTCTGCTCCCTCCCATCCAGCCCACTGAGCTATTTACACATGGACAGGGGTCTCTGAAGATGCATTCATGGCTTTCATGGTGGAGGTTCCTTGGAAGAACCTTGCCAGACAGCCAGGCTATGAAGAGGGTTTCTAGATAGAGGCACCACCTGCCCACAAGCATGGCCTGATGCGGCTAGAAAGACCCATGTGATGCTTAAGGACATAGCGACTCCGGGGAATGTGGGAATTGGGTGCCCATCTCCCCCAAGGCTAGGAAAGCTCAGGGCTGGAAGCAGCCATGAAGAGGAGCCCCATGCGATGCCAAAGTTGCTTCTGCAACGCCCCTGCCACACTTGAACACCTACAAAGGTGGGGAACTCACTACCTATCATGGGAATGGCCATCTGTGGTACTCTGGGGAAAAGTCCAGGCTAAGAGGCAGGAGACTGGGTTCGGGCTCTGCTACCACTGACTGCTCCGAGCTCTTGGGCCTGATTCCTCATCTGTGAAATGTGGATAAAGTTTCAAGTCTTAGAGGGCCAGCAGCACTCAAGATTGAATGAGGGTCTTTGTAGGCAGTGAAGTGTATGCCCCAGGGGCGGAAGTTTGGGCTGTGAGTCGCCCCTGAACTGTTTGGCCCGTGCCCAGATGGTGACACAGCAGAGGAGCAGTGGGCAGAGGGCACAGGGCTGAGCATGACTCAGGGGCCCCTGCCAGCCCCTTGGGCTCACCCCTAGCATCTGTCACCATCAAAGCAGGTGGGTCTGGGCAGTTGTCTGACCCCCTGCCACAGGGTCCGAGACCCAGGGTGCCAGCCACAGAGCCACACCCTGAGGCCCAGACTCAGCCAAGGACCCAGAAGGGGTCAGCTGCTCAGCCTAGCTCCCAGGGGCCTAGGGTGAACTCACCCAGCAGAGAAGTGACCACAGTGCTGTTCTGTCCCAGGAAACCAGCTCGACTGGAACCCAGGCCTCCTCTCCAGGGCTAGGGCCATGGCCTCTGGTCCTTTGAAAGGTCGGCGGTTCTGTGGGTAATGGCTCCAGCTC
The DNA here is from genome assembly GCF_000001405.40 of Homo sapiens. Classification (NCBI taxonomy): domain Eukaryota; kingdom Metazoa; phylum Chordata; class Mammalia; order Primates; family Hominidae; genus Homo; species Homo sapiens. The sequence continues at coordinate 57,634,003 of NC_000016.10, read as the reverse complement.
AGCTCCCCAGCCCAGGGTCACATTAACTCACTCCAAAACCTGGGTCAGGTCTCAGGTCTTGGGGAACATGAAGGAGTCCCAGGCTGGACAATGCCTCGGGGCAGCAGATCAAGACCCCAGGAATGGGCATGTCCAAAGGGGAAGCTGTCACAGGATTGGTGGTTTTCCCGGTAACATCCTGGGAGGATGGCACCATTGTTCCGGATAAAGTCTCCAATGCTCTCTAAGAACAAGGCTTGGTCATGGCCCAGAAGGGGCAATTACAATAGCACTTGAGGTGTGCCCAGCCCTGCACTCAGCACTTAAAATACAGAGGCTCACTTAATCCTCTCAGGATGCCATTACCAGCCTCATGTTTACAATTAGGAAGACGAGGCACAGAGAGGTTAATATACCTGTCCCAGGCCACACAGCCAGTAGAGCTGGGACAGAATCAGGCAGCCCCAGAGCCCACACCCCTAACAGCCCACCTCGTGCTGCCTCTCCTAGGGGGCAGCCTGGCTGAGGGATGGAAAAGCAAAGGTCTGGGACAGCTGGGGACAGGGTCTGCGTCTCATGAGCCCCTATGACGTGTGGCTGTCTCGGTTCATCCCCACAAAGCCGCATTTAGGTATCAGAGACTTTCACAGCCCAAGTAATGAAGTTGTGAGAAATTCAGCCGCTTGCTCTAAGTCATTTTTCAAGGATTTGAGCCTAAGTCAATGAGCCCATGACCTGGAAGATTAAACCTCCAGCTGAGGTTTAGGGAGAACCTCTTGAAGTCATGCACTGTGCTAGGTACATACTTTGCAGCCACTTTTGCCCCAAATTCCACAGCAACCCTGCAAAGGGATGTATTGTTATCTCCATTTACAGGCAGGGAAACGGGTCCAGAGAAGCTGTCATCTTTGGCAGTGGAATGCAAGTCTCCACAGCTCCTCTCAAAAGTCAGCTTTCCCCCATGGGCCTTGAGCATCCAGGCTGGGGGTACTAGGAGGACAGAGACCTGGGGACGGGAGGGGAAAGGGCCTGGGAGGTGGCAGAGGCGGCTCTCTATCTCACTGTTCCTTGTTTTGCAGTTGGTGTAAGTGGCCCCGAGTCTGGGAAGCCAAGCCAGAGCCATTCACCGCAGAACTTTTCAGGCCACCAGGGTTGGGCTGGCTCTTGGACAGCAAGGCCATCTCCCCACCGCCAGGCCATCTCCCACTAATGCAGAGAGGCCTGTCCACCGGTGCCCGGAAGCATGCCAGCTCCTCCGGGGCTGAGCTTTTATCTCTGCCTGGAACTGCCAAGCATACCACAAACTGCCTGAGCCTGCGCAGGCGCCAGCTCGGGAGCCCGACGCCCACCACACTGGCCTCCTCACCAAAGCACGAGTCAGGCTGGAGGTGGGTGAGTGAGCGCCACTGGTGTCCAGGTGGCCGCAGCTCTCCCAGCAGTAGCGGGGGCAGGGAGAAGTGCTCACAGTTATTTCAGGTTATCTCTGGGCCTCAATACAGCCATCTGTCCAATGGGAGAGGTATTAAAAAAAGGCTTAACATTCCCACGTATGGGAAAGGCACTTTCCCATATGCTTTCCTCTATCAACTCTCTTCATGCTCATAATAGCCTCTGAAGCAGATGTGATTGTGATCCACAGTTTACAGATGAGGAAACCGAGGCACAGGCCCATGTTCCCACAACCAGAGAGAAACAAAGCCAAGATTCTCCCTGGGCAAGCCACCCTTGCTGTCTCTACGGGCCCTGTCACCCTACAGGTGCGTGGATTTGGCAGTGGCAGGGGCAGGGTTCAAGACACGAGCATGTGCCTGGCTGGCTGAGGAGCCTCCTCTCCACCAAGGGACAAGAGCCCAAATTCTGGATCCCCAAAGATGTGGGGTTGCTCACTGGGTAAGCCTCCCCTGCCTCAATGTCCTCATCTGAAAAGTGGGTGTCGTGTGCAAGGCACTGAGCCCAGGGCCTGGCAGAATCTGAGGTCAGGGAAGGTCCAGGATTGCTCCCATCCAGGCTGAGCCATCAGGGAACCAGGGAGAGTTTGGGGCTTAGCTGACCTCCTGCCAGGGCAGGCTGGCACTGGGCAGTGGTCAGAAAATGTGTGTCCCTTCCTACTCCCCAACCCTTGGCCCCTCTACCCAGCAGTCCAGACCTAAGACCAGAATCTACAGGGCTCCCCTGGGGGCCTCAAGGAGCCCCAGATGGGGCACCAGAGACAGGAGGAGGGGCAGGGTCTCAGCCAAGTGACGGCTCAGGAGAAAGGAGGCCTGGGAGGCTGAGGCCGTGCCACAGCCCCGCCCCACCCGGTTTGAGAGACCCCTTTGTGCCAGCCCGCCCCGCCCCCCATTTGCCATCTGCCCAGTTGCTGTGTCTGGTCACCCCTGACTGCTGGGTTTGCTCACATGATGTCCCCATCTGCTGTGAGTCAGAAGGCGGGGTCCACAGGGCCACCCCCAGCATGGGGACGGGGGCTGAGCCCTGATCAAGCTCCAGTCTGGGAGGAGGAGGTGGTGCTGGGGTTTGGGGCTCTGTTGTCACACTCCCCTCTCCTCCCTACTTCCACCCGACTTCCCCACGGCCTCCTCCATGGCCTCCCTGGGAGCCCTGCCACATGGAAGCCCATCCTGCATCCCTGAAATGGCACAGCCCCCCAGACCCCACCTGCACACAGCTTCTGCACAGGATGGCGGAACCCGCATCCCAGTCCGGCTGGAGGACGGTCCGCAGTGGTCCCTCCATGGCTGTCCTGCCCACTCCTCTTACCTGCCTTTGTCATGCTGGGCCTTGCCAGGAGGCCAACCCCTACACCAACCCTGCTGCAGCTCTGCCACCTCTCTCCTGTCCTTCCCCTCGACTGGGCGCCACCTCCCCCTCGTCTCCCTCACACGTGAAGCTGCTCCCAAGCTTGAGCCTTAACCCAGCAGCCAGAGACTGGGACTGCCTGGCCAACCTCACACTGAACACCCATCCTGGCCCTCCCCGTCCTGCTGGGTTTGCAGCCTGGGCCCCCAGCCCCACACAGCACCTGCCTGGCGAGTCCTCCTGCCTCTCTTCCCCCCCACAGAGCAGATTGAGACCTGCTGGCCTGGCTCATCAAGTCCCATGAAATGACCCATGCCAGGGGTCCGGTATCACCCTCCCCGTGGTCCCCAGCTTGTATCGTTCCCCAAATGTTTTCCTAAGTAGTTTCCTCCACTAGGACTCCCCCTACAGTGCTCATACAGACATCAGTCCCTTCCCCTCCCACCTTCTCCCAAGCCCAGCCTAAGTGCCTTCCGCAGAGGCTCCCTGGTCCTCTTCCCCTTCTCTGGGCCCTCTGTTAGCAAGCTTATCTCACGCCTCCATCTCACCTCCTAACTGTTGTTTGTTTGTTTGTATCCCTGACAAAAGGAAGTGTCACACCAGGCTGACTGGCCCTTGCCCAGTGGCCCAGGCCGGGACACAGCCTGTCCGTCACAGATCACACCTGGAGCGGCGTTCTCCATCACCCGACACTCTCGGAGCCAAGCCCCAGGCCTACGGGAGCCAGGGCAGCTGTGATCACCCCTACACACCCATTTAGCAGCTGAGCTCCTGAGGCGAGAGGAGAGGAAGGGCAAGGGGGCCACAGTGATGCTGTGACCAAGGTGGGTGCATATCTCGGGTCCCTGCAGCAAAGAAGGGGTCAGGTCTGGCCCTAAGAGCTCATTCCACACCTGGACATTGGCAGGAAAGAGCCCAACAGGACCCCTGCCTGGGCTCTGGGGAGCCAACTTGGCAGCCCATGGTTATTAATGCCCAGATATGCTCCTTCTCACACAGTCTCTGACCCCAAGGAGCCAACAGGCTGCCCGGGGCTATCCTCTGGGAGGGGCAGGGGGCTTGGCTCTGGGTCTGGGCCACTCACGAGTTCTGAGATACCTTATTTGCCTCACCCACGGCCATGTTCCCGACAGAGCACAGAGTGCACAGTAAGCGCTCAATAAATGCTTCTATAAATAACTTTCTTGGTCCACTGAAGGAGCAACAAAGGCTATTCCTACACAGCCCGTGGACCCCAGGCTACAACTGCTCCACATTGGTGGGGGTGGGAGGCCCCTGCCTTGACCCATCCCCTCCTCCCTACGCAGTAAAATGAACATCAGACCTCTCCCAGTGGGGCACAGGGAGACCCCAACTCTACCACGCAGGGGAGGTGGGTTGGGGACGGGGGAGGACAGGAATCATTGGTTTCCTACACACTCCCAGCCCCCGCGGGGACCAGGGTGGGAAGTCCTATCAGTGCCAGGCAGATGGAGCCCTGAGGTCTGGTGGCAACGGGCAGGGTGTTCAGCCCGCAGCCTGCGCTTCCCCGTCTGCCTGTCACCGGTTCCAGGACTCTCACCCACGTGGCCCACGTTCAGAGACCCTGCGGGGCCACCTTCTCCCAAAGCTGGCCTTGGTGATGAAGAGCACGGCTGTCCCTTGCTCAGTGGGGACCCCGGACCCAGCCCCAGGGACAGCTGCAGGAAAGCTGTCCTCAGGAGTTCCCTCAAGTGCCACCCCCTCCCTGAGCCTGGCCCCTGGCTTTCTATACCTGGATGTGCTAGGTGACCTTGGGCAAGCCACCTGCCCTCCCAGAGCCTCGGTTCTCCCATCTGTGTAGTAGGAGCACTGATCTCACAGCCTAAAGAGCAGACCCCAGCTTGCTGGGCCCAGTGACTGTACCACTCTGAGCCTCAGTTTCTCCAGCAACAAAATGCCTGGGAGCCCCGGGAGGTGTCGCTCCCCTTGGGCCCCAGTCCCCTCCCAGGCATCTCCTTGTGGGTCCGCCCCCACTCTAGAGACCCACCCACAGCCATGCTGACCTGGACTAGATCCCACCAAGATACCAAGACCCCCCCATTTCCCCATTTCACCACCATCCCTACCCACTGTCCAACAGCCACCCGTGCACGGATGCACACATCCACACTTACACTCACATACACTCCCACACTCACACTCACACTCATACTCACACACACTCACTCACACTCTCACACTCAAACGCTCAGTCACACTCTCACACTCACACTCACATTCTCACTCACTCTCACACACTCACACTCACACACTCTCACACTCTCACGCTCACACTCACACTCACACTCACTCTCACACACTCACACTCACACACTCACACTCTCACACACTCACGCTCACACACTCACACTCTCACACTCACACTATTCCCCTTCCCACCTGCTGTCCAGCCCTTGTTTGGGTACCTGCTGCCAGGTGGAGGGTCCCACGCAGGGCCAGGCGGCTGGACCACCTTTCAGGATCCACCCCCAGAGGCTTAACCTGCCAGCCCTGGTCCCCGCTGCCTGCCGAGTGAGCTGGAGAGCGTGGGAGGCTCCCAGCCCATCTCCTACGGCAGGGCAGGGCAGACAGCTAGTGCGGAGAGGGAGGGACCGGGTTTGTTTGGTGGGGAGACACCCCTCTCCTGCCCCAGCTGGGCTCCTCCCTCCTCCCTGAGCTTGACTGGGGATGACGGACGATATATGTGAGTCATGGATTTCTCAGAGGGAGACCAGGAGGGGGCAGGGCTGAGAGCGCTGAGGCAGTGATCCTGGGGGATGCCCATGACTCAGCGCCGGGCAAGGGGGCACCTCAGCCTCACCCCTCATCCAGGCAGACAGTGTTCAGGGACAGGAAGGGGCCGGGGATCACTCTGCTTCCTCAGCCTCCATCTGTCGCCTCCCAGGGCCAGTCTCCCCAAAGTTCCCACAGAGAGGCCGGGGTTGCCACGGCAACAGGGCCCTTGGATGCTGTCCGCCCACCCCCCAGGTCAGGGCGACAACTGCCCTTTCCTGAAGGAGAGTCCAGCCTCCTTGGCAGCCGACGGGAGCCAGTGCTGACCGGCAGAGCGGAAGGCAGTCGGGAGGGAGCGGGTGACAGGCAGCCGGGCAGGAGGCCAGCCAGGCCACGCACGACTGACCGGCTGACCTGCGTCCCCCCGGGGGGTGACCCGTCTCCCCTCTCAGTGCTCCTCAAGCACCCACAGTTTCAACATCCCAAGTCATTTTGGATTCTGAGACCCCAGGGGCTTCTGGAAACGGCCTCCTTTAATCCATCTGCTGAGCCAAAGGGGAAACCGAGGCCTGGGTGAAGAGCCATTCCCAGTGGCCCCAAAAGCTCAGACAGAGAAGTGTGGAAATGGACCATGCCCCATCCCCCTTCTGGTCATTCCTCTGTCAGCAGCACCTCCCGCTGCTGGGGTTCAGTGCCCTTCTCGAGTCAGGAGGCTTTGGATAACTCACACTCCCTGCAGAGGCTCCTGTCTGCCCTCCTCCTCCGAGCAATGAGGATAGATGATTCCTCAGTCAGATGTGCTGGGAGGCTTTTACAATGCCAGAAGGGTGAGTGGTGACAATAACAGTAATTACACTCGCTGACCACCGTCTGCATTCCAGCTCCAGAGCGCCCCTGGCAGTGGAGAGAAGTCAAACCTGCTACTCAGACCAGTGCCTGGTACTTGCCAAGCCCTCAATAAATACTCCCTGTGAATGTGGTGATGAAGAAGAGGGAGCTTAAGGCAGATACATGTAGCTCAGAGATGAGAATTAACCTGCCCAAGATCACACAGCAGGGAGGTGCCCGAGTTGGGATGGCGGGAGCACAGGCCGTCTGGCTCCATAGCGGGTCTCCTAACCACTCAGCAATCCAGCACCCCAGGCCTCAGCCTGGGGCCTGGACACGTGGATGCTTGGGGAACTTGAGATTCCTTCTCTCCGGTAGAGATCTGCCTTCTAAACAAGGGGGCCAGGAAAAGCTTCCCCATGCCACGTGGAGGAAGAATGAATGGAACGTCTCGGGCAGCCTAGGAGCCAGGGCTGCTGCAGGTGAACTGCACTCCTCACCTACCTGCTTGAAATCAAGCTGCAGAAAGGAAGGGCCACAAAGCCACCCCGTGGGGTGCAGGGAGGCCATAAGGTGAGAGCTTCCAGAAAACGGCACTGTGCTTCCCACATTCACAGTCCCCAGTCCAGGCTGTGGGCCAATACCTGGGGCAGGGAGGCACAGTGGGGACTGGGCCCATGTCATACCCTCTGCTCTCTCCCGGGGCTGCAGTGGGAACTCCCTTATTGCCAAAGCAGCAGAGGCCAGCCTACACTGGGGGCCCACTAACAAGGGAGGACAAGTGAGTTATCTAGGGGAGGATGGGTTGTCCCTGACATACCACCACCTCTGCCTCAGTTTCCCCAAGGTCAGTCCTTCAGGGCCTGATCAACTGGTAACCCGGGCAGCCTCAGCTGTTCCCCAGGGACCAGGCCCACAGGGCAGCTGTCCCCCCACCACCACCACCACACACACACCCCACAGAGCGTGCTGACCAGAAGGGCACAGATGGAGAGTTGAAGGCACCACTCTCTCTGCAGATGGCTGAAGAGAGTGCGGAGCCAGCTGCCACTCTGGCCACATAGGAGAGGCTTATGGGGCTGCCTGGCTGGGCGGAGTTGGCTGCCCAGCTCTGCCTGCCTCTCTCACCGTCGGACTTTGCAGAGACCTACTATGAGCTAGGGGCAGGCAGGTGAGGAAGCAGGCCCCCAGCTCTGAGTCTGGCTAGAGAGACAAGCCTGGTTCTCATAGTAGCGATACCTGGAGTTGGTATTCAGCATCCAGGGGTCTCTGGGAGTAAAGGGGGAGAAATTCAATGACTTGTTAAACACAACACTATCTGTTATGAGTGCTGATAACAGGACTAATAATCACCTGCTATGTCTGGAGGTTTTATGGTGTAAGATGCTCTGCTTGTACAGATCATTCTCATTTTATCCACACAACCCTGTGGGTTGGGTACCACTTGTATGTTAGAGATGGTCAGAGACATGAAGTAACTTAGCCAAGGTCGCACAGCTTGGACCTGGCTGGGCCTCCAGGTGTGTGGGCTGTAACCAAACACGGGACACCAGATATCCGGCCCCTGCTAGGCACTTCATCTTCTCCTTCTGTTCTCACAACAGTCTATCCCCACTTTACAGAAGGGGAACCGAGGTACAGGGAGGGCTACCCACGCCTTTCTATAACAGCCAGGATCTGAACTAAGCGTGTAGACCCCAGAGCCCCTGCTGGGACCTGAAGGAGAAGAAGGGGGCTTCGATAAACAGAGACCAGCAGGAAGGGCACCCCAGGCAGAGGGAACAGCATTGGCTGAGGTGGAGAGGTAGGGCATGGAGCCATGCTTGGAAGGAAGTGGGATCTAACTGGGCAGCAAGGGGCAGATTCTGGAAGATTTTGAAAGTGTAGAGTTTGGGCTTAAATCAAAGGTACTGGGGAGCCAGAGAAGATGTTTGGGTAGGGAGAGGCCTGATTAGCCCTCAAAATGTGGTCTTCAGACCTACAGATAGCCTGAGACCTGCTGAATCTGAATGTGTATTTTAATAAGATGCCCAGGGGATTCCAGAATTGGAGGTGTGAGAAGCCCTGGTCTAGACGCCAGGGACTTGTACCAGCAATGATGCGGAGGGATGGGCAGAGGAGTAGAGGGGAAGTTGGGTCCGGATGGGGCCTCGAAGGAGGCAGATGGGGGAAGAGCGGGGGAGGAGACTTTGGTCCAAGAGACCAGGAAAAGGGCTGGGACACCCCACCCCCCACAACCCGACAAGTGAAGGTGGGGACCGAGGAGAGGGGGAAGATGTCTGAAACGTCCCTGAAGAATCGGGGCACAGGATGGGGTGCAGATCCGGAAGGCAGAGAAGAGACTGCCCTGTGTGCAATGGAATGGGGGCAGCTCTGTGTCATGTGGGGAAGCCACAGGTCCCCCCTGCTTCCCAAGGCAGCTGGAAACACGTCGTTGGGGCTCAGCAGTGAGGGACTGGGGTCGCCAGGCCCAGAGAAGGTCATGGCATCATTGGCTGGCGACGGAGTCCAGAGATGGTGTGGGGAAAGCAGAAAGCTGAAGGTGCAGGAAACCCTTCGTTTTGAGGGACAGAGGAGAGGGGGCAATGCTGCTGCACCCTCTCTGAGCCCGGAGTCTGTGATCACAGACTCTGGGTTCAGGCCAGCTGGCCTCTACTCCCAGCCGGCCAGCTGGATGACTTGGGCAAGCATCTCTCCATCCATTTATCTCCTCGCCTGCCAAGTGGGGACCAAAATAGCACCTTCTATTGGGCCGATTAAATGAGGCCACATGCGTAAATCTTGCAGCCCAGGCCTGGCAGACAATGGGCACCCCAATGCATTGGCCAGGGCACTGTTATTCAGAGGGGCCTGCAAAGGAGGTAGAGAGGAGGCTGCCGGGGAGGTAGGAGGAGATCTTCAAGAACATGAGAGCCTCAGGACAGGGATAAGGGGTTAGGGCATCCTTATTGTCTGCTGTGACTGAGGCCTGGGGGAGTAGGAAGACATGGTGGGGCTGGGAGGGCTAGGAGGAGGTCTTCAGCCCCTTTTTCTATCTCTAACCCTCTGGCCAGAGCAGCAGCATTTAGTGGGAACCAGCCTAGCAAACAGTGAAGAGCTGTCCCCACCTGTGCAAATGGCCATGAGCAACCACTGCCTGCTCAGAAGTGGGTTTTTTCTTTGTTTTCGAGACAGGGCCTCGCTCTGTTGCCCTTGCTGGAATGTAGTGATGCAATCATAGCTCTCTACAGCCTCAATCTCCTGGGCTCAAACGATCCTCCCACCTCAACTTCTCAAGTAGCTAGGACTATAGGCATGCCCCACCACACCAGGCTAACTTTTGTATTTTTTTGGAGAGACAGGGTCTTGATACGTTGCCCACGCTAGTCTTGAACTCCTGAGCTCAAGCGATCCTCCCACCTTGACCTCCCAAAGCGCTGGGATTACAGGTGTGAGCCACTGCGCCCAGCCTCAGAGGTGGGTATTTTTTAGACAAGAGCAGTTCATATCCAGGCTTCTCCCCTTGCAAGCTGAGTGACCATATAAATCATTGAGCACAATGCAAGGCACACAGTAGGTGCTCAATAAATCTTGGCCAACATCATTATTATTATGATAAAGTCCACATGAATGCCAAAGGCCCAGAACTCCACCATTTGCAGTTTGCAGAACCCTTTCACATCTACTACCTCCTCTACAAAACAGTGATGATTGTTCCCATTTAACAGAGATGAAAACTGAGGCTCAGAGAGAGGAACTTCCCAAAGCTTTGCAGCAAGTTGGCAACAGAGTCAGGACCTGATCTCAGACCATGTGTTTTGCGGCCAATGTTCCCAGCCACCTCCCTGCTATCTCCTGTGGGAAAGCCTCCTGGACACAGGCGTGGGGGTACCCATAGTCCCATGATAACGCCATCTCCCATCACACCCGCCTCAGGGCCCAGGCCCAGCAGGGATTGCGTTGCACATGTGACTCAGCCGCCTTCACAAAGGGAGCTGTGTGTCTGGTTCCCTAGGCCCGCCTCCCCCACCCACTGCCCATCCCCCAGTCAGGGAAAGAGCAGGGAGCCTGGCCTAGCCAAGATGCGGGGGAAGCAAGGTCATCCTCATCGCTAAAACGGGACAAATCTAGTGGTGCTTCAGGACCAGCCTTAGGATGCAAGCCTTGGTGCCAGCTCAGATGATAGAATGAAAGGCCGGGCACACAGGAGGGGCGAGCATGACCAGGTCCAAGACATTTTCTGATACCTTATTTGGAGCTCCAAGGACAGACTCCATCTAACTGGCTCCCTTGGTGAGTGGAGCCTCGGCAGGTGCCCTGCCCATGTTTAACCTGCATCTGGTTTCAAAAGCGCTGGAGCTTGTGGTCAGGGAGGAGGCACTCCCCGGATGCCAGTCGGGCTCCTGCGTCCACACCTGGCTGCAGCACTGGCCTCTATCCACCCCACCCCCGGAAGGTTCTAGACTTGGAGCAGGTGAACCCCTGTTTAGCACTTATCCTGTGCTAGGCAGGTGACTTGCATTTTCCCCCACAACCCTGTCAAGGAGGATTTGCCCCATTTGTGAGAGGAGAAGACTGAGACTCAGAGAGGGAAAGGGACTGACTCAGGTCACACAGGATTAGAGCTGCCTTATTTAAGTCCTGCTTTGCCCCTCCATACCATCTTCTTGGTTCCAATGGCAACTTGACCACATGCCAACAAGAAATGGCCTTGAGCCAGATGCAGACAGACGTTCTCCCTCCCCCAGGGTCACCCTGTCCCTGCCCTGCCGGGAAAGGGCCACTGCAGAATGCAGTTCCTTAGGGTTCAGGCTGGCTGGGCCTCCAAGGTCCACCCCCGCCTGCTGACCTCCCCAGCGGGGAAGGCATGCCTGGGTGCCCCGCTGCCTGAGATAGAAGGTAGACAGTGTGGCCGCCCCGTCTTCCTAAGCATGACGGAATGTCTGACCTTTTGCCTAGCCTCCCAAGAGCACTTGGCAGGAAGGATGGATCCATCCAGAACAGGTCATTCTGGCCATACCCCTGCCCCCAGCCTTCAGAAGCCCCTGAGCCCAGAGCAAGGCTGAGCCACCTCTAATAAGCCCTTCCCTCACCCAATCACATGCCTGCCAGCCTGGGCCCCTCTTGCAGTGTGCACGGCTGGGCGTCCAGAAGTCTGGGTTCTTCGGTGAGACTCTACACATCCCTGCATGTCACGGTGTCCTCTGCACCTCAGGGTATTGGAGCCAGAAGCACAGCCCCTCCTCCGAGTGTGGCTCCTGGGATGATCCCTACCTGGCGCCCAGCTAGAAGCAGCCTTGTCTGGAGGAGCCCCAGCGGTTGGGGGGCTCAAAACTGCCCATCACTCCACCTAGACGCCACCCAGCATCACCCTGAAGCCCTCTGAATAGCCAATCATGAGATTTTGCACCAAATTAGAGCTTTCTGTGCCTCAGTATCTTCCTGTGTAAAATGGAGGTATCCGCCTATCTTAGAGAGCCTCTGTCACTGCCACTGCTGTATCTTTGGTTTAGCATAAACTCCCCACTCTCTCTCTGGTTTTTTGTTTTGTTTTTTTTTTTTTTTAGAGACGGGATCCTGCTCTGTCACCCAGGCTGGAGTGCAGTGATGCAATCAGAGCTCCCTGCAGCCTCAAACGCCTGGGCTCACATGATCCTCCCACCTGAGCCTCACGAGGAGCTGGGATTACAGGTAGGCCACCACACCCAGCTTGGGTTCTCTTTTAAAATCCAAATTCCCCCAGTGGAGAGGGCAGCAGAAGAGGCCTCTGACTCCTCTGTAGAAACCTCCCTTCCTGAACTAGGGGTCCCAGCCTTGGCATGGGGTCACCAGCATCCCCTTACCTCAAGACCATCCTACTTGCTGCTCTTGCCCCTAAAATTGTGCCTCTTGCATCAGCAGCTCCCTTGGCCCTGGCCTGTGAGGTCTGAGTGGCAGCTGCTCGGATGCCAGGCCTGGTGTCAGGTGCCTCTGGTCAGGCAGTGAGGCATCGTCGCTCCTGTGCCAAGGGAGCCAAATGAGGCCCAGAGAGGTTTAGTGACTACCCACAAGGTGGCACAGCAGTGTGCAAAGATGGCAGGACTTGCTCCAACTCGAAAGGACTGTGTATCATCTCACTCGATGCCACAGTGTTCCTGGAGGTCAGCTTTGATCTCCCCGTGCACCCCACCTCCACCCCCACTCCCTACACCCATACACACCCCATCAGTGCCCAGCACAGAATGTGTTAAAGTGTTGGCTACAAGAGACTTCCCACTGGGAGAATCATAAAGAGGGCGCCTCCGTTTCCTCACCTGGACACCAGGACTGCCACCACTTCTCTCTTGGTAAAATGAAGAGCTGCAGTTGAAACTACTTTGTGGAAAGCCCACGGAGCACCCAGCCCCCCAACACATCCCAGAAATGCCGCCTTCTGCATGTGCCTGTGCCCAGCAGCCAGGAGCCCCCAGGGTCTCCCCCTAAGTCCTGGGGCACAGATGGCTCAGAAGGCGTAATGGAGCAATGATGAAGCCACTCATTAGCAGGGGCTGCCTAATTAACAGAGGGAATGTGGGGGGTGCCATTTGCTGCCCACACGCCCCAGGGAGCCAAGTTGGTAGAGAGGGCACAGCGCCAGCACCCCACCCGCAACTCCAGACACCCACCTCTGGCTGGCTGGCGTGTGTGGCCCATGAGACCAGGGGAGGGGCCTACTGCTGCAGCTTATGGGTTTACAGACCACTGCCCCTGCCTCTCCTTCATGGAACAGACAGGGAAACAGGCCTGGACAGCAGGGGAGCCTGGCCCAGGGTCCCACAGGAGGCAGTGGCAGGGCCGGGCCCTTTCTTCCACGACAGTTCCCTGTTCCAAAGAGTCCTCAGCCACCATGGAGGGGCCTGGCCCAGAGAAGACAAGCAGCCGGTGGAGGGAGGGACCGTTTGAAGTTCTCCTCCTGCCTCTTGCAGCCAGGGGAGGGAGGGCTGTGATGCTGGGTGCAGGCAGCTGGGGGGAGCAGGGGACCCTCAGCTGGCCGCTGGCTGGGCACGCCCCCCCAGGCCTGCACCCTGTTCCTTCCATTTGGCTCGCTAAGGGAGGCTGCCTTCTCCTCCCCAGTCAAAAGTCAAACGACCTGGGCCAACCTGCTCCCAAACCGGTTTCCGTGGGATCCCAGGAGGAAGCTGCTCAGGGCGCTGCGGAAAGCAGGCAGGAGACTTCAGGTCCTGCCGCCTGCCTCCCGTCCATGCTCAGGCTCCGCGGCGTCACCCTTGCCCTGCGTCCTGCAGTGTCCGTTGGACACCGGGAACACACCTCACACCTGCCAGCTTCCCGGTGCTAGGATGACCACCATGCCAGCATGCCCGGCCATGCTGTGCACTGCAAGGGGTAACCCCAGAACAGCCAGGGCCTCCACTGAGAGACGCCCAGTACCCTGAACAGGCCAAGGGCCAGGCCACACACATCGGGACTCTCAGGGCATTGAACTAGACCTGAGGGATGGCCAAGGTCAAGGGGGACAGGCTGGCAGTGGCACCCTACTTATCTTTCCCACCCCTGTCCCCCACCCGTCTCTTACCTCCAGGTCTGGGCAGGTCCCTCACCGGCCTGTGCCTGTGTGGCCTGCTCCTCCCCTTCCACCTCCTCCCAGGGCCACAGGCACCCAGTCTGAGCTTGTCTGGGCTGGCGGGCAGCCCCAGGTGAGGCTCCGCCTGTCTGTCTCGCCCCATTTCCGGCTGCCCCACAGCCACTGCAGCCGCCACCCTCTCTTGTTCCCAGGTGTCCTTGCAGGGGCCAACCTGACCCTTAGGTGCTGAGTCCCCCCACCCCTCACCTCTTCGTGGACTTCAGCACCTCTCTCCTGGGAAGCAGAGGCTGCTGGATGAGCCCAGGGGAGTCCTTGGGTTCTCTGGGTCTCAGCGGCCGCCCAGGCTGTTGGGAGATGCTGCCCTCCATCCGTGATCTGCCAACTCTTTGTGAGTTTCTTCCTGCCTCCTCCCTCAGTCCAGGCCCCGCCTGGAATCCTGGGCCAGACTCACCTGCCTGTAATAAAAACAGGCCCCAGCCAGCAGCTGGTGGGGTCAGGAGGCGGGAAGCGAGGGGGATGGGGAGTCCTGCTCATTCTTCTCTCTGAGTTTCCAGGCTCCTGCAGGACACCTGACAGAGGGAGAACTGAGGTAGACAAAGGGGCAGGGATGGAAGCCTCTTCCAGGAAAGAGCTCAGCGGCCACCGCTCAAGGCATCCTGGGAGGGTGCCCAGCAGAGTCCTCCAGGCAGGCCTTGGCCCACTCGCCCCTAACCCTGCCTGCCTGGCCCCTGTCCCACCCTTCACTCCTTGTCTCAGTCTGGCAATTCTCCAGGGGAAGTTTCTCAAGCTCTCACACCCAGGTACCCCTCCTCTAGATGCTTTCTGATTCCTGCATCACATCCTCAACATTGAGAACACCGTCTGAGCCCCGCCACCCCTTCTAGAAGCCATCCGGGCAATGGCTGATTTATTCTACAAAGTCTCTATCAGGTGCCACTGTGGGTCACGCCTGGTGCGAGGTGCTGCATGCACCTCAATGCACCCTATAAACCTTCCCTCACCTCCCCTCACCCCACTGTTTCTCCCATAGTCCCCCAGGCTCCCCCTTGGCTGGGACCAATCCCTAAGTGTCGGAATTCTTTCTTTCCTGATCCGTGTGCCCTGCTAGCGCACCAAACCCAAGAACCAGCACAGGGCCTGGGATCGAGAAATTCTGGGTGATTGATGGGTGAGGAAGTGTGGGAAGAAAGCACAGACGGTGGATGGATGAAAGTGTGGACAGGCAGGGGATGCACCACGCCTTCAGCGAGTGTCTATTGAGGGCCTGCTGTGCACCAGGTCCTGTGCCAGGCATGGGGGATCCTGCAGCCAAGAAAACATAGAAACCTCTGCCCTCAGAACTGTAGGAGAGACAAGAAATGAATAAGCAAGTAATTATTAAAAATATCCAGTGGCGGCGGAGTGCAGTGGCTGACGCCTATAATCCCAGTGCTTTGGGAGGCCGAGGCAGGTGGCTCACCTGAGGTCAGGAGTTCAAGACCAGCCTGGCCAACGTGGTGAAACCTTGTATCTACTAAACATAACAAAAATTAGCCGGACATGGTGGCAGATGCCTGTAGTCCCAGCTACTCAGGTGGCTGAGGCAGGAGAATTGCTTGAGCCCCGGAGGCGGAGGTGGCAGTGAGCCGAGATTTCGACACTGCATTCCAGCTTGGGTGACAGAGTGAGACTCAGTCTCAAATAAATAAATAAATCCAGTGGTAAGAATTATGGAACAAAAATAAGCCAGGAAAGGGGAAAGAGTGATGGAGGTGGGATGGGCAGCTTAGATGCTCTCTGGGAAGGGACACCTGTGCACGGACTGAATATAGTGGGGAAAGCGGCCTTTGGGACATCCCCTGAGACCAGGGATTGGTGTTTAAGGAGCAAGGAGGAGGAGGCCAGCTTGATTCTGTGGCTGAACAAAGGAGCTGAGGTAGAGATGAGATGCAAGAGGTGAAACAGGGATGTGGACAGGTGGTCAGATGGGAGCAGAGGTGGATCCAGGTCTGGACTGGAGCCCTCTCTGACTCCCCAAGGCAGTAAAGAAGGGTTATCTGCTGGCCACAGCCCAGGTCCATTCCTGAAGACCAGCCCAGACCCCACTGGCATTCCCAGTCCCAGCTCCCTCTTGCCCCTCTTCCCCATGGCAAATTCCCAACAGTCGATGCCACCTTTGCCGCACCCATGGGCCTGCAGGCCTGCTCTGCCCTACGAGTCTCCTGCTTGAGTACAGACAGGGTTGGGGTACCAGAAGGGAGAAGGAGTGTCAGAGAGAGGGGGATCTGCAGGATGACAGCCTGACCTCTAGGCTCCGGGGTTTCCCCACAGCCCCAGAGATGTCACCCACCCTGATAAGGACACCAAGGGAGTCCCAGTGACTTCCTGTCTACCCGCTGGCAACTCCGCCACGCCTGACACCCATGCTCCATCCCCCATGACCTCTGGCCTCAGGGTCCCTGGCTTGTGATGGAGCAGCAGGGGCTGGGCCTGAGGCCCTGGGCTGGGACCTTCACTCACTAGGTACACTCGGGGAGGTTTCTTAACCTCTCTGTGCCTCAGATCATCTAGTAAATGAGGGCACATGCCTTTGCCTTGTTTGCCTTCTAAAAGTGAAGGGAAGAAGCTGCGCGTGGTGGCTCACGCCTGTAATCCCAGCACTTTGGGAGGCCGAGGCGAGTGGATCACCTGAGGTCGGGAGTTCAAGACCAGCCTGACCCACATGGTGAAACTCCGTCTCTACTAAAAATACAAAAGTAGCAGGAGTGGTGGCACATGCCTGTAATCTCAGCTACTCTGGGGGCTGAGGCAGGAGAATCGCTTGAACCCAGGAGGCGGAGGTTGCAGTGAGCTGAGATCGTGCCATTGCACTGCAGCCTAGGCAACAAGGTGAAACTCTGTCTCAAAAAAAATAAATAAATAAAATAAAATAAATAAAGGGAAGAAAAGAGACAGGGTCAGGAAATTGCTTCATCAGGTACCTAGGGAGCATTTGTGAGGTCAGGGCTTTGGCTCTGGGACTCCTCCCTCACCACCAATCCGGGACCTAGCCCAGCACCCCTGGGATGAAGGGGTGGAGCCGGAGAGTGTCCAGTTCTATGTCTGGTGGCTGCAGATGATAATAATAGCTATTATGTAATCCTGGCAACCAGGCACTGTGCTAGGCCCATTACAGGAATCAGCCCACAGACTCCTCACCATACCCCGAGAGGCGGAAGCCACTTTATAACTTTTTTTCTTTTTTTTTTTTTTTTTGAGATGGAGTCTTGCTTTGTCCCCTAGGCTGGAGTGCAGTGATGTGACCTTGGCTGACTGCAGCCTCCGCCTCCTGGGTTCAAGCAATTCTCCTGCCTCATCCTCCCAAGTAGCTGGGATTACAGGCATGTGCCACCACAATTGGCTACCTTTTGTATTTTTAGTAGAGATGGGGTTTCACCACGTTGGCCAGGCTGGTCTCGAACTCCTGACCTCAGGGAGCCACTTTATAATGCGGGTTTTACAGATAGGGCACAGGGGGTTCAGGAACGCGACGGAGATCCCACCCAGGCAGTCTGACTCCAGAACTCCCACCAGGACTCCAGGCCCCTTATTGAGCCCTGGGTAAGCCCAGTCTCAGCCTGCCCACCCCTCATCCCCACTCAGTGGAGGGCCTCAGGAAATGCAGACTCCTTCCCTCTTGGGGCACATAGGAGGTGTGGAGGGGCAGGAAGGGTCCCCAGCTCTGACATCTTGTGCTCCAGCAGGGCCGCGGGCTCAGCCTCTCTGCTCCCTCTGAGAGCTGGTGCTGCCCACAAGGTCGGGGGTGAGCTACCTGTCTCAGAGGGAAGCCAAGGAGTTGTGCAGCTAGGGCGTTGCAGATAAGACACTTACCACATCTACAGGGAGGACTAAATGGTCTCTAAAATCACCTCCTACTCACAGGTTATTTTACTTGGGCCATTTTTCACTAATTCATGTATTCATCCGCTAACCCGATATTTGCACAGCAACTACTGGGTACCAGGGCCTTAGATTTACTTAGAAAACAGCCCACAGAGCAGGCAGCAGAGGCGTGATTAGCCATGGGGCTCTAGAGCAGACCGTCTGGGTCGGTACCCGGCTCCACTGACCGGTTGGTTTATCTCCCTTAGCCTTGGTTTGCTCATCTGCAGAATGGGGGTGATAGCAGTATCTATCCATGGAGTTGTAAGGACTAAATGAGACAATGCTAAGTGCTACCACCCATGGCTGGCACGTGGCTAAGTGCTCAGTAAACATCTGCCACATCAAAATCCAGAGGAGAATTTAAATTACTAACCTTTGGTCTGTGCGAAATGGCTCACGCCTCTAATCCCAGCACTTTGGGAAGCTGAGGTGGGTGGATCACTTGAGGCCAGGAGTTTGAGACCAGCCTGGCCAACATGGCAAAATGCTGTCTCTACTAAAAATACAAAAAATTAGCTGGACATGGTGTTACACACCAGTAGTCCCAGCTACCTGGGAGCCTGAGGCAGGAGAATCGCTAGAACCCAGGGGGCAGAGGTTGCAGTGAACTGAGATTGTGCCACTGTACTCCGGCCTGGGCGACAGAGAGAGACACTGTCTCAAAAAATAAAAATAAAAATAAATTACTGACCTTTTAACTCATTCTGGTCTGCAGTGTTGCCTCCTCATATTAGAGCAATAGGAAAACTTTCCTCCATTCTGGCCACAACTGGAAGGTGGTCTCCATGCCACTGCTCCGCAGCCAGCCCTAGGATCAGCACCCCCATCCTCACCATGCTTTCTAGAAAAGAGGTGAGGGCTAGCTAGGCCATGGTATTACCCTGCCTCCTGCAGTCAGTTCATCAGATCAGTTCTCCACTCTCTGTATCCTGTGGTCACACCCAAGTTCCGTCAATATGTGATCATCCATCTGTGCACTGTCTGGGGTCTGACTCCAGCCCTGGATCTATCACTCTCCAGCTATGTGGTACTGAGCAGGTCAGGGCCCTCCTCTGAGCCTCAGTGTTCCTCATCTGTGAAACGGGGATAATGACAGGACCCGTCCTGCCGTGTTTTCAAGCGAATCACATGAGGATGCCTGGGGCGGGGGGACAGAGAACCACTCTGAAACACACTGTGCCAACCAAAAGGCTCCCCGGACTGTCCCAGCAGTTCTGAGGAGTGCCTGTCCCCGTTTTACAGACAAGGAGATGGAGGGTGACCGAAAACAACTCAAAGCAATCCACCAAGCCTCTGTGAGTCAGTAGCATCAGGCCACTTCCATGTGTTCCATGACACTGCAGAGCTTTCCTGGTACAGCTCTGGGGGCCTCTTCAGGTTTGCCCCGTGTCTTGAGTTACCTGAGTTCTGCCAGGGTCGAGATAGGAGCTACTGAGTCACCTCCTCCGGGGGCATTTTCAGCTGGGCCTCCCCATGCCTCCTCAGAGTCAGCAGCTGCTGTGTGTCAACTACCCAGAGGAAACAGGTGAAAACCAAATGTCAAGACTGGGGGCAGAGGCCGTGGCCTAGAACAAGGCAGCTCATACTGAGCGTATCCCTGGCACCCAGTGGCTTTCCTCCCAGCCCTGGAGCAGGTCTGGCCTGCCCGCAGGTCTCTTTCTGGGACCAGCCAGGAGCAGGCCTGGCCTGCCCGCAGATCTCTTTCTGGGACCAGATGTCCCTCCTGGCTCCTGATTTCCCTACTGCCATCTCTGCCTAGAGAAACGCCATCCACCCCCCTTTATGGCCCAGTTCAAATGCCCCTTCTTCCAAGAACTCCTCTTGGAGTTATCCCGTCCTCTTTTATGGAAAGTCAGGCTCTGAACCCCTGAACCCCTGAACCCCAAAGTCCCACATCCCTTTACTTATAAGAATACTGGCATCCAACACTCCCAAGCACCTCTCTGTGCCAAGCCCATTCCTAAAACTGCATGGATTGATTTATTTAATCCCCATAACAATCATTTGAAGGGAATTACATAGGGGATTATAGACAGGGAGACTGAGGCCTAAAGAGATTTAGGAACCTGTCCCAGAGCACACCAGCAATAAGTGCCAGTGGCAGGACTTGAATCCATATCTCTGTTGGACCATAGGTCCATGATTTATCTCTAGGTCATACAGTTTCTCAGTGAATGTATTTTATTCATTCATTCAACGAACATTTCCTAAGTACCCACCAAGTGCCAGGCCTCAAGCTGGGCTCTGCATACCTGACAGAGCCCAGAAACCATCCCTGCCTTCATGGAGCTGATGGCTTGATGAGGAAGTAAGGTAAGAAATTAAACAATCAATGAAGTAATTAATCAAATAATTCAATAAATACAAAGACAAATACATGTAATGGGAGGGCAATTTAAAAAGCAACCTAAACAACAAAAGAGTGAAGATGAAATGAAATAGGGAATGCACTTTAGCCAGGTAATTAGGGAAGGCTCCTTGGAGGAGGTGATGTTTGTAACAAGGTCCTAATGGATAAGGAGGAGCCAGCCGTGGAAAGAGTGGGCCTGGGGCTCAGCATACCAGACAGAAGGAACAGCATGTGCAAAGGCTCGGAGTGAGGAATATCCTCAGCATGTTGGAGAAACTAGGATCTGGTAATTGTGACTGGAGCACAGAGGCAAAGGAGATGAGGGCAAAGAGCCGGGCTGTGAAGACAGGAACGGAAGTATAATTTTAGTCCGAGGGAAGCAGGAAGCCATGGGTGGATTCAAAAGGGAGTGAGGGGATCGATTTATATTTCAAGGAGGGTAGCTGAAGGACTCAGCCCTGCTCTGACAAGATAAAGGCTATCGATCAATGCTAGGCCTAGCAGCCTCTCCTGCATGCCAGACCAGGCATAATTATCTCCACTCTTTTGTTTTTTTAGTTTGCTTTTTTCATTGCCCTTTCATTACATGTATTTGCCTTCATATTTATTGAATTACTTGATTAATTACATCATTGATTTTTTATTTCTTCTCTTACTTCCCCATCAAGAAATTGAACTGCTGGCTGGGTGCAGTGGCTCATGCCTAAATCCCAGCACTTTGGGAGGCAAAGGCAGGCGGATCACTTGACGTCAGGAGTTGGAGACCAGCCTGGCCAACACGGTGAAACCCTGTCTCTACTAAAAATACAAAAAATAATTAGCCAGTCGTGGTGGTGGGCGCCTGTAATCCCAGCTACTCGGGAGGCTGAAGCAGGAGAATTGCTTGAACCCGGGAGGTGGAGGTTGCAGTGAGCCGAGATTGCGCCACTGCGCTCCAGCCTGGGTGACAGAGAGAGACTCCTTCTCAAAAAAAAAAAAAAAAAAAAAGAAAAGAAAGAAAAGAAAAACAAATTCAGCTGCTAACACCACAGGGTCCTGATAGCCGGAGATCACTAGGAACCAAGCAGAAACCCTGCAGAAGCCTCCCAGGGTAGAGGGTAGGAAGGCAGCCCCCCACCCCACTCCCAGGGAGGAGACACTGGAACTGGTCCACCCAGAGCAGCTGAAACGCAGGCAGTCGGTCCACCCACCCGTGCAGGCCCTGCAGCCTTGGGCCCCTCAGTCCTGGGCGGGCCAGAGCTGGCCTCCTCCGCCCCACATTAGTGGTGGGCTGCTAAATATTGACAACAGGCTCTCTAAGTGTTGTTTGGATACCTATATTGATATTTTCATTTACATTAACAAGAAAAAAAAGGAAACAACAAAGATACGTGTCGGAATTTCATTTGTCCATCAATGACGTGAGCAATTTTTTGCCGAGTGGGATTATGGTCTTCAGATACTGGAATCTTTGCTGAGTCTGATTTTGAATACAGATTTTGAATAGTTGGCTGAATCGGATCATGGTTTTCAAATTGTTTGTGCTGTTCGTGATGTAACAGCTACAGACATGACACATTGATTGCATGGAATATGCCTTAATAACATTTCACTGCTTTCTCAACTCTATCTAGACAATCAACAAAACAACAAAGCAAGTCCTGATTTGTAACATTTGTAGATTTCCGTGGTTTTAATACTCTCTGACTAGGTGCAGTGTCTGTAATCTCAACACTTTGGGAGGCCAAGGTGGGAGGATCGCTTGAGGCCAGGAGTTCAAGACCAGCCTGGGCAACCTCCTGAGACCCACCCCAATCTCTACCAAAAAAAAAAAGTTTTAATAAATAAATACTTCTGCCACGGCCAATTGCAAGATAGCAAACATCGAACACGGCATTTGGAAAAGGTGCACAGAAGCTCACCATTCTTTTTACTCTACCAGTGCAACAGATGGCAACTTCAAGAGCACAGATGGATTCATTTGCTATGGCTATCACAGCAAAGTACCACAAACAGGGTGGCTTGATCAGAAATGTATTCTCTCACAGTTCTAGACGTTAGAAGTCCAAGATCAAGGTGTTGGCAGGGTTGGTGCCTTTGAAGACTATGAAAGAGAATCTGTCCCACACCTCTCCCCCTGGTTTCTGGTGGTTGGCTGGCCATCTTTGGCACTGCTTGGCTTGTAGAAATTTCACTCCGATCTCTGCCTTCATCTTCACATGGTGCCCTCCCTGTGTGTGTGTGTCTCTGTCTGATTCCCCCATTTTGTAAGCACACCTGTCATATCGGATTAAGGCCCACGCTAATAAACGCCAATTAACTTGCTTACTTCTGTAAAGACTTTATCTCCAAATAAGCTCACATTCTGAAGTACTCAGGGTTAGAACTTTAACTTAAGAATTTGGGGCAAAGAGGAACAGGATTCAATCCATTACAACGAATGATGGTGGTAAAATAATCAGAAAGTGTTTCATTCTGAGTATTTATTATCTTTTTAAATACACAGTCATGAGTCACTGAACAAGGACACATTCTGAGAAATGCGTCATTAGGTGATTTTGCCATTGTGCAAACATCATAGAGTGCATTTATCCAAACCTAGAGGATGCATTTTAAAATTTATATATTCTTACATGGAAAACCAAATGTCCCAGCACCGTTACTGAATATCAGTCATTTCCCCCTAGTTGATCTGCAAGGCCAATATGAAGTGCTATCTGTAGCTTTCTTTATATGACCCATATAATCTTATGGGACCACCGTCATCTATGTGGTCTGTCATTGCCCAAAACGTCATTATGCAACACATGACTGTAATTTAATTTTGTGTATGTAATTTAATTCTTAACAGTGGCTATGTTTAACAACCAACTCACAAAATGCCTAAAAATTTAACCACCAGTTCTTGCAAGCCAAAACAGCAAGCTCCAACACACCCCTGGCCCTTGCCTGCCCTCAGCCCTGTCCTGGGTCCCCATCTCACCTCCCTGCAGGCTCCTATGAGGGGCAGGTCAGGAAAGCTGTATTCAGGTCCCGTACATCTCCTCTCAGGAACCTTCAAAGCCTGGTCTCCTCCTACTCAAGAGGGGCCCTGAAGAAAAGACACTCCAGTGACAAGCTGTGGTCACAGGGCTGTCCAGCCTGACCCGTGGAGAGCTGAAGCGGTCCAAGTGCTCAGCACCAGGAGATGGCTCAGAAAGCACAACCCAGGTTTGTCCTCTGGGGTCACCAACCATCTCATTTTGCCGGGGACTGTCTCTGCTTAGCACTGAAAGCTCTGCCTCCTGGGAAACCTCTCAGTTCCAGTAAACTGAGAGAGCTGGTCACCCCCCAGCTCATGGTCATATGGTCACAACAAAAGGAAAACGCTTATACAGTTGGCCCTCTGCACAAGTCGTTGGGGGCATGACTGAGGGACATGAGCATCCTACAATTTGGTCCCCCACAGGTATTGGGGGATGACTGTAATACAAAATTCAGTGAAATAAGCAGAAAACAAAGGCAATGTCTCCACCTGTCTCAGGGACCTGTTTCCCCACTCAAAGACAGGGCTGCTACCCAGGGGCCACTTGGAAAAGCTCTGCACAGAGTGAACAGTGATGTCAAATTGATGCTTCCAGGTCAAGCTGAGAGGTGGCAGGGATGACAGGCAAGAAGAGGCAGCCCTGAGGAGGTGGCAAGCACAGGACCCTGGAGGTGGATTCCAGTCCTCACTGTGTGACCTTGAGGAGGCGACCTGCCCCTTGGTGCCTCAGTTTCTCCATCTGTGACAGGTTTCTTCCTCACTGGGTGGTTGTGCAGCTTTAGTGAGATCAACCATAGACAGCACAGTGCGGGGCTTATTGCCAGCACTTAAGCAGTGCTTTTAGGAAGCCGAGCCAACTGATAGCATTGTGCGTGCCTTTTTTTTTTTCCATTTTAGAATTGTTTCCATTATAGCTGTTCTAATGTTATTTGTGCAATCAAAACAAAACCAAATCAAACCCACAAGTATCTAGGTACATAATGTATATAAATAGAATCTGAAACCAAATGTTGGACTGTAGTGGGGGTGCATAGGGCTGCTCCCCAGCTGTCACAGCTGGCCCCAAAGCACGCCATACTCGGAGGCATAGCTTTAGAAGAGCTGACAGGAGACGCAGTGGTGCCTCCCTGAGGTTACGCCAAGTCATGCCAGAACTAACACCCGAGCAGGCAGCTCTGGCTGCTGAAGAAAGAGAGGGCAGGTGGGCGCAGCTCCTAAGACAGAGAAGGTGTTTTTGTTTCCGGCACAGCCCGACACAGAATGGCTCAGGTCCACCTCTGCAGCTTGACACAGATTCTATTTGCCATGCAGACTGATCTCAGCAATTTGGGGCTGCTGTGGCCCCACAGGGAGGAAACCGAGCTGCATCGCACAGAAGGGTCAGCCACATCCCCCAGTTGCATGGGGATAAAGCCCTCTGCTTTTCCACTTGTCTCTGAATTCCTGTCCCAGGAATTAGGATTTCTTGTGCAGGCTGGAATGAGCAAAATACTTAGGGTGTAACATTTAAGGAGGTGCCCACCGTCAGTGCCAATGGCCCTGCACCTCACTTTAATCTTCATGTGATTCTATTAGGCAATCTCTATTATTATCCCATTTCGTTGTCCAAAAAAGGAAAAAAAAAAAAAAAAGAAAGGAAGAAAAAAAGAAAAAGAATAAGGCTCAGAGAGCTGATGTTACTTGCCCTGAAAAGTGACAGAGCCAAAATTCAAACCCAGACCCATCAGATTCCAGCACCTAATGGCTTAACCATTGGGCCATCCTTTCTCCTGAGTACATGGGCACCCAGGTGATCCTCAAGTGACCAGTGCGGCAGAAAATACGCTGAGGCTGAGTGTGCAGGCGGCAGCTGCAGTCCCAGCTCTGTCCAGGCTCACCGGGTGACCTTGGGCAAGTCTCTTTTTTTCTCTGTGCCTCAATTTCCTTGTTTATAGAAGCTGGTGGCTATGCTGGGCCAAGAGTCACAAACTACAGTGCCCACAGCGGCCAGGCTGCAAAGCTAATGAGAGCAGGAAGGGGGCAGGGTGGGAGACAATAGGGAGTGGGGGGACCTGGGGTGAACTGGAGAGTATGGGCCACGCTGGGGAGCACTGCCCAGCTCCAGTGAACTGTCACTTGAGGAAATATGAGCCCCATGTGGCCTGATCCTTCAGTTTTTTCAAGGAAGCCAGAAATTTGAAATTAATGTGAAAATCTTAATTGTTATAAGTTGGGGATGAATTCAAATGGATTTAAAGCCTGTCATAAGCCAAACAAAGCCTATCTAAGGCTAGATCTCACCCTCGGGGCCTCCAGCAAGCAACCTCTAGATTCCATGTCAGAAGCTGTAAGTGTTCCTCAATATCCACCTCCCCTTTCTATACCAATAGAACCCCATATTTTCGCTGGGTTCATGGCCCCCTACAATAAAGACATTATTACCTAACATTCCTTGGAACTGGGTGGCCACATGACCAAGTTCTGAACAATAGGATGCAGCCATCAGTAAAGTCTGCAAATCTTGCATCATGCTCTTAAAAAAAAAAAAAGAGGTGCACCCTTTTGGAGGAGCAAAAAGGGAAGGGGTATGAGTGCCCAAAGTCCAGGAGCCACCACAGCCACCGTGCAGCCTGGTCCCTCGCATGGGATGGAAGTAAACGGCTTCTTGTTTATATGGGTTCTTACTCTTGAGTTTGTTACAGCAGCCAAAGTCATAACCTACCTAGCACAGGCTCTTTCAGGGATCTTCCTCAGGGCTCATAATTTTAAAGCCAGAAGGCTCCCACAATCCTCAATTCCCACCCCCATTCCTGACCATATACCTATTTTACAGATGGGGAGACCAAGGTTCAGAAAGGTGGAGAGTCTGTAACTTAATGAGTGAACAGCCTCTCTAAATGCAGACACAGCATAAATAGGACCCTTCTTCTACCCCAAATAAAGCTGCCAGGAGCTCATGTCTGGGAAAAGGGACTACAAGGGTGGGGACGGTGCCACCCGCATCCTCTCAGGGGCCACCGTGTGCTAGGCAAAGCCTTTCTTCACTGCTAGGGGCCCCTACAAGTCCCAGGCTTGCACCCCAACCCCGTGTTTCTTTGTTGTCTGCCCCCAGCCCGCAAGCCCATGTCTCTCTGGGCTGAAGAGGCCTTCAGGACATCCTTTTTTTTTTTTGAGATGGAGTCTCGCTCTGTCACCCAGGCTGGAGCGCAATGGTGCCATCTCAGCTCACTGCAACCTCCGCTTCCCAAGTTCCAGTGATTCTCCTGCCTCAGCTTCCCGAGTAGCTGGGATTACAGGCATGCGCCACCACGCCTGGCTAATTTTTGTATTTTCAGTAGAGACAGGGTTTCACCATGTTGACCATGCTGGTCTCAAACTCCTGACCTGAAGTGATCCGCCCGCCTATTCCTCCCAAAGTGCTGGGATAACAGGCATGAGCCACCATGCCTGGCCAGCACTGGTAATTTTTTAAAGCTCCTTCTACCCCTATACACCCCCACCCCCACACCCGCCCGATGGCCCCAGGCGACTGCAGGGTTGGGGCATGTGAGTCTGGTGGTTTCGCCCTAAGGGTCCTGGGTATCTGGTGCTCGGCACTTTGCCAGTCTCAGCCACTGGCTCAGCCTTTCCCCTGGAGATATAGAGGCTATGGGGGCAGTGATCTGGAAGGCCAGCTGTGTAGAAGTCCCTGAGGGTCAAAGTCTAGGTCTGGCAGTGTTGGAGAATAAAACCCTTGGCTGGCCAAACACTGGGAGGCTGCACCTGCTGCTCTGCAAATATGCCTGCCCCTGCCTGAGCAGGAGGCCTCAGCCAGCCCTCAGCAGGAACCCAGCCAGGGCCACCCACCCCAGCCATGCTAAGCCTCTGCCAGAGTGAGAGAGGCCCGCGTGGGCCAGGGGTGGCACAAGAGTCACTCTCAGGGTGGGCCAAAGGGTATCACAGAGACAGCCCGGCCCTGGAGCCATGCAGACCAGGAGCCGGGTGCCACCTCCAACACCAACTCACAGTGACTTTGGGCAAGTCCTTTTTTTGTCTTGAACCTCAGTGGGCCTAGTCTTGGCAACTGTGCAGTCGAGTGTCCAGCCCAGGGTCTAGACCAGAGCCAGTGGCAGCAAACAGCCCTGTTATCAAGAAGCAACATAACAAGAAGAAAGGAGAAAAAAGGTAAGCTGATTTTTCCTTTTCTGAGTGTTTGCAGAAGTCAACAGATAATGTCCAAGGTTAATAAATCAGGAAATGGCAGTAGAAGCATGTTATTTATGGCTCTGGAGGTAACTGCCACATGAGCTCGAACTATTAGAAGTGGTTGCCTCTGGGGAGGGGGCTTGCAGGAAATGGGCTTTTCACTATAAGTCCTTTTTACCAGTTCGTGTTTTTTAATGTCTATTTAGAAGTATTTATTAAAAAGTGACTCTGCCCCTCCACTCTTGATTTTCCAGGTCATCCCTGTTAACAGAAGTATTTTTGGCCTATAAGGCCATGTATAGGGTTAAGTGCTCAGACTGTGGAGTTGGGCTGCCAGAGTTCAAATCCTTGCTCTGTAACTTACCAGCTGTGCCGCCTTGGGCAAATTACTTAACCACTCTGTTCCTGTTTTCTCATATGTAGAATGGGAGTAATAATAATTCAATGCTCCTGG
Source organism: Homo sapiens (assembly GCF_000001405.40). Taxonomy (NCBI): domain Eukaryota; kingdom Metazoa; phylum Chordata; class Mammalia; order Primates; family Hominidae; genus Homo; species Homo sapiens. The sequence goes on along the minus strand of NC_000016.10, from coordinate 57,606,252 downwards.
TTTACACAGTAAACATTCAGTAATTGTGAGACATGATTATTATATATCCCTGTAACTCATATATGCAATTGTTTTACAAAAATAGAATTAGTATGCTATACACAGTGTTTGCAACTCGCTTTTCTTTCTCTTGCCAAGTTATAATGGATATCATTTCTGCTTAGAATGTATAGTTCCATCTCATTCTTTTTCATTAGTACAAGAATTCCATTGCATAGAATGTAAAATTATTTAGCCATAACCCTCTATTGAAGGAAATTAAGGGGTCCTATTTTTTAGTGTAATACACTTTGCAGTAATTAACATATATATTTTGGCACATGTGTGGCTATTTCTAAAGGAAAGATACCTAAAAGAGGGATTACTAGGTTATAGAATTGTGCAATTAAAAATTGTACAGATACTTGAGCCGGGGAGGTCAAGGCTGCAGTGAGCATGATGGCACCACTGCATTTCAGCCTGGGTGACAGAGCAAGACCCTGTCAAAAAAAAAAAAAAAAAGGTATAGACACTGCTAAATTGCCCCCTTAAAAAGTAGTACCAATTTAGAGTCCCACCATATCCATTCCAATGTGGAGGTGATCTCTCTAGATGGGCAAAAAATTGTTTTAGTGTGCCTATTGTAATTCTGAGTGGAACCGAGCATCTTTTCATAACTTCATCATCCATTTTTCTTTCTTCTCCTGTGAAACAAATGTTTATATCCTTTATCCAACTTAAAAAAAAGTAATACTGTTTATTTAACTTCAAAAACATTTCAGCATTCTAAACATACAAAAAAAATAACAGAATGTTGCAAATCGTGTTTAAGGACAGAAGGTTCCTGAATTTTCATTGCAGTGACTCTTTGCTTTAGTGACAATGAAGAGTTCTACAGTTTAAAAACCACCACACTTAACTAAAAAACAAAACAAAAACTAAACACTTCTCATGCCAGCTGACCCCCCCATCTTTGCCTTTAGCTAAGAATGGCAGCAGAAAGCTGTCACCACATACAGAAACAAGACAACTTGAAGCTAAATGAATGCCCACTGCACAGTGAACCGGTCCAGCGTCACGGTGCATGCCCTCAGCTATGGCCCCTCCAAAAGGCACCTTCCCCACAGCCTCAATGCCAGACAAGAAGCATCAAGAGCTTGCCTCAGTTGTTTTATTCTTTTTACAAACTATGGACATATACAGTTGATAACTCAGGATTTCTAGCCAATAACCATATAGTTAACACCATCTTACAAATTATAAAAATGCCAGAAACATGGTTTCTTTGTTTGTTTTGTTTTGTTTTGTTTTGTTTTGAGACGGAGTCTCACTCTGTTCCCCAGTCCGGAGTGCAGTGGCGTGATCTCGGCTCACTGCAAGCTCCGCCTCCTGGGCTCAAGCGATTCTCCTGCCTCAGCGTCTCAAGTAGCTGGGATTATAGGCATGCGCCACCATTCCCGGCTAATCTTTGTATTTTTAGTAGAGACAGGGTTTCGCCATGTTGGCCAGGCTGGTCTCGAACTCCTGACCTCAGGTGATCCGCCCACCTCGGCCTCCCAAAGTGCTGGGATTACAGGCGTGAGCCACCACACCCGGCCCAGAAACATCTTTAAATGCCCTGTCACACCAACAGCAAAGTGCACAGAGTGAGAATATGAGAGGGCGTTTTCATTTTAAAATGTTCGGAGGCTGGGCATGGTGGCTCATGCCTGTAATCCCAGCACTTGGGGAGGCCAAGGCCAGCGAATGGCGAATGGCTTGAGCCCAGGAGTTCAAGACCAACCTAGGTGACATGGTGAAATGCCATCTCTACAAAAAATAAAAAAATTAGCCATGTATGGTGGCATGCACCTGTAATCCCAGCTACTGGGGAGGCTGAAGTGGGAGACTCGCCTGAGCCCAGGAGGTGGAGGCCGCAGTGAGCTGAGATCATACCACTGCACACCAGCTTGGGCGACAGAGCGAGACTGTGTCTCAAAAAACAAACAAACAAAGGTTTGGAATTATGTACAACTTTGATACAGTTTCAGGGTGCTCTGGACACCCACGGCCACTTTATGTAAACCACTGACAATTTCTAGAGCACTCTGAGAGACTGCAATATGATCGTGATCAAATTTTGTAATTAAAACTAATGAGGGCAACAGATATTTCTCAAATGAGAGATGAGTCAATTACAACGCGGTCCCCAACCTTTTTGGCACCAGGGACCGGTTTCATGGAAGAAAATTTTCCACGGACGGGGGTCAAGGGTGGGGGCAAGGGGGGGATAGTTTTGGGATGAAACGGTTCCACTTCAGATCATCAGGCATTATTTAGATTCTCCTAAAGAGCACTCAGCCTAGATCCCTCTCATGTGCAGTTTACAACAGGGTTCAGAATCTAATGCCACCGCTGATCCGACAGGAGGCTCAGGTGGTAATACTTGCTCGCCTGCCGCTCACCTCCTCCTGTGACGCCTGGCTCCTAATGGACCACAGACGAGTACTGGTCCATGGACCGGGGGTTGGGGACCCCTGAATTATGACACTCCTCTGCTCTAAGATATTGACAAGGAGATGGATAAACAGGTTTTTTAATTCCTCCTCCTCCTCCTCCTCTTCCTTGTCTACCTTTTTCCAGGCAACTTTAACTTTTGCACCATCGAACTTTCCTTCAGACTTCGAGTCAGCAACACCCTTCTCACACTTCTTCAGCTTGCTGCCGTAGTGATGTCAGGCAGCTTTGCACTGTCACTCAAGTTATTCCATATCTCACTCAGCCTTTTTGCCACATCTCCAATAGAGATGCCAGGGTTTGTGGATTTGTCCTCGGGGCAGAATTCTGAACAGAACAGGAAGAATCCAGATGGTAGCCTTTTGGGGGCTTTAGGGTCCTTCTTCTTGCCTCCCTTAGCTGGTCCGTAATTCTTTATTTCCCAATCATAGAGTACTTCATCCACCTCGGTCATTTCGTCAGGCTTAGACTTCTCTTTTCCACACATTGTCTTCCGCCTCTCAGAGCACTTCTTGGAAATTTCTGTGAAATTGACAAGAACCTCTGGGTTTTTCTTCTTGCATTCTTCTCTGCATGTCTGCATAAAGAAGGCATAAGCAGACATCTCACCTTTTGGTTTCTTGGGGGTCATCTTTAGCCATCCTGACTATATTGTCGCTAGTCTGGGCAACGCAGGGCACCTGCTTTACACATTTTTAATTGGGCTTTTTGCCACTTTCTTACTGATTCATAGGACCTCTTTGCATATTAGAAACCTTAATTCTTTAATACATATGAGCCAAATATTTTCCCAGGATCTTCTGCATGCTTTTAGCTAAATTCTTGGTGTCATTGGTCATAGAAAAGTTTTGCATTTTTATATAGTTAGATGTAGTCTTCCTTTATGATTTCTGGCTTTCATGTCTTGCTTTAAAAGGCTTTTTCTGATTGGAATTTATTTTTAAAATACTCTCCTATATTTTCTTTTTAATACTTTTAGAGTATTTGTTTAACATTTAATTCATCTGGAATTTTTGTGTGCATGAACATGATGTGAGGTAGGGGTCTAATTTTTTGTGGGGTGAGTCTTTTTAAAAATTGATACATAATAGTCATACATACTTATGAGGTACCTGTGATATTTTGATCCATGCACACAATGTGTAATGATTAAATGAGGATAATTAGGATAACCATCACCTCAAGCATTTATTATTTCTTTGCATTGGGAACCTTCCAAATCTCCTATTCCAGCTATTGTGAAATAAAGTATAAATCCTATTAACTATAGTTGCCCTATTAGAATCTAGTTTTGTTTGCATCTGAATGGAGAACCAATTGTCCCAACACCATTTACCGATTAAGTCACCCCTTCCTGCCTGACTTGTGATGTCCCTTTGTCAAAGGCATCTCTCTGTCATTTTATGCACTCTTCTTGTGGTTGGCACATGGCAGAACTCATAAATGTTGACTTTGGGAGCAGCTGAAATGTCAGCTGAATGACAGCGAGCATACGCCACAGTGCAGCTGACCACAGAGCTCACCTCGCAGCTCAGAAGTCAGAACGAGAAATGAATATGAGTGGCTCCCAACATCAGTGAATATTTGTGGCTTTGGTTTTGATGTTGTTTTCAAATCAACTTTGCTTATCTACAATAAAATTTCCACATTTTAAGTGTACAGGGTGATGACTGATGACTTGGCAAACATGTACACTCTCGGACCAAACACACCAACCAAAATATAGAACACGTCCATCTTTCAAGAAAGTTCCTTTGGGGCTCTTTGCAGTCAACCTCCCCTCCACTTCCACCCCAGGCAACCACGATTACCTGAAACCACACGTGTGTAGCACATTGATAACATTTTCAGAGAAATAAATAACCCAGCTGCAGCATGAGCTTGTTGGCTGAGGAGGAAGGCCAACTTCCCCTAAGGGACAGGACTTCTCTCTTGAGGCCGACAAACTCCCCCCTGGGCTGGTTTGGTTAAGAAGAAATGGGGTAATCCAAACCAGGTCTCCCCAGCTTCAGGTAGGCAAGTTCTGTTCCAGTGGTTTTTAACAAGTCTAGAAATCGGCCAGATATTTACTTAATATTTTCTTCTAGATCAACTGGCCTTTTTACATGTAATTCAAAATGATCACTTTTAAAATAAAATATAATATCCCATTAAATGATGAAGGGCACACGCCATAATTAACAAAGGACTAGTGATGATGTAAAATGAAAAATGAATCTCCTGTGCCATCTGAAATCACATGAATACTGCCTCAGGGGGCACCCACAGACATGAAAGAGGTAAGGGAAAAGCAGAGGAAGAATCTGGAACTTCATTCAGGTTGGAGGCTGGTGGTTAGAGGGGAGGGAGAGGGGCAGAAGGGCTGTCTCAACAGAGCTGAGGGGTGAGGGCTCCCTTCATCACTAAAGCAAAGGAGTTGCTTTGGGAACAAACCTGAGTCCACACAGTCCCTTCCTGCAAGGCCATGAGAAGGTCAGAAAACAGCCCCTTAGCTCATAGGTTCTGGGACCTTCCAGCCATAAAAGGAAACAGAGCAGTTTTTGAGGGGCCACTCAAGGGGAAAATACCTTTGGAGTCAGACAGACTGGGATTCACTTCTACTTAGGTGACACTGGGGAAGAGAGTAAGCTTTCTGGGCCTCAGTTTTCTCATCTGTATAATGGATATAATAGCAGTACCTCACTGTAAGGACCGAAAGAAGTGTGGTTTGTAAAGCACATTGCCCAGAAATGATAATCAGTCACCCTTCATTTGCCCTAGGATCCTGAAGGATACAAACACGTGGATATCAGCCTTTGCCCCAATGACTGAGTAGTTAATAAAATCAGTCCCCACTGAAAGAAGTGGGGCTGGCAGTCATGAGTTTTATTAATTAATTGCTCGTTAAAGTTTTTGCCAATGGGAGCAGTTAACTGCCTGTAGGCTGGCAGCCCTAACTAAATGAGAATGGATTCGGGGGTTGGCCTGGAAGCAGGGCAGGATTTGGGTGAGCAGAGGCTCTGGCCACAGAGGGCCTGTAGCACCTACTCCGGAACGCCTTGGCCAAGGCCTCTCCCAGTTCTGGCTTCCTCTGAGGATGGAGGCAAGGGGCCTGCAAGGGCCTGGCAGAGGCAGGAAGCGGGCACCGGTGGGCTGGGAATTACTCTTTGCATGACTGAGCTGACCCTTTCCCAGGCCATGCGCAAATTAGCTGCTGCAATCCCGCAGGCTCTGCCAGGTGACTGCTGCTGCCACCTGCAGGCACAGGTGAGGAGTGCTCGGTGGTCAGGCCCTTGCCCCAGTGCCCACACTCAGCACTGCCCTTTCCCCCGCGGGAGCACACGGAGATCACGGCCACACACTAGGAGGGACCATCACACCTTTGCCTGATGGGCAGGGCAGGAGGAGCCCTTGAGACTTATCTCAACTGTGCCTTACCCCATTTCATTGAAGGGGTGGGGAGGACTGGAGCCCAGAGAGGGGCAGGGACTGGCTTGAGGTACAGAGTTAGAGGCTGGAACCCAGGTGTCCTGCCTGTGCTCAGGGAAGGCAGGTCTCAGGTGGGCCTGGTGGCCCAGAAAGGGAAGCCTGCCTTCTTGAGTTTGTCCAGCCCAAGGGGAGCAGCAAGTTCTCACCTGGAGTTGTTCATCCATACCTGTGAGAAACTGCTGGCCCAAGCCAGATATTGGGTAAACCTACATAAGTGTTATAGGTGTGGTAACTTTAGAGGCTGCAGATCCTGAAGACTGTGGCTTCCGGGGAGGCAGCTTCATCTCATCAGTTCACTCTATATCACCCAGCTCTTCAGGGTCCTTGAGTAACCTCAGCAACTCTGATACCAAACTTCCCAGTACAGACACAACACTGGGACTTGGTCACATGAGCTGGTGGCAGGAGGAGAGATGATTAGCCCTTCTTCTTGGTTCACCTGTGGGGAACCTGAGTTCCAAAAAGACAGGACTAGGCTATAGTCACACAGCAGCTGTGACGGCAGAGCTGGGACTAGAATCCTGGGAGTCCTGCTTTCAATAATGAAGGCAAAATAGAGACACTTTCTGGCAAATAAAAACTTAGAAAGTTCACCACCAGCAAACCTTCACTAAAGAAAATTCTAACACATGTACTTGAGGTGGAAGGGACCCGATCCAGGTAGAAGGTAGAGGTCACAAAAAGAATAGGGAGCAGAGAAAGCGGTAAATATGCAGACAAATGTACACAAACATTGACTGTATAAAACAGTAACGATTGGCTGGGCATGGTGGCTCACGCCTGTAATCCCAGCAGTTTGGGAGGCCAAAGTGGGCAAATTACGAGGTCAAGAGATTGAGACCAGCCTGGCCAACATGGTGAAACTTCATCTCTACTAAAGACACAAAAAATTACCTGGGCGTGGTGGCACGCACCTGTAATCCCAGCTAGTCGGGGGGCTGAGGCAGGAGAATCATTTGAACCTTGGAACCTTGGAGGTTGCAATGAGCCGAGATCGTGCCATTGCACTCCAGCCTGGGCAACAGGGCAAGACTCTGTCTCAAAAAAAAAAAAAAAAAGAGTAATGATCATATCTAGTAGAGTTTGGAATAAAATGTAAATACCAGACAACATAACATAGGAATTGGGGTTAGGAAGGCAATAGACTCAAAATGTTCTAATATCAATGTGTTGTCCAGAGGGGTAAAGGTTTTCATTAATTGTAGGCTTTGATAAGTTAAGTGTGCATGTTATAATTTCTAGAGTGAACACTAGAAGAGGTTACACACTATGGCCCATGGGCTAAATACAGATTTCAGCCTGTTTTTATATAGCCTGCAAGCTAAGGATGGTTTCTAGATTTTTAAATGGCTATAAAAAATCTGACTTCGGCCCACAGACCCTAAAAAAACCCACTGACTGTGGTCCACAAACCATAAAATATATATTATCTGGCCCTTTACAGAGAAAAGGTCTCTAATCCCTGCACTAAAGGAATAGAAACAGTATGTCATTTCAAACAAGCTAAGGGACAAAATTAAATGATAAAATATATGCAGATCATTTTTTAAGTCCAGACAGAAGAGAAAAAGAATAGAATGAATAAGCAGATAAGCTAAAGTAATAGATTTAATTCTAAACATTTACAAAGTATACACTGTATTTACATTTACATATACATTAAATGTAAATGAACTAAATGCTCCTGTTAAAAGGCAAAGAATTTCAGACTTGATTTGGAATGGGGGGAGGGGAATTATGGTGTTTACAAAAGAAGAGATACATTTAAAGCATAAGAATAAAGTTTAAAGTAATAAGGTAAAAATACTAGTGAAGAGAAAGTTGAAAAATCACCTATGGGGTACAGTGTCCAATATTTGAATGATGGGTATACCAGAGGCCCAATTGCACCATTACACGTGTAATACCCATGTAGCAAACAAGTACATGTACTCCCTGAATCTAACAAACACACACACACACACACACACACACACAAAGGCAGATGTAAGTATTTATATTCATGAAAGACAAAATAAACTTTAAGGCAAAAACCAGAGGAAAAGATAGCAAAAGTTCCTAGGAAGACATAACAATATTAAATTTGTGCCTACAACATAATCTCAAAATATATAAGCAAAACTTAATAGGACTATGGAAGAATCAACAGCCATAATAGAAGATTTTAAGACACCGTTTTCAGTTTAATTTTAAAAACGAGACAAAAGGGTATAAAAGATTTGAAGAACTCTGTTAATAAACTAGACTTAATGAGCATATGTAGAATACTGCACACAATTGTTGTAAGATACATGTTTCAAGCAGAACATTTACAAATTTGGCTCATATTCTGAGCCTAAAACAAATCTTGATAAATTTCTAATTCATGTAATGTTGATCTGACCACAATATAATTAAGCTAAAATCAATAAAAAAAAAACTAGGAAATCCCCATAATGTGGAAAATTTAAAGTCATACTTCTTTATATCACAGAGAAGTTACAATTAAAAACTAAAAACATTTTGAAGTGAATAATAATGAAAATATCATATATATCAAAGCTGGTAGGAAATTTTTCTAAAGTTAATACTTACAGGAAAATATATAGCATATAATAGAAAAGAGTAAAGACTTAAAATTAATGAGCTAATCATCCATTTCAAAGAGCTTAGAAAAAGAATAGTAAATTCAACCCCCCCCCAAAAAAAGTATACGGAAGACCAAAGCACAAGCTAATAAAATAGTAAGCATACAATTAAGAAAATGAACAAAAATCAAAATTGGATCTTTGAAGAGATTAGTAAAATTGGCAAACCTCTGGAGAAATAACGAAGACACTAGAAAAGAAAAGCACAAATAACCTATGTCAGATAGAAAAAGGAGAACATTATTATGACCATAATTATATAAAAAGATAATATTGTGAACAACTTTATGCCAATAAATTTAAATTTTATAAAAAGCCTTAGAAAAGCATTGCTTACCTAAATTGACATAAGTAGAAATAGAAATTCTGAGCAGTCCTAGACATAGAATTTGTATTTATACTCAAAAATCTTCCCACAGTGAAAACTTAAGGCCAGGCAGTTCCACTGGCAAGTTATACCAAACATTCTAGGAATAAATAATAATTCCAAGTTGGCCCCAAACTCTTATGAAGACTCAAACTTGTTTTATGAGGCTGGCATACTCTTGACACCAAAACCCAACTAGACAGTATGAGAAAGAAAAATTACAGGCTACTCTTTCTCAAGAACATAGATGCAAAAATTCTTTTAAAAAATTAGTAAACTAAATCCAGTAACATATAAAAGGATAATGTTAGGTTTAACAAATGCAATACATATTTTACATTACCAAAAAAAGTAATGTAATTCATGACATTAAAAGATCAAAGTAGAAAATTCTAATAATGATCGCAATATATGCAAAGAGATGTTTGACAAAATTCAACATTCATTCATGATTTTAAAACAAACAAAAACCCTTAGCAAACTGGAAACAGAAGGGAACTCCCTAAATCTGATAATATCTGATCTAATATACAGGTATATGAAACACTACAACAGATAGTATACTTTCAGGTGAAACTGTTAAAAACTTTTCCTTGGAGATTGGCAACAAGATAAGGAAGCTCACTATTACCACAGCTGTTAAACTCTTGTTCTGTAAGACCTGGCCTGTGTACCAAGGAAAATAAATAAAATAAAACATACAAGGATTGGAAAGATAAAAATGAACTTTATCATTCACGGATGATATGACGAGTATATGAAAAATGCAAAGCGATCCACAGATAAACTATTATATTCAATGAGAGAGTTTAGCGAGGTTGCTGAATACAAAAATCAATATTAAAACTTCATTGTGAGGCCAGACATAGTGGCTCATATCTGCAGTCTCAGCACTTTGGGAGGCTGAGGCAGGTGGATCACTTGAAGCCAGGAGTTCAAGACCAGCCTGGCCAGCATGGTGAAACAGCATCTCTACTAAAAATACAAAAATTAGCTGAGCATGGTGGCATGTGCCTGTAATCCCAACTACTCAGGAGGCTGAGGCACAAGAATCACTTGAACCTGGGAGGCAGAGGTTGCAGTAAGTCAAGATGGCACCACTGCACTCCAGCCTGGGCAACAGAGTGAGACTGCATCTCAAAAAAAAATAACAATTATGTAAAATTATATAGTAGCCATAAGAATCAGGAAATGAAGATTTTTAAAAAATCACTGCAATAGGCAGCCTCTAAGGAAGTCTCCCAGTGAACCCTACCTCCTGGTATTCACACCTTTGGGTAATCTCATCTTCTTGTATGGGCTGGATTTAGTGCCTCACTTCTAATGAATAGAATATGGCAGAAATAATGGGATGTCTCTTCTGATATTAGGTTATAAAGAGTGTGGCTTCCATCTTGAATACTATCTCTCTCTCTCTCTCTCTCTCTGATACTATCTCTCTCTCTCAGATCACTTGCTCTGGGTGAAGCTAGCTGCCATGTCATGAGGCAGCCCTGTGGATCACCTCCACAGTCAGGCCCTCAGATGAGACCTCAGCCCTGTCCTCCAACTTGACTGAAACCTCATAAGAGACCTTGAGCCATTGCCACTTAGCTAGGCTACCCCTGGATTCCTGGCCCACAAAAATGGGGAGATAAATTTTGTTGTTTTAGCCACTGAGTGTTGGAGTGATTTGTTACATGGCCATGATAACTAATATGACCATCATTTATAATACTTCAAAATATATCAAGTACTGAGAAATAAATCTAACTAGAAATGTGCAAAACCCAGATAAAATTCTAAAACTTAATTGAGAACTAATTTAAGACATGCAGAAATATACAAGATAGGGCACTCACCAGCAGTCTAATACACATGTGGCTGCCTGGTTTATGACAGAGGTGACATTTCTGAATATTGAAGGAAGAGTTGACTTTTCAATAAATGGTGCTAGAACAGTTGGGTATCCCTACGGGAAAAAAAATGAAATTTGACCCTAGCACATACCAGTTACCAAAATCAATTAAAGACCTAAGGGTGAAAAGCTATTAAACTTCCAAGCCATAACATAAACTTTGGAGCAGGGAAGGATTTCTGAAAAAAAAAAAAAAAACACAAAAAAACACTAACCAGAAGTAAGAGTTTAATCAATTAGAATATATTAAACTAAAGAATGTCTGTTTGTCAAAAGACGGCAGGGAAAAAAAAGTGAAAAAGAAAACTCATAGAATGGGAGAATATATTGACAATAATATAACTGACAAAGGAATACTATTCAGAATACATAAATAGCTCCTACAAATCGACAAGGAAGAAATGAAGAGTGAGCCTGAGACAAGGACTTGGGTACAGGCAGTATATCTAGAAGGTCATGCCAGCAGCAGAGTTGGTGGGGGAGGGAGGTAGAAACCCAGTTCACGGGCATTGTCAAGGTCACTGCTGTAGGTACTGAAGACTGGGTTCCTTTGGGACCTCCAAGACCCCTGAGAGTTCCAGGGTTGTTTCCATGAAGGTCAGGAGGCTGGGGCATTTCTCCACCATTCCAGGCTTTCCCACATGGTTGGATGAGTCCCTGGGTAGAATGTGGAAAGACTGGCTTTCTGGCAGTGGGAGGCTCCATGACATGGAGGCTGAAATCAGAGTGATGCTGGCCCCAGATGTGTCTGCTATAGAGCCAAATGACCCAATAAGAAGCTGGAAAAGCATTTGAATAGGCACTTCAAAAGAGGAAATCCAACTGGCCGATAAATACATGCCATGGAAATACAACTTAAAATAACAATGAGCCATCACGACCCACCCATGAGATTTCCCCAAATTAGCCATACGGAGTGTGGCTCTGTGGAACACTTAGGAGGGGGTGGAGGATGGCTAGGAGGGGTTGTAAATTTGTTCAACCACTTTAGAAAGCAGGCATTATCTAGTAACATTGAAGATGCTCATGACCTGTGGTTCAGACAGTCCACTTCCAGATACATAGCCTGCAGAAGTACATGCATATTTGTACCGCTACTCACCTATAAGAATGCTTATAGTAGCATTGTTGGTAACAGCCTTAACCTGCAAACATCCCAACATCCACCAGGAAATTAATGGATTAATAAATCATAGTATGTTCACATATTGGAATAGTATACAGCATTGAAAAGGAACAAACTACTTCTACATACAGCAATGCAGATGAATCTTACAAACATAACATTGAGTAAAAGAAGGTGGGTTTCATTCATGTAATCTTCCAAAATAAGCAAAACTAAAACTGTATTGTTTTAAAACTAAAACTAAAGAGCTAAAACTGTATTGTTTAAAACTGTACAGGTGGTAAAACCATAAATAAAAGTGAGAGAGAGATTCCTCTAAGTGTCGGGATAACGTTTCCCTCTCCAGCACAGTGAGGTTGTGATGGAGGATTGGCGGTGGGGGTTTCTGGGGTGGTGGCAATGTTCTCTTTCTTTACCAGGGTTGTAGTTACACAGGGATTTGCTTTATCATTTTTGTTAAACTATGGGCATATCCTGTGTATTCTCCATTTTTTAATGCTTAAATGTTTACCATTTTTTAATGCTTAAAAATAAATAACTAGGCCAGGCATGGTGGTTCACACATATAATCCTTATGCTTTTGGAGGCTGCAGCAGGAGGGTCACTTGAAGCCAGGAGTTCAAGACCACCCTAGGCAATGAAGCAAGACCCCCATCTCTACAGAAAAATTTAAAAATAGCTGGGCATTGTGGTGCACACCGGTAGTTGCAGCTACTCAGGAGGTTGAGATGGGAAGATCACTTGAGCCAAGGAGTTTGAGGCTGCAGTGAGCTTTGATTGTGCCACTGCATTCCAGCCTAGGCAACAGAGTAGATCCTGTCTCTGAAAATCCACCAATCTATCAATCAAACCGAGCCACACACATCACCAATTCTCTTCCCTCCGTTGGGTTCCCCATCTTAGTTACAGACAGGCCACCCCAACTACCCAAGAGTCCAAGACATCAGCCTTGATGATGCTCCAACCTCACCCTCACCCTCACCTGACCTGCAGTGTGGGTTCTACCTCCCAGCACCTCCCAGAGCCTCGCCCCTCCCTTTATTCCTGCTGGCAGCATGACCCAGGTGTGGTGGCTCATCATCACCTGCTGCTGATGCCCAAGCACAATCTAGGACAGCTACTCCTCCCTGGATGCCACTCCAACCTGCCTCCACCCCCTGCCAGAGTGATCTTCTTGAAACACCACTTGGATCAGGAACTCCCCTGGTCAAAGAGCTTCAGTATCTCCCTACTTCCCGAGCACCATAATTGGCTCTTCCTTATTTTTCTGGTTTCTCTCCAGCTCCTCCCACCGCCACTCTGCTCACCAAGCCCACTCTCCTGCATTCTCTCTCTACCCCCACCACACCCAACCCCAAGCCTGTGCCACTTCCCCTCCCTTTTCTCCTGCCTAACCCTGTTCAACACTGTGGTCTTGGTGTAGAAGTCACCTCCCACAGGAAACCCTCCTGCCCTGCACCACCCGGGCCAGGCTGGGTGACACCTCTCT